>NC_000011.10:6423636-6726666 GCF_000001405.40 Homo sapiens
ACAGGGGTGAGCAACCAAGCCTGGTTCAACAGGACTATTCCAACAACTACCTAGAAGAGTATAGAGTGAGAAGAGAAAAGGACTGAGAACTGAACTCTGGAATGCCAGTGTTTAGGAGCCAGCACAGAAAAAGACAGTCAAGAAGAAAGCTGAGAATTAGCAGAAGGGTAAGAGAAGGATCAGGAGAGAGTAATGTCATGGAAGAAATCCAAGAGAGGAAAGACTTTCAAGGGGGAAGAAGTGGTCAACAACATCAAATGCAGAAAAGATTTCCAATAAGGTCAAGGCAAAAAAAAAAAAAAAAAAAACGTATCCTTTGAATTTGGCAACATGGAGGTTATGGATCCCCATGATTTGATCTGTATTAGCAGAAAATGAAGGCAGAAGCCACAATGCAATGAATTGAGCAAATGGAAAATGAAGAAGTAGAACAAATAAGTGCAGAGCCCCCTTTTGAGAAATTTGGAAGAAAGAATAGACAGTAGCTGCAAAGGTATGTGAGATTCTCCTACGTGAATCCTTGAAACAAAAAAAGATTCAGTTTTTGCAGTATGGAGGTGCCCCAAAAAACTAAAAATAGAGCTACTATGTGATCCAGCAATCCCACTGGTGGGTATATATCCAAAGGAACTGAAATCAGTATGTTGAAGGGATAGCTACATGCTCATGTTTATTGTAGCATTATTTACAATATCCAAGACATGGAATCAACTTAAGTGTCCATCAATGGATGAATGGATAAAAAAAATGTGGTTATAGACACAATGGAATAGTATTTCATCCTTTAAAAGTGGAGATATCCTGTATTTGTGACAACATGGATGAACCTGGAGGACCCTATGTTAAATGAAATAATCTAGACACAGAAAGACAAATGCTACATGATCTCATTTATATGTGGAATCTAATAAAGCTGAGCTCACAGAAGTAGACAGCAGAATGGTGGTTGCCAGAGGCATGGGGGTATGGGAGGGGCAGGGATGGAAGGGAATGGGGAGTTGTTGATCAAAGGGTACAGTGTTCCAGGTAGACAGGAGGAATAAGTTTCGAGATCTATTGAATAGCAAAAAGGCTAAAGTCAATAGCAATGTATTGTATATTTCAAAATAAAGAGAATAAATTTCAAATGTCTCACCATAAAAAATTATAGGTAGGGGAGGTGAGGGATATGTTAATTAGCTTAATTAATCTTTCCACATTGCATACGTATATCAAAACATCACATTGTACCCCATAAACGTATATTGTGATTTCCAATCAAAAACAGTATTAATAATAAAAAAGGAAATTGAAAAATAAAATGAAATTCTCTGGTAAAATGAATCAGGTAAAAGAAAATATTCTGTTTTGCCTTTTTAATAAAAAGATGGTAGAGACTTGAACATTGGGTGTAAACTACTAAAAGATATCAGTAGATATGATGAATTTGAAAAAAAAGAAAAAAGATGAGAGATCAGGAGATCCTGGAGATGATGAGAGAGGGTTGGATCAAAGGCTCACGTAGGAAAATTGGACACCTTACCTTTACAGACTGAAGGGAGAGGGGTGAGGAGAGGGGTGCATGTAGGGCAAAAGGTGGGAGTAGTGCAGAGGTTGAGGTATTTAATACCTAGTGATATCAATTTTTTTTTTTTGAGATGGAGTCTTGCTCTGTTGCCCAGGCTGGAGTGCAGTGGTGCGGTCTTGGCTCACTGCAACCTCTGCCTCCCAGGTTCAAATGATTCTCCTGCCTCAGCCTCCTGAGTAGCTGGGATTAAAGGCACCTGCCATCATGCCTGGCTAATTTTTGTATTTTTAGTGGAGACGGGGTTTCACCATGTTGGCCAGGCTGGTCTCGAACTGCTGAACTCGTGATCTGCCCACCAAAGTGATCTGGCCTCCCAAAGTGCTGGGATTACAGGAATGAGCCACCACACCTGGCCAATATCAATACTTTTAAACTCTTTAGCTGAGGAAGAGAAGGAGGGTTGGATGGGGAACAAGAAAACCTTCACAAGATAAGTATTATCCCATCATGAACATCTGTTGTTGCCATTATTATCTGCCCAGTAACCCTTCCCCCTTTTATTGGTAATAGCACATCTGTTTTCTTTGGAGACCCATCCTCTCCCCACTCTTTGTCCATGTGGTTCAGATGGGAATCATCATAGTCCCACAACCCACTTCAGTGGTACGTTCCTAACCCAGGATTGGCCTATCTAAGTTAAAGTGATCAATTCAGAGGTAGGCACATGACAAAATTTGAGCCAGTGAAAAATCAGATCCAGGAATTTTCCTGGAACTATTGGGCAAGAGGTGCTGATAGAACATAAGCCTGAGGGACAAGGTGCCACAAGGAAGGATGAACCTTCCTAAGAATGACGCTAACTCAAAGAAAGCAAAGCAAGGGATGGAGATAGGTGCCTAACAATATCAAATTAACCTGTAGATTTACCTTTTCCATGAAGTTGAAATCTGCCCATAGATTTTTTTAGCTCTTTAAATCAATAAATTCCCTTTTTGCTTACATCACTGTAAGTTGGAATTTTTTTTTTTTTTCCCCACATCATCTTGCTCCGTCGCCCAGGCTGGAGTACAGTGGTGCGATCTAGGCTCACTGCAAACTCTGCCTCCCAGGTTCAACTGATTCTCCTGCCTCAGTCTCCCAAGTAGCTGGGATTACAGATGCCTGCCACCACACCTGGCTAGTTTTTTGTATTTTTAGTAGAGACAGGTTTCATCGTGTTGGCCAGGCTGGTCTCAAACTCCTGACGTCAAGTGATACACCCGCCTCGGCCTCCCAAAGTGCAGGGATTACAGGCATGAGCCACTGTGCCAGCCTAAGTTGGGTTTTATTACATGCAACCAAGAGTTACAATGCATGTGAATACACGTAGCAGATATTGTCTATTGGTGCTCATTCCCACATCTACTTTTCTATATCTTCTCTGCACCGCCAGGGCTGGAAATCTGAAAACCACATTTCTCAGACTCCCTTGTCAGCTTGGCTCCAATTAGGTCTGAAGGGAAGAGAAAGGAAAAAGCCCTTTTGTTTCTGGCAGTGCCTCTGGCACCATCAGCAGCAGTGGTTCCTGTCTAGTGAAAGTGGAGGTGGTTGCATAGCATCAGCAATACAAACCCCAATAGCATCAGTAGCTAGTGCAGATTCATGGGCTCCAGCTTCTTGATCTTTGGGTGATAACTTTCCTCCTATTTGTTCCTCTAAATCCAGATTAGTAGTAGCTTCCCGATTTTTGGGTAACTGCTTTCCCTGGTTATGTGTCTCCAAACCTTCTTGCAACTTTGTAACAAACTCCTTGCATTAAATCTTTCTCTACTTGGATATCTAGAGTGGTTTCTGTATTCTTATTGAACACTGATTGATACAACACACATTCTTATTTGCATATCATATATATCCACACACATAAGAAGCTGAGAGGTTAAATTTCTCACATCTAAGCAGAAAGTGGCTTGCCTGGGATTGGAGCTCAGACATGTCTGATTTTAAAGTTCTCAAACTTTCTCTGACCTACAGTTGGTTTTTGTTGTTGATTTCTTTTTTTTTTTTTAATAGCTAGATGAAATAGAGGTTAAAGGGGGAAAAGAAATAAAAGTATTGTCAAGAAAGTTGTTCAAATAATTATTTTTTAAAAAAATAGAGACAGTTTTCCTTTGTCACCCGGGCTAGAATGCAGTGATGCAATCATAGCTCACTGTGGCCTCAAACTTTTGGGTTCAAGTGATCCTCCTGCCTCAGCCTCCTAAGTAGCTGGGACTACAGGCACATGCCACAACACCCTGCTAATTATTTTTATTGTTTGTAGAGACCAGAGTCTTGCTTTGTTTCCCAGGCTGGTCTCGAACTCCTGGCCTCAAGTGATCCTCCCAATTTGGCCTCCCAAAGCACTGGGATTTAGGCATAAGCCACTGCACTTGGCCCAGATAATCAATGTTGATGTTTAATTTGGGTGGGAGAAAAATAGCTTTCAGGGAATGGAAGACTGTGACAGTAACAAAGTCAAAGAGCAGGAATGTGGGAGTGAAGTGAGGGAGGCAGAAGGATAAGGGCCTGCACTCACAAGAGAGATACTGGAATTTAAGGAATTTCTTCAACAGGTGGAGCAATTGTGAGTGATGAATAGGGTTAAAGTTTGGCCATAGTAATTGGGTAGCTGGTGTGGGGACATCAGTCTGCAAAGCCTTCAGCAACTGAGAGAACATAGGAGGCTGGTAGATGATGGCCATTGGAATAGTAGGGAGAATGATATGGCTTACATCCATGATGCTGAAGGAGAAGGAATTTAACAGCATGAAAAGGGGGAAAATGGTGCAGATGTGCTGATACAGCTTCCCATCCACTGGGGAAGCTACAGGGGAAGAAAGAGGGGCCCTGGGGTAGAGCCTGTTCTCAAGGCTGGAGGTAAAGACATAGAGATGTTTGTACATGTAAACGATGTACGTGTACATGTTTGTACATGTAAAAGACATAGGGAAGCTTGTTAGCCATGGAGTATGACTCTGAAAAGGTACCATGGAAAATCAAGGAAGAAGAAGCAGGATGACGAACCAGGAAAAGGGGCCATAGCGCAGTTTGGAAGTGAGATTCCTCTTTCTCTCACCTTCAGATCCAATCCATCAGCAAGTCCTATAGACTGTGTCTTCTAAATATTTTTTATCAGCCCACTACTCCACCATTGCCATGTGTCCAGGTGCCATGATCTACCAGATTAGCCACAGCATCAACCTCCACAATGGTCTGCCCACATCTGCTGGGGTTTTCTTTCACCTGGTATCCACTCTGCAGCAATCAGAGAAATCTTTCTCAAATGTAAATCTCATCACCTCACTTTCTTCCTGTCTAAAATCCCTCAGTAGGTCTCTATTGCTCCCAAAATAGACAATATCCATGCTTCCTAGACTGCCATGGAAGGCCTCCTGTGAACTGGTATGTTCCTGCCTCCCTCTCCAGTCTCATCTCACCAGCCCCTCACACATCCCCTGTACTCCAGCCCTGTGGGGCTGGTTGCAGTTTGCACCCCTTGTTGTCCCTTCTCTCCTTTCCTCTGCTCATAATGCTCCCTGGGATGGTAATGCATAGTTGGCAGTGAATATATATTTACTAAAGGAATTGCATAAATTTTACTCATCTTTAAAAATTGAACTAAGTGTTTATTATATATGAAGCCTTTCCTAACCCCTTCTTCATCCTAAGTATTGCTGGCTCCACTGTCCTTTGTATATTGAGTCTTCCATCTTAGTATCTATCTCACTGTATTGCATTTACTTGATGCTTTTTCTGTGTTCCCCTCCTGACTGTGATAGAGCGGCAGATTCTTGAGGGTAGAATGGCAAGCTGCTCTGCACATAGGTGATGCTAAGTGAATGAATGAAAGAAGTATAAGTTGGACCTTTTTATGGTCTGAATATTGGCATCTCCCCCAAATTCATATGTTGGAACCAAATGTCACTAATGTGATAGCATTAGGAGGGGGAGACTTTTGGAAGTGATTAAGTCACATGGGTTTCAACCTCATGGAAGGGATTAGTGTCCTTATAAAAGAGCCCAAAGGGAGCTGCTTGTCCCTTTTTCACCATGTGAGAACACAGCAAAAAGGTGCCATCTTCGAAGCAGAAGAAGCACTCAGCAGACACTGAATCTGCTGGAGCCTTGATCTTGGACTTTCCAGCCTCCAGAATTGTGAACAATAAATTCCTATTGCTGATAGATTACCCACTCTAAGATATTCTCTTATAGCAGCCTAAACTGACTGAAACAAACCATTTCTGGGAGTTCCCTGGAGACAAGCTAGAGGATTCCCTGCAAGAGAACACGTGGGAGGAAAGGAGAAAGGGGAGACTTAGTACTCCCTGCCTCCGAAAACAAGAGAAAGTTAACCTTGGGTATCACAGTTGTTGGATAACTGTTTAGACACCTCTAGGCTCCCTGGCATGATGCAGCAGTGGTCCCAAGTGTAGTGCATGAACTTGATAAGGACCAGACCTGAAACTCTGTCCTTGTCTCCACCCCTTAGACTAGCAGCCAACCCCGTGAGGGTAGCCATCCAAGACACCATTAGGAATGAAAAGTAAAGCTCAAGGTGCTCCTAAGGAGTAGACCCACAACCCTGCTGCTTGGCCCCTAACCTCTGTTCTCAGCTCCAGTCAACTTCCTAGTTAGACCCTAATCTGAGACACTGTCCCCCAGCTCCCAGCCCTTTAAGCTGGAGCCACTCTATAGCCTGGCCTCCCAGTACAAAGCCTTGTGTGACAGTCAGAGCTTGTTAGCTACTACTCTACCCATCAAAGTCCTACGGAGCAAATGGCTGACAGGTTGGGAGGGGCTGACTCCAGATCACATGAGGCCATGAGCCACAGTCTGGGTCTACGTCCAGAGCCCCTTCCCAAGACAGTTCAAGGGATGGGTTTGAGTCTATATTCATTGTCACTGGAAGGTGGGTGGCATTGTGTCTATTTTACAGGAAAGGAAAATGAGGCTAGGACACGGAAGCTCAGAATAAGGGCCCTCTGCTGGAAACTCAGGCTATTTTTTGAGGCTGAAACAAGCCAGCCTCCAACCTCAGCTGGGTTGTAAAGGCAGTGGAGGAACAGGGCCTTGTCTGAGACATAGCTACCTATAGTCTAGGCCCAATTCCCAGTTAAACAGCTGTCAGCAAATTTGGAACCCAAAGCCTTCACCAGTTTATGACCAGAAAATAACCAAGCACTGCAACCTCCTTGCCAGTGACATTTGCTGGTCTAGATGGTGCAGATACCCAGGAGGCTAATTGGGTAGGCCAGATCCTCTGTGCCAGCAAAGCTCCTGAGGCTCCAGCAAGACTCCCAGGGACTGTGTTCTGCAAATGTGCTCCATGGTGCCATTCATTCTTTCTTCTCTCTCTCCAGCTTGCCTCTGACACACAGCTGGTGTATTTCTGTTTCCCCACTTCAACTTCATTCCACTTGTCATGCCTAACTCATGGCAACACAAGCCATGAGTGGTGTTACTTGAATCACCCAGAACCATAATTTGAGGTCCCCCAGATTGGACCTCCTACCCCACAACTCTGAGCCAATCCTCTTTGCACATGCATAGTTGCCCCAGGCCCTGTTGTTTCTGATGCCTTGCGGCTGGGTTGTGGCCATCTACCAGCAAGTTGAATCAGAGTCCTAGCTCCACCTCTTACTTGCTGTATAAACTCAGCTGTTCCTCTTCCGACTCTGGTTCTCTTTCCCCCCACTATGTGTAGATAGTCTGCAAAGAGCTAGTTTATGATCTGGACCTAAGAATCATCTGCGCAGAGATAGGTTTGCCCCTTAGTGCTCCCCTCCCTTGTTTCTCACAGCCTTGTTTGAGCTCGACACCCTCAAAGGAGAAGTGCTAACTTTTCAACTCAAAGAAAGAAGATTGTTTCACGACCAAGGTCCCTTGATTCAAGTGAAGAAGCAATCTGTCTTTATTATGAGAAACTGGGGAGGTGGGGCCAGGCCAGACTCATGTCAGAAGGCCCCTCAGTGAGAAGCGAAGAAGCAATCTGTCTTTATTATGAGGAACTAGGAGGTGGGGCCAGGCCAGACTCATGTCAGAAGGCCCCTCAGTGAGTGCAGCCCAGGAGACTGGTCACATTCTGGGGTTGCGGAAGGGCCTTGGCTGCATTCAGTTTCTCCACATCACTGTAGCAGTACAAATTGGGACCATGGATGAGGTACAAGCCGGGACCATTGGCGGAACATGAGTTAGGGCCAAGGGACTTTTCCATACACAAGGCTCCGTCTACCTTCTCATGGGGCCAAGGAAGCTCTGTCCACGTGGCTTGGGCTCCTGACTTCAGGTCCAGCCACCACAGCCGCCGTCCTGGGGAGAAGGCACCAAACATAGCATGGCTTCCATGTCATGGGGATCCTGACCTAGGCCTTCTCATGCCCTGGGGATCCTGACCTAGGCCTTCTCATGCCCTGGTGGGGATCTATGCCACAGACAGGTAGCAGAACAAGCTGCCCTCTAAGCACCCAGAAGCCCCTCACCTGCCATGATATGGAGCCGAGAAGACCCAGGGCAGATAAAGGCCGCATCCACAGAGTCCAGGATAATCCCATGAGGGGTCCCGACTTCCTTCTCCAGCCGCTTCGGATAACCGCTTACTAGGGTATAGCCTCCCTTTGTCAGGAAGACATATACCTGGGTGCCCTGGAGGACAAAGGATGGTAATAAATACAGAGTTGGATATGCTTGTCCCAGTCTCTACCTCAAGCCTCTCCCCCAATACACACCTGGACCAGATAGAGTTTTTCTTCCCAGGAAAAGGCAGCATCCACTGCTGAAGGACCCTGGGGCCACTGATGAGCAATGGGCCAGCTATGCCAGCCATCCCGGCTGGTGTCCAGACGCCAGTAGTGGGTCCCTGTGGAATACCATAGGTTGCTCTAGGGCCGCTGGCAGAAGCCCAGGCAGAGAAGAGGCTAGTGATGAATGCAGAAATGAGTCATGAGAGGGAGAGAATGCATCCAGAGGCCAAGATGGAAGAGGCCAGGTGAGAAGGAGAAATAGAGCAAGACTTGGTCAGCAATGTTGGGCACTGTGCCCTGGCTGAAACTGGAATCAGCAGGTGCCTGAAAGAAAGGCAAGTGTGGAAAACAGTGGCTAAGTTTCCAGGTAAGGCCAACATCATGGGGTTGGCGGGCACTCCCTAAGGATTTCAGGTGTCCATGTACAGAGATGCGGTTATAGATAATGAAATACAGTGTCCAGAACTTAAAAAGGAAGCACCACTTCTACTGAATGTTCTCACTCTGGCTGTGTTCTCCAGTCTCTCCCTATGAGGTGGTGGAAGAGTGAGGGAGTAGCTGGGCTAGCACCCCGTTTTTCTTCTCCTCTTTTCACAACAACTTATTAAGGAATTATCTAGGCTCCCATTTGTCTTTTTTCCTCAATCCTCTTCAATTACACTTCTGTTTCCCTCAACCATTGAAATTGTTCTTATCCAGGTTGCTAGTATTCTCCAATTTGCGAAATCTCATGGTCAATTCTCTGTTCTCATCTGACCCTACCTCTCAGGAGCACTGGACTGCTCACTACTTCCTTCTCCTTTAAATGTCTTTTTTTGGAACTTGGCTTCTGTGACACCTGACTCTCCCAGTATTCCTCTTATCTTTTTTGACTACTCTTTTCTTCAACCTGATATCTAAATATTGGAATCCCCTACTTTGGGCCTCTTCTCTTCTCTCTCTACCTTCACTTCCTTGGTAATCTCACCTAGTCCAGGGGCTTTAAATGCCATCTATATGCTGATGACTTCCAATCTGTTCTCGTCAGCTCTGACTGACCTCTCCTTTGAGGTTTAGGCTCCAAATCAGCTGCCTACCTGACATGCTTATGGGGTGCCAATAGGCACCCAAAACCTAATATGCCCAAACTGATTTCTGCCCCCCACCAACACACACACTCCCTAGTCTTTCCCAATTTTAGAAAACAAAACCACCAGCCACTCAGTTGCTGAGTCCACGAAAGCTGAGTCATTCTTGAAGCCTCTTTTCCCTTCCCTACTCTGACTGATATCATTCATTCATTCATTTATTTAGAGACGGAGTTTCACTCTTGTTCCCCAGGCTGGAGTGCAATGGTGCAATCTCGGCTCACTGCAACATTCACCTCCCAGGTTCAAGCGATTCTCCTGCCTCAGCCTCCCAAGTAGGCTGAGATTACAGGCATGTGCCACCATTCCCAGCTAATTTTGTATTTTTAGTAGAGACGAGGTTTCACCATGTTGGTCAAGCTGGTCTCGAACTCCTGACCTCAGGTGATCCACTCGCCTTGGCCTCCCAAAGTGCTAGGATTACAGGCGTAAGCCACCACACCCGGCCTATCTTAGCTATTAGTTAATGCTGTCAGCTCTACCTCCAAAATATATCATGGTGATTCCTCACCACCTCTGCTGCTATCATCCTAGTCCAAGCGGTCATCACCTCTAATTTGGACAACTGCACGGATTGCTAGCTGGATTCCTTGCTTACATGCTTGTACTTTTATAACTTATGTTCTGCAAAAAGTCAGAGTGATCTTTTATAAAAAATGAGTTAGAATATATCACAGCCCTGCTCAAGACTTTCTGATGACTCCCTTTTATGGTTGAAAACCCTTACCAGGTCTAGGTAACCTGGCCACTGCCGTCCCTGCCCTTTCAAGTCACCCACCTGCTCTTTCTCTGTGTTCCAGCCTCACCAGGCTTCCTTCTTGATTCCTTGAAGTATGTGCTGCTCACCCTCCCTAAAATGCTTTTCCTCCAGCACATCGTGTGGTTAATTCCTTCTCATCACTGAAGTCTCAGCTCAAAAATCATTTCTTCAGAAGACAGCCCTCATTCTCCTCACCTCTATCCCACTATCCTGTCTTATTTTCTTTACAACCCTTAATATTACCTAAAATTATTCTCTTTCTTCCTTTCTCTTTCTTATTGTCCTCTCTCACTTTAGCAGAGCCTGTCAGGGCAGGCATCTTGTCTGCCATGTTGACTACTGTATCTCAGTGCCTAGGACAATGCCCACTTCTTATCAGATGCTCAACAAATATTTGTTGAGTAAATACCTAGTGTTCTTGCTGCTACCACAAGTTCTCTTATTAGCCGTGTACTGAGTATACAGCGGTGACTGACATATCCACCTCCCCTGGGAGGTTTCCCACTGAAATTACCCTGCTCAGGAACCATATTTATTTTATTTTATTTATTTGTTTTTTGAGACAGGGTCTCAATCTGTCACCCAGGCTGGATTGCAGAGGCACAGTCACGGTTCACTGCAATCTCTGCCTCCCACACTCGAGCAATCCTCCCACCTCAGCCTCCTGAACAGCTGGGACTACTGGTGCATGCCACCACACCTGGCTAATTTTTTGTATTTTTAGTAGAGATGAGATTTCACCATGTTGCCCAGGCTGGTCTAGAACTCCTGGACTCAAGTGATCTGCCCCCCTCGGCCTCCCACAGTGTTGGGATTATAGGCATGAGCCACCACACCTGGCCCAGGGGCCCTATTTTGAGAACCAGAGCTATGCTGCTTTGTGCAATGAAGTAAATGATGAGTTCCCAACCCATTAATGTAGCCAATACATAGGCTGGCAATCAACCACTTTAATGTGGTGTGGTCTGAAAATATGGACTGGGCCATTCAGATTCCCTCTCTGGAAATCTTACTAGGAAAAAAGAGCAACTGAGGGAGGTATCAGTTGGAACTGAGACTGAAAGATCATGAAGTAGTGAGAAAGTGGAGAGAACATGATGGTCCACGTGCAAGCCAAAGTTGTGAAGAAGCAAAGAGAATAGATAAAAACCTATGAGGGGCCAGGCGTGGTTGCTCATGCCTGTAATCCTAGCACTTTGGGAGGCCGAGGCAGGCGGATCACCTGAGGTCAGGAGTTCGAGACCAGCCTGGCCAACATGGTGAAACCCTATCTCTACTAAAAATACAAAAATTAAATTAATAAATAGTACATTGTAACCCAAAAAAAAATACAAAAATTAGCCAGGCATGGTGGTATGCGCCTGTAGTCCCAGCTATACGGGAGGCTGAGGCAGGAGGATCGCTTGAACCCAGGAGGCAGAGGTTGCAGTGAACCAAGATTGCGCCATTGCACTCCAGCCTGGGTGACAGAGTGAGACTCCATCTCAAACAACAGCAACAACAACAACAAAACTGTGAGTCAGAGAAAGAAAAATTTACCAGTGAGAGGGGAGGGACTGCCCCATGCTGTAGCTGGGTCATGTTGGTGATTTTACCAAAATAGTGCATTCTCACCTCAGCTAGGTATATATATATATATATGGGTTTTTTGTTTGTTTGTTTGTTTTGTTTTGTTTTTTGTTTTTGTTTTTTTTGAGACATGGTCTCACTCTGTCACCCAGGCTGGAGTGCAGTAGCACGATCACGGCTCACTGAAGCCTCGACCTTCCGGGCTCAGCCTCTGAAGTAGATGGGACTATAGGAACGCACTACCACACCCGACTAATTTTTATATTTTTTGTAGAGATGAGGTTTTGCCATGTTGCCCAGGCTGGTCTCAAACTCCTAGGCTCAAGCCGCTCAAGCAATCCACCTGCCTCAGCCTCCCAAAGTGCTAGGATTACAGGCGTGACTCACCACGCCCGGCCTGGGTATTTTTAATATAAGGTGTTCTCTCCATGCTGTGGGCTCTCTCAACAGCTATGGAACATACATGACATTTTTCATTTAGGAGTTCAGTAGCATTCTCATTATGGCCACATGGCCTTGAAGTTCTGTGATCTCTAGATGGCTTGGTGTCTCTCTCTATTTCTGTGTGTTTCCTGTGGCCCTGTTTTCACAATCTCTCACTCACTCTCTCTCTCTTTCTGCATTTCACTTTGTCTGTGTGTCCTCCCAATGGGCTCCCACCATGGCTGTGTGTTCTCTTGATACTTATGTGTTCTTACTATGGCGTATGTTCTCAGTTTAATGTTGTATTTTCACTACAGGTGTGTGTTTCATCTTAGCTGTATGTTCTTATTATAGTGTGCAATCCTGCTGTGGAGATTTGCTCTCCATGTGGTGATGTATTTTTCAACAGAACTTGATAGTCATAACTGGTCAAATTTGTCCAAGGGTCAGGAGCCAAAAAAATTTTGTGTGAAAAAAATATTTTCACGATTTTATATTCTTACCACTGTCCTAATTATACATATATCTCAGGTTGGATGTGATGTGGTTGCTCACTCCTCTTGGGGATATTCTCAACTGTGCAGCATGACTATTTACTGCCTGACTGAACTCAGAACAGCCCTAGGTATTATTAGATGGCTTTTACCAATTGATGCCACGGGTCAAGGGAGGGGTATCTCCATTGGCTACTCAGAGGAGAAACCTCCAGAGGCTAGTGAAGCCAGCCTCTAAAGGTCTAAAGTACCCAACACTTCTCAGCTGGTTCTCAGCAATGAGAACATCTCATCCCCAGGCAGTGCTATGCCCAGGGGTCTGGACATAGGAACCAGGAACCTGAAACAAGATGGAGTTCTGAGGATAAATCAGGGGGAGCCAGAGGACTCAGAAAGATATGCAAGAACAAAGGGAGGCAAGGAGGTACAGAGACACATAGAGGTCCAGGGAGCAAGGGAGAGCCAGAGGGCTCAGCAGGGCATTGAGCAAGGAGAACACAAGGAGTCATAGGGGCCCAGAGAGGTCCACAGGGGGCACAGCCATGGGAGTAGATGGTAGACAGGTAGATGAAGTTAGGGGCTTGGGCCGTGACAGACAAGATTGAGAAATATGCCTCAGAGATGAGGGATGCAGAAGGGCATGCAGAAGGATGGGGACAGAGGGGACAAAATAAGTGACACAGTGATGACAATGGAGAAATGTGTCAAGGATGGGAGATACAAGTAAAAGAGATGTGAGAGCACATTGGGGGAGTTGGGGGCATCTCTCACCACTGAAGGCATAGGTGGCACCATGGTTGTCAGACGTCAGTGCAGACAAGACTAGATGTGGGCTACAGCGCATATACTCAGGGCCATGGTGGGTACTGTTCCCATGGCCAGTCCCATTCCTGTGTCCATGGCCTGGAGAGAGAAATGGGTGAGGAGAACACAGAAGGAGGCCAGAGGTCAGAGTGAGGTCCAAGGTGGAAGAGATGGCTGGGGTTAGTGGGGTGTGGGTTTCCCCATATGAGGGCAATGGGAAAATCCAGAATGGAAATGGGGCTAGATTAAGGGCCAAGGTGTCGCAACACGGAGTTAAAGTGAGAGCTAGGACACGTGAGATCCACAAGCTCAGGGAAAGTGGATGAATTCTGACAGGTCTCAAGTGCTAGGGCTTTCTCACCTCTGCCAGGGCAGGGCATGAAGTAGTCTCGGACATCCCGCGGGTACCTGGGAGGCACCTCTCCCCTGACAGGGTCGAAGCGCAGGAATTGGTTACCCTGGAAGCAGTAGTAGCGGCCCAGCCATCTCAGGGCAGAGGAGCAGTTCCCAACAGCTGGCCAGGAACGCTCCTTCATGGTTCCCGTAGCCAAGTCCCAGAACCACTCGCGGTCACCTTTGTCCAATCAATCAACAGGCATTTGGTGAGACCGGGTTACGCCCTCCTTTGTGCTTTCTCTGGGTCCCAGGATGGGCCAGATAATGGTACTGACCACATGGAGCTCACAGCCATCAGAGAGATGGCTAAAGGAGGGTGATCATACACCAAAATTCAGCAGCAAAACACACAGGATCAGCTCAGCAAAGGCAGTGGGGAGAGTCTGGGAAAACTTCCCAGGGAAGATGATACTTAAAGTGAAATCTGAAGTAGGAATTAAAAGGCACACAAGGAGAGATGGAACCCCAGAGAGAGGAAAGATTCCAAAGCATGGAGCAAACTGAGTGTACAGAGAATAGCATAGGGTTTCTGGAGCTTAGTGTTAAGGTAAAAGTATAATAAAAGTCAAAGCTGAAGGGCCAATAGGGATTTGGCCATGGAGAGACTTGTATGTAAGACTAAAGAGGGTAGATTTGTCCTAAGGGTCATGGGGAACAATGAGGGACTATTCACACAGAATTACACACAGTTGCCTTCACCAGAATGACTTCCTCTCCTTCCCTCACGTGACCTCTAGACCATACGTGGCTTCTCTATTTCCCTTCCTTAAAAAGCCACATAGTGGCTCCACCACCACCATCACTACCACTATCACCATCACTACTGGCATCACTACCAACCCACCACTACTCCAGGTTCTTGGATTCCAGCCTGGACTGACCTTGGAAGAAGAGGACGCCTTCAGCTTGACATTCTCCACGGTGACATTCCACAGCTGCATCCAGTGGGGATGGGATTCCAGGAAATTCATCTTGGAGCAACTTTGGGTATCCTTTCTCCTTCTTTTCAGGAGGGTATACCCAGACTTTGTCCCCCTGCATTCAAAAGTACTCTCTTTTTGACTGTGCATCCCCAGATACTGCCACTCTGCATTTACACACATTTTTTATCTACTGTGCTTATACGATATCCTCCTGTGGCCCTACACATTCTCAGTCCATCTGTGGACAACAATGTGCTGTCCTTTTGCACATTACACACTCTCAGTTTGTGCAAATCCAGTCACTATTACTATAACACACATGCCTCTAGCTCTGTACCCAGACACTCCTGTGGCACATTTATCTGCAACACTATCAGTGTTGACAAACATATCCACAACTGTTCATCCTGCAATCACCCATACGTTATTTCTTCATTCATTTCTTCATTTATTTATTCATTCATTCATTCATCCAAGAAACAGTCACTGAATAACTACTATATGCCAGGCATTGTGAGAGGCACTGAGGATAACAAGACTCTGTCTTTCACTTCAGGAAGTTCACTGTACAAAAGCAGAAAGGACTCCTGCAATCCTAGCCATGCAACTACCAAGGTGTAGTGTAAAGAGTGCACTGAGAATATAGACAGAGTGCCTAAGTCTGCCTAGAGAAGTTGTGGAAGGTTTCACACCAAAGAGGAAGCATTGGGCCCAAGAGCTGAAAAATCAGCAGGAATTTTCCAGGTTGACAAGTGAGGAAAGGGTGTTACCAGCAGAGGGAGCAGCATGCAGAGCCCAAACATGAGGAAGCAGTGTGCTCCAACCTCATGTAGATTCGTATGGCTGGCACACAGTGAATGTGGCAGGGGAGGAGATAAACCTGAGAAGATAACCAAGGCCCAGATCATGAGACCCTGTGTGCACTTGGTTTGTAGTAATCAGGCACATTTTGGGGTCATTTACTGAAACAGGAAACACAGGAGGAAAGGTTGGTTTGTAAAGAAGATGCAAAGCTTAGTTTGGGGGATGCTGAATTTTAGGTGCCTGTAGAACATACAATTGGAAAGAGATGTCTGGAGCTCAGAAAGTAGATCTAGATCCAGTGTCCACAGCATAGATATTCCTCAGAGCCAAGGTGATGGTTGAGATCACTGAGGGAAGGTATATGGAAAGGCTAGGATGGATCCCCAAGGAACATTAGGGAACTGGTTGAGATAGAATGAGACATTTGAGAAGAGAGAGAAAAGAGGCAGGAGGGAAAACAAAGCCGACAGTCAGGACTTCCCCAACCACACAGCACCTTTGGCAAGGTAGGAAAAGGCACCCCTTCCTCTGAGCAGACACAGCCTGGGTCACATGGGACTTGGTGAGCACAGCAGACTGGATTTCATGCTCCACATGCTCTTCTAGCCAGGTGCCATTGTGTTGGGAACAACTTGCCTTGCCCTATGAAGAGGACTTGATACAGGGTCATGGAAGGCAAGGGAAGCAATTGCCAGAGAAAAAAAGGATGGCCAGCAGTGTGAGGTACAGCAGAGCGGTGTAGAACTAAGACTAGGACTGAAGAACAGCCACTGGATGGTGCACCTGCCAGGCCCACACGCATGCACACTCCCTTAGCCCAAGCTTTTACAGGAAAGGAGGGCACATGGGAAAGAAATCTGCTACCTATTGCTATGGGCTCCATGCCAAGGCCATTTGGGGGAAGGGTCCCCAGTGTCGATTCCAGCCCTTTCCAGCCTGGCCCTGATTTTGGCCCAGCAGTACCTTGATCAGAAAGACACTGTTGTGACCTTGACGGAATGCAGCATCCACAGGGCTGGGGAAATTCTTCCATCTCTCTGAGATTAACTCCCGGTCCCATTTGTGACTCTTCCACACAAACTCCCCTGAAAAAACCCACACTCACTGAGGGGCCCAGTGAGAAACCTTTGACCTACTGAGATAGCTTGAGAGAAGCTGTCAGTGATACCATCAGATAATTCCTAAGACCTCCCACAGACAGGGACACCCTTTGTGAAGGAGAGTAAGTCTAAGGTCCTAAACGCCCTAACCTCAGTCCCTCCTACCTTTAAAAAACAGCATGGTTCCATTGTCATCCAGGGTGGTAGCATCAAAGCTCCAGCCATCTGAGCAGCGTTCTGGGGTGGAGGTAGGGAGATGGCAAAGTAAAAAAAAAAAAAAAAAAAAAAAAAAAAAAAAAAAACCAGAAGGTGATAAAATGCAGAGACACAACCAGACAGATAAGACAGACTTAGGGAGTCAGGGCCTCACCAGTCACGTCTGGGTCTGGCTTGGTCTCGCCTTCAGCAACATTCCCATGGGCACTAGTCCTAGGGAGAACAAAATAGATATCTTGATCCATTGGGACCGATCCCTTTCCCATAGCCCCTGACCCCAAATTTGACCGAGGCCTAAAAACTGGCCCTACCTTACCCTAGCCCAGAACTCAATCCTTCGCTTCTAGTCCCAGCTTTACTCACGGAGGAAGAGGGGTGGCAATGGCCAGAGACCAGCATAGGCTCCACAACCCCAGTGCAACGGGTGCTCCCAGTACCCTAGCCATGCTGAGCTGCAGAGGCCACAGGACAGCTCTGGGTGACCAGTTGAACTCCCTATATAGAGTTGGCAGCAGCACCACCCCCACCTCCAACTCTACTGGGAATGTGCTGTCTCCCAGGACTAAGCCAATATTGGCTGATTACATCACTGCAAATAAGGTCAGGGTCTGGACAGAAATCTGAATCCAAGACTCCTTTTTCCCGGCAGCTGCCCCCCAACCCCCTTCAGCAATTTTCAAGCAGTAACTGGGCTACACTGCTGACGTCCAGCTGTGACTCTCACACTGGCAATGGGTCCAGGCATCCATAAGTCAGGGAAGTGAGTAGACTGAGGATCACCTTTTGTGATTGAGTTTATCTCCACAATGGGGGAGGTGAGAAAAGGAGGGAACTAATATTGCTGTGTACTGTGTCAAGCCCTGCTCTAAGGCAGCTAGAGACAGCAATACTTACTACTTTTAGTAACCACACACACAGATAAACTTACTTAGAAATACTCAGAGAACAGCTTTTTCCAAGCTTCATCAGGGGCCTTTCTGGGGCATGCCCAAGCCTCTTCAGCTTTACCCTTGGGCTAGTGAGTCTGGGGACAATAATGTCTCACTGTTGTCAAATGTCCAAGCCCCATGCCCAGCCTCTCGCCTTCCCTGACTGGCAAAGGGCTTTGCAAAAAGTGCCTGGAAGTGAAGGGTTGACAGTAATGAGGCAGAAACAGGAGGTGTCTCTCTTCCAGAGAGCACCACCACTACTAGTAATTAGTCTTTCTTGGTAGTTTCCACCTTGGGGGAAAAAGCTTTATTTAACCAACCCAGAACAAATAGAACTGTAACTGGAATTTCACAATATTTCTAGCTGACTCCTGCTTAAATGCTACCTTCTCAATGAAGCCTTTCTTGACCACCTTATCTAGCCATTTCAGACCCTTGCTTGTTTTATTTTACTTACTAAAACTTGAAATTCTTTCATCTGTCTACTTATCTGGTGATGGTTGTTGTTGCTTTGCTTTGTTTTGCCTGTCTTGTTTACCATTATATATCCCTGACTCCTAAAATAGTGCCTGGCATATAAGAGTTGTTCCAGAAATATTTGTTGAATGAAAAAAATGCAAAAATGCATTTCAAGTACTGAGTAGTGTTGCTAGTGTTGCAGCCAAATTTCTGACAATTTCCCCCCCTCTAGGGTAGGAGAATATTAGGAATTGGGGGTAGGTTATGGTAGTAGGCATAATGAGATCTAGGAGTCACAGACGCCCTTTATCTGACAGTCCTGTTTCTCTCTCCAGTGTCTCGGCCCCACATCCATCTCTTCCTGGGATCTCACCTGCTATCCTCAGTACTTCCTGGGCCCACTCCCAAAGCTGCCCCATTTCTGTGTGAGATTTGCCTAGTGAGTCAGAAAAGAATTATGGGCAGACTCAGCTATGGGCCAGGATGAAGTTCCAGGACCCCTGCTCCCTAGCCAAGGCTGAAAGGGCCCTGATCCCTCACAGATGGCTCCAGACCCCTGACAGTCCCATATATAATCTTACCAAAAGTCTCAGATCCCTTTTCTACTCTGCGAAGTTTCCTTCCAACAGGAAAACACACATTCCGGAACCTCTGGAACAACATGTCACCAGGCCTCTGCCATCAGGCTCAATGTCCTCTCCTGACTTACGAATGAAAATGTGCTGTGAACATCATTCCCTCCTCATAGGTCAGTGGGCAAGGCTGGACTCTCTGAGTCCTTGGCAGCCTGGGCAATGCCATCGCTGCTACAGCCAATGTCTCATACTCACCTTCTCCCCATTGCAGGGCATGTCTTCTTTCTGGGTGTTGGGCAATGGGAGCCACTATTCTAAGACTCCCCCTCACCTTTTCTTTCCCTCTCAGCCTCTGAAACCTTATATTCTCCCTCCTGAGCACCCCATGATCCTCCATCAGGAATTTCCTCAACAACTTGTCTTCAGCTGTCAGAACCCTGTCTGAATCCTACAGATTTTGCTGGGCCTGCCTGGGGAGAGGGAAGCTTTCACCCCAAGAAACAAACACCCCACAGAAAACCCATAGTGAGAGTCTTCAATAGTCCTATTAGCAGGGCCTTGCACTGACTTGCCAGTCCAAGGGTGCAGTCTCCTTCTGGCCTAACAGGGCTGTCTGAGGGCATACAGCACATATACTGGATGATCATTTTTCAGCTTGACCCCTTCCCCACACACCTGGTGTGGTCCCCCTCACAGCACCCCGGATCCATCTATCCCAGAATACTACTTTATGGTCCCTTTTCCCTGTTGCTTCCTAATTCACCTGTGTACCCGAGAATGGCTTAGAAACCATTACTGGATCCTCCTGCTCCACCCAGGGACTAGGCCAGCAGAGTCATCTGCACTGCAGGCAGTCCAGGTTGAAGTTCAAGTTTTGGGCAGGAGTTGAAAGTAGAACATTGTACACATTTGGGAACCCAGGGCTGTGGATATGTTGGCCACCCTGGTGTTGGTCACAGGGTACAAGCCAAGACTTCTCAGGGTAGTCAAGACTCAGCAGCCTTGCTTCTCTTCCCCTCACTACAGGAGGCCCCTTCTGTGGGTCCTGGGTCCTTCCCAGGCTTCCTACTGGGGCTGAGGAAAGAAGCTTGTCGGTACTTGGGCCTGAGCACCCCCTGCAGGCCGCAGGAATCAGTGCACTCCCGCCCTTCAACTAGAGGCCAGAGCCCAGGAGTTTTTCCTCTCTGAAACTAGCTCTCCACAGCCTTTGTCCCACACTCCTCTCAGCCCTGGCTGTGCATCCTTAGTGGTACACACCCTTCTATGCTTCTTTCCCTTCTTCTGCAAACCTTGCTGCCCAGAGTGGATTTGGGGACCTCAATCTCTTGCTTCTCTGGGAACTCGAGCCCAGAGAAATTCAACCATCTCTTTTCCTGGGTAGTCTTCTCTATCCTCCTAACCAGCAGCTTTTTTACTTCTCCCAGAAGGGGTCTGAACACGAACCTGCAAATGTCTGCAAATGACAGAGCTTCCTCCTGCATTGCCAAGAGCCAGATGTAAGCTGGACACTGACCCACTGTCCCTTGGAATGGCTATGTCTATGTCCAGCCTGCTCTGCTGTTGATATGAGTTCTCTGACCTTAGCCATTTCTCCTGGGCCCACTGAGTGCTAGGTGTGCTGGGCCTGAAGTCTGTGGCTGTATACTCCAGGGAGCAGGAACTGAATGTCTCCTTTCCTCAGGGGTAGGAGGCTTAGGGATAAAGCTCCAGGCAGCCAAAGAGCTTGCTGATCCCAGCTGACCCCTCCTCTTGCTCAGTCTATAATGGGCCTTAGTGCTATATATATATATATATAGCATGTATATAGCACTTGCTATGGTTTGAATGTTTCTGTCCCCTCCGAATTGATGTGTTGGAAGCTTAATTCCCAATGTGCCAGTGTTTGGAGGTGCGGCCTCATGAGAGGTGTTTAGGTCATGAGAGCTCTGCCCGATGAATGGATTAATGCTGCTATAAAAAGGGCTTTCAGAAGTGGATTCTCTCTCCTCTGCTTTTCTGCCACGTGATGAACAGCATTTGTCTCCTCTAGAGGATGCAGCGTTCAAAATGCCATCATAGAAGCAGAGACCAGGACCTCACCACACACCAAACCTGCTGGGCACCTTAATCTTGGACTTCCCAGCCTCCAGAACTGTGAGAAATACATTTTTGTTCATTATAAATCATCAGTCATGGGCATTTTGTTATAGCAGCACAAACAGACAAAGGTAGCACTATGAGTCCCGTTTTATGAATGAGGAAGCCAATATTAGGTATCTTAGCCAAATCACATTGCTAGCAAGTGGCAGAGCCATGATTTAAACCCTGGGTGCCTGACTCCTAGGGGTGTGTTCCTACAAGGATAGTGTGTTCTTATCAAGGGGTTCGCTGGCAAATATTTAACAACTGCTCTCTAGGGGGAAAAAGCACTGATTTGTAACATTTGCAGATTTTTGTGATATAAATACTCCTACCATGGCCAACTTTAAGCTACCGACAAGACATCACCAAATGTAGAGTTGGGAAGGGATGTACAGTAACACACTGCATACAATATTCCTACCATACAGATATGATAGATATAAATAATCACAAGAGCACAGGGGATAGTAAAATGTAGTAAAATAATTAGGAAGTGATTACTTTTAAGTACTGATTATCTTTGGTTTTAATAGAATGTATTTAAGTTTATATAGTTTGATTTTTAATAATAGCTGTGTTTTAACAACCAGCTCTCAAAATTCTAAATTTGACAATCAGCTCTCATGAGCCAGCTCCAGCACCCCACAGTCTACCATGCTGCCTTTGTGTACAGGACAAGGATCCTACCTGCTTTAGTCACTGCTATATCTTCAGCACTGAGAACACGCCTGAAATACTGTATGTATTTAATAAATATTGAATCCTATTATTCCTACTTCCTAATTATACATAAAATCTGTCCATTTCTCTCTGCCTCTTTAGTAATGCAAACACCACCTTTTCTTGTGTGACCATTGAAATAGCTCCTCTACAACACATTCTTTATAACAACCACAGTGATCTTTAAAAACGTATCTGAGATCACCTTATGCTCCTGCTTAAAATTTTTTCTTGAAGTCAGTTGTAATTTTTTTTTTTTTTCTTTTTTTTTTGAGACAGAGTCTCACTCTGTCACCCAGGCTGGAGTGCAGTGGCGCGATCTCGGCTCACTGCAACCTCCGTCTCCTGGGTTCAAGTGATTCTCCTGCCTCAGCCTCTCGATTAGCTGGGACTACAGGCGCCTGCCACCACACCTGGCTCATTTTTTGCATTTTTAGTAGAAACAGGGTTTCACCGTGTTAGCCAGGATGGTCTTAATCTCCTGACCTTGTGATCTGTCCACCTTGGCCTCCCAAATGCTGGGATTACAGGCGGGAGCCACTGCACCTGGCCGAAGTCAGTTGTAATTCTAATGTATACACAGTCTTCAAGAGGAACAGTTTAGAGAAGTTGAATTGTTTTCTGATTTTCTTTCTCAATTCTCTTCCTACCCCACAGAATCACTGCCCAGTTTAAAGTTTGTTTCACAGGGCATCCCTTTCATCCTTATCACTTAAACTTTTCAGTGGCTTACTGTCATACTCCAGACCAAATCCAAGCTCTTTATCTTAGTTAAATGATCGAAGTCAGGCCTAATTCTCCAAACTTGTTCCTTTCCTCTCTCCTTCCACCCTCCTTCCTCTCCAGTCACCCTGGCCTCCTTTCAGATTCTCAAACACATCAAGATCTCAACCCCTCAGGATGTTTGTACCTGTTTTTCCTTTGTCTGAAAATCTCTATCTCCTTTTCTTAACACAGCTAGTTCCCTACCCACCCTGCTCCAACCCTACAGGTCACTGCTTAAAGAGACTTTCCTTGTCCACTCTATTTAACACTATATTGTCTATCATTGTATTCTGTTCATTTCCTTCACAGCTTGAACTCAAATTGTTATTACACATTTAGTTCCTTGTTGCTTACTTGTCTCCCTTCTCCACTAGACTATAAGCTTAATAAGGGCAGGGACCATTTCTCTGTATTCCCAGGGCCCATTACTCTGTCTAATATTAAGTGCTCAACAAATACTTGTTCAATAAATAAATGAACCCGCAGACCACAAATGGCCATAGGGCTGTTCTGGTCACCAGACAGCCCTATATGAGCAAAGTGTGAACCCTTGCAGGACCACAAAATAACATTCTGACAGCAGGGGCTTTGCTGTGACCCCCAAATCTGTGACAATCATTCCAGACTTGGCCTCCACTGTCAGGCACTACTTTCATCTACTTGGCCCCAAGGCCTGAATTGGAAAGAAAATGCCCACCACGGCTGGATTTAGAAGGAACAGAATGACTCCACCTTGATGTACCTTTTCCATGGCATGGGAAGACTACCTAATCTGAATCTATGGAAATCAGCCCTAGCAGCCTGTTCTTGGGCTAGCAGAAGAGCCATTTGCAGCATCCCGCCCAAGGAAGGTCACCCTTACTGCCTTTTTATTCCCCTGCTACTTTTAGGTGTTCACAATGTAAACATGTGACAGGTTGAGGGCTGGAAGCTTTGAGTTTCCATTCTGTATTACTTCTGGTGCCTTGCTCAAGATAGGGGTGCAGAAAAATAGACCATCACCTGAGAGTTCTCGGGGAGGACTCCACTGGTGCTGAGCGACTGATAATTGAGCACACCATCTCGGCTGACCAGGGCATGGGCTTAGGCAATTCCACTCACAATCAGAGCCAGAGGGGCAGGCTCCATAAGAGCACCTGCACTAAAATCTTCAGGGAGCTCATCGGTCCCTCCACCTATCTATCAGGTTTCTTTTTTTTTTTTTTTTTTTTGAGATGGAGTTTTGCTCTTGTTGCCCAGGCTGGAGTGCAGTGGCACAGTCTCGGCTCACTGCAACCTGTGCCTCCCAGGTTCAAGCAATTCTCCCGCCTCAGCCTCTCAAGTAGCTGGGATTATAGGCACCCACCACGATGCCTGGCTAATACTTGTATTTTTAGTAGAGACAGGGTTTCACCATGTTGGCCAGGCTGGTCGCAAACTCCTGACCTCAGGTGATCCACCCACCTCGGCCTCCCAAAGTGCTGGGATTACAGGCGTGAGCCACTGTGCCTGGCCTATCTGTCAGGTTTCAGCTAGTGGGGCAGAGAGGACCAGGGAGGTAAGCATAACCAAGACTTTCCATATAGTCCAAGTGGGACCCCCTTGTTCTCTACAAAGCCCCCATGGTCTTCCACAGATCCATGGATAGTCCCTCTTTTCCTAGCCCCAGAATTGTGCTATACCAGATCGATGTCTTGATCTTTTCCATGACCTCTCATGATCAACTTTCCCAGATCCAACGTTCCCCAAATCTTGTTGAGTGCTTTCTCTGCCAGCCATCATGCCAGGTGCAAGGGGCATAAGGGTGAACGGGGTGCTATAACTCACCGGTTAGGAGTATGACAGCTACATATTCAAATCTGGGCTCTGCTCTTCATCAACAATATGACCTATTTCTGTGAGCTTCAGTCTTTTGTAGAGAGAGAGAGAAATCATAGTCCCTACTTGCCAAATCATCACTGAATGCTGCTTTCAATTCTCTCTGGAGATAGCAGTAAAACTCTGGCAGTCTAGAGCTCAGGAGAGAATGTGAAGACCCTAATTCCACTGCAGGGAGGGGCAGCAGTCTTGGAAATGTGAGAAAGGGGATATGTCAGGGCTCCAGGGATTCAGGGATGACTTTTAAAATTAGCCATGGAGTCTCCCACACGTAGCTACCACCTGGGCTAGCCTCAATTCCCTTGCCCAGGCTTGAACTTCAAAGATTGCTTTCATAGCCTGACACTGTTCTCTCTGCACCTACTGGCTGTGTGCTGGGCAGAGGTCATTCCCTCACCCCCCCAACCCCACAATCCTTCCCAGCCCCAGGGCAGATAGGCAAAGGACTTGCCTACTTCTGTAGGGCCTGGGGATGGGGATATGGCAGGTGGGTCAGGGTCCCATGGGTTCACCCTTTCTTGCTCTTCTCTACGGAAGTTTCAAAATATCAGGACCTGCTTGGGAAGCTGGGTCCCTTGCCTGCCTGCTTGCCCACCTTTTAGTCCAGAGCTAGTCCCACCATCCCATCTCCTCACTGCAGCCCCACCCCACAAGAACCCAGCAAAAACATCTTGGTGAAGACATTTATTTAATATGGGGGGTGGGGTATTGCTGTCTCTGTCAGTGTGTATAGGGTGGTAGGGAGACAACTAGAGGGACTCCTGTCCTGGGGTAGGCTGTTCTGGCCCCAGGCTGGGGGATGGGGAGCAGACTGACAGGGGTGGGGAGGTGTGTAAGAAGGGTAGGGTGAAGCTCTGCACACATCCTTGGGACCACAGTCCAGGCTCACCCAGTCACCAAAGCAAGAACCGAATAAATAAAGTGCAACCGTGGGGGTGGGGGTAGGAGAGGGAGGGCACCGGGTGCACCCATGCCCACAGCCCACATTCAGTGCTGCCAGGTCTGGCCCACCTCCCAGCCAGACCCTCTTGTCCAATCACCCCAATGTCTGTCCCTCCACAAGCCAGGCAGGGCCTCTGTACAGCTACTGGAGGTAGCGATAGGCTTTAAAGCAGTGGTTGCCAGCATCAGCCACCACCACATGGCCATCCGAGGTCAGTGCCAGGCCCTGTGGACCATACAGTGGTTCTGCAGATGTGTTGATATAGGACAGGAAGGAGCCAGAGCTGTCGAATACCTGGGGAAGGAGTGCAGAAAGGAGGGAGAGGCAAGATCAGGCAGATGAGAGTCTGTTTTGGGGGAACGGGCATATGGGACACACCAGGAAACCGCCCCCTCATGTCATTCCCAGGCCTTACTCACCTGGATGCGGCTGTTGCCCCAGTCAGCCACAATGATGTTTCCATTGGAGTCCACAGCTACTCCTGTGGGGGCATTGAACTGCCCATTGCCCTCGCCATGGGAGCCAAACTTGAAGAGGAACTCTCCATCGGCACTGTACACCTGGCGGGGGAAGGGGCTAGGGACTGGGGACCTGGCCTCAGGCAGAGGGTAGGGCTTTGGAGGAGGATAGGGTGAAGCCCCAGGGCTGAGAACCCCCACCCAGATCTACAGCTACAGCCCAAATCTGCTTCATAGGCTTCACATCCATGTGCCCTACTGCCTAGTAGACATCTCTTGCTGATGTCCATTGGGAATATCAAATCTAACAGCTCATTTTCTTTGGGAAATCAGTTCTCTTAGTTCTCTATCTCAATGACTGGTGCCACCCAGCTGGCCATGAGTCACTCTTGACTCCAATTTCTTCTCTGTTTGATAGGCCAATGAATTAACACAACTCTTGATTCCATCTCAAATCCCTCTCTCAAGTCTATACCCTATGCATACACTGTCTCGTCTTTCTCACGGTCCAGGCTCACATCATTTCTCATCTGGATCACTGCAAAAGATTGATCTTCCTGTCTCAGTCTTGCCTCAGCCTGAGTGATCTAAGACACACAGGACTGCATCACTCCCCTGCCTGCAATCCTGTGACTCCCCATAGCTCTTGGGAGGAGAGCAAGCCCCTTAAGGGGGCACACAAGCCTCACTCTCAGCTTTCACGGTCCCCTCCTCAAGCTGAGTCTGAACTACTTGTGATTTCTCGAACACACTATTAAGGTTCCCACCTTGCATTCTTGGCTCTTCCTGTGTCTTTTGTCTCAAACACTCTCGTCCTCCTCTGCCTTCCATTTAATTCCCACTTGTGCTTGAGGTCCTCCTCATATAGTCTTTCCTGAATCATACACTTCTGTATCCCTTCCCACAGTTCCCTGCACCTTCCTATCACAGAATCTATTACATCATATTGTAATTTTTTGGTTACCTTTTTCTCTTCCCTACTAGACTATAATCAAGAAGACACAGAATACATTTGCTTTGTGCATCACTGTATCTCCAGCTTCTAGCATACTGCCTGGGACAAAGCAGCCATGCATAAATGTGTAAATGTGTATTGTTTGAGTGAATGATCTCAAAGGGGAAAAGGAGGAGGTAAAATAGAGAGGAGTCTTGTGGAAGAGGAAAGGATGTTGGGACAGTGGTCACGGAGGGAGGGAAGACACTGACCTTCACTGAATGGTTATGGAAGTCCGTTACTACAATTTCATTCTTGTTGTTCACAGCCACAAAATGGGGCCCTGAAAATACAAAGTGGTCTTCAGGGCAGTAAGCTGGGATGCTGAGTGGGATGGGGAAGAGTATCTGGGAAGATAAAAGCTAGGGTGTTAGGAGAGGGGTGGGGTCTCCAGGACTGAGACAAATTATTTCTGAGATGATAGGGCTAACGTAAGGGAAGTGGGATCTCCAGAGCCAAGATATAGGAGGAGAGGGCCTTTACAGCTGGGGTATCTAGGGGAGTTCTCTGGAACAGGGGTATCAGCATAGATCTTGGAGCTGTCCCCCTATACCTGCAAAGTGGCGGTCAGTGGCCCCACGGCCCCCAAAACGGCCAACCAGTTTGCCATTGGGCTGGAAGGTAAAGACGCAGCAAGACTTGTTGTCGACCACAATGATATGTCCATTCCGGTCTACGGCCACTCCCTTGGGGCCCATGAGGCGGCCAGCTCCAATCTTGGTCTGGAGGAAGAGAATATCCATAAGAGGCTTTATTCTGACAGTGGGGAAAGTAGTCCTAACCCAGTACCAAAGCAGAATCTTGGGCTGGGGAAAGAACAGGGAGTAGGAGGAGGTAGGATTGGATCAGTCCAGACCCTGACCACCAAGAGGCACTAGACTGGTCAGTTCAGCTGGACACCAGGGTAAGTAAAGTGACAGCAGGCCTCTCACCTTGAACTTGCCCTCAGGGGAGAAGATGCTGACCCAACGGTTGTCATAGTCTGCCACAATTATGTCTCCATTGGTGTCCACTGCCACACCTGTGGGGCGCTGCAGCTGCCCAGGTGAGCGTCCTCGGACCCCAAAACGGAACTTGAACTGGCCCTCATTGGAGAAAACCTGGAGCAGAGGAGCAAGGGGAGGGAGCAGGTAGGAGGGGAGACACTGTGGGCACAGACAGAAGGGAGTAGGATCCTGAGGGAGGAGACCCCCCCACCACCATTTATTCAGTCATTCAACAAGCACTTACTGACAAAATCAAACATGGCAGCAGGTCTGGGGCAATGCAACAGAGATATGAATGGGATTGTGAGAACATGAAGGGATGAAGGGGAATGGTGAGAAAAGGCTCCAAGAGAAGAAGATGTCTGAACAAATAGCCTAATGAGGATGCCACATAAACCAAATTCGGCCAGGAAAGGAAGAGGAAAGGCATTCAAGCAGAGTGAACAGATTGTAAAAGGCACAAAGTCCAGTATGGGCACCACTTGAGGACTTGTCCAGTGTGGCTGGACTGCAGGGAGCACCCAGGTGAACAAAAGAAGGAATTATGTTTTATCCTGGGTGTAATGAGGAGTTTCTTAACATTTCTAGGCATAGCAGTGACAAGATCAATTTTGCTTTTAAGAAAGAACATTCTGGCTGTAGGGAGAAGTCAAGACTACAAGCTAGCTGCCCAGTCAGAGGCTGTTGCAGTATTCCAGTTGAGAAATGATGATGGCTTGGACCAAGGAAATTGGCTGGAGGGACGCAGATGGACTCAAGACATATGTAGGAGGTAGGCTCATGAGACTTAGTAGCAGACTGGAATGGGGTAGGTGAGAGAGGAGAAAGTATACAAGAATTAGTCCATTCAGGCTATGGGGCTGACAAGGAAACCTTCCTCCTACACAGAGTGAACCTTTCAACCTCTCCCTTCTCCAACCTCCTCTAATTTAGCTGCCCAATATGCTCAGGTCTCCCCATCCCAAAAGCACCTCCTTTAATCCTCCTTCCCACTTTAGCTAAGCTTTCTGGCTTTTCCTTCATAGTCAAAACATTACTCACTACATAAGTCTCATACACTCTGCTTTGTTATAGGCTCTGGGGACACAAGATGAACGAGAGCCAGGAGCAGCCTTGGAGAACTCAAGTTCTGGGCATTGGCCTTGCTCTTGGATTCAAATCTGTGCCTTCCTTAATGGACTGGTCTCCCCGCCCCGGCCCCACCCCAACTCCATCTCTTAGTCCTGCAGGGCTGTTTAAACTGGTCCCACCAACAGGCATCACTTTCTTCTAATGTGGACCTTCTACTAAGCTCTTCTCTGGCTGACCAGCACAGCTCTTGGGTTCTGCAGTGGTCCCCTGTGGCAGGACAGCACTCATCAGTATGAGAAGGGAGATACCATGAGCTCCACGAGCTAAATAGTAGAAGTGAGGGGGCACTAAAAGGTACAGTTTAGCGGTGAGGTAATGCCCCTCCAGTTTGAGCAGCTCAGGTTCTGGCTCAATACTGATGAGGCTTTGGGATGTCTTGTTCTTCCAGTCCCAGCCTATCCCACCCCTGACACCTGGCCAACTCTTACTCATCTTTCCATTCTTAGAATTTCCAGGTCACTTTTTCAGAGAAGACTAATGACCAAGTACCACCCTCCGCCCTACCAAATCAATATGCACATATAAACTTAGGTCACCAGGATATATGCTTTACAGCTCTCTTCATAACAATTATCACTTTGCAGCTAAATAACTGTTAAATATCGGTGTCCCCTTCTAAGGATGTAAGCCTCGCATGGCATAAGGACTGCATCTGTTTTGTTTGCTGCTGCACTTGCAGCACTGATATGGCATTTGGCACATAGTAGGCATTCAACAAATGAATGAACTCCCCAGCTCAATCTCAGACCTGAACTGGACATCTCCACTTGAATGCCGCATAGCTATCTCAAACATCTGCAAAAGTGAATTCATCAACTTAAACCTGGGCCTGCTCCTGAATGGCAACACCATCTACCCAGTCCACAAAGTCCTGCCATTCTTGACATTTGACGATTTAGCAAAATCTGCCATTCTTGCTTCCTTAATATCTCTAGAATCTGCTGGTGTCCTAGTTTGGTCCTTAACATCTCTCTCCTATACCATGGTATCTGAAAGTAGATCCCTGACTTCAGGGATCTCACAGTCTAGTGGGGGAGAAAGACTTAAACCAAAATAAAACAAAACAAAACCAGACAAAAACAAAAACAAACCAGTGATTCCAGTAAAGTATGAAAAGTACTATAGCAAAAGGCTGAGGGAACTGAGAAGAATGTGATTTAACATTCTGCCTAAGGGAATGAGGGAGTTTTCACAGAAGAGCTGATAAAACTGGAAGCTTAGACAATTACACAAGGACATAATATATACAAATCAAATTATTAATTCAGAATCACAAAATGTTTTTTGTCTTCTGTCAACTGATGCTGGTTCCACTCAGTGAGGTCTGCCTCATCCTCCACCATAGAAGTGTCCAAAAGAGAAAACGGTCATGTCGTGAGGACCCCAATCCCCATGTACTGAGAGGAGGAGGGGGATCAGACCTCATCAGGGAGCCCAGCCCATGCCAGCCCTAAGGACTCCAGAGTAAGAGAAGCAGAAATTCAACTTAGAAATCTGAGCCAGGCTCCTAGCAGTGGCGACATAGAGGGCAGGTGGAAGTAGAAGCAAGAGGAGGACTGCTATAGAAGTAGCAGGTGTTTGGAAGAGAGTGGAGCTATACCAGGTGTTCCCTCTCAATTCCCCACTCTGAAACAATGGGGAGGCCAGGTGCAGTGGCTCATGCCTGTAATCCCAGCACTTTCAGAGGCCAAGGCAGGAGGATAGCTTGAGCCTAGGAGTTCCAGACCAGCCCAAACAATATAGTGAAACCCCGTCTTTACTAAAAATAAAAATAAAATAAAATAAATTAGCCAGGTATAGTGGCATGCGCCTGTAGTCCCAGCTACTCGGGAGGCTGAAGTAGGAGGATTGCTTGAGCACAGGAGGTCAAGGCTGCAGTGAGCTGTGATCATAGCACTGTACTCCAGCCTGGACAACAGAGACCCTGTCTCAAAAAAAAAAAAAAAAACTATGAGGAAGTTCAGCCCCCTCACCAGGACAGACAAAGTGGCACTTGTTTTTCTGTGCATGTGAGCAGTGAGCACACCTGTGTGTGTGCACAACAGAGAAGGGGTCCCAAATCTCAACTTTTATGCCAGGAAGCATTCCCAGCCTAGGGAGTTGGAAAGGAGCTGGAAGGTGTAACTGAGTAGGGAACTGAGCACCACCTCATTACTCCCCCGCAATCCCCTCCTCACTATCCAGGCTGGGCCCAAATGCCTTCCTGTGCTGCACAGGGCCTCTCCATTCCTCTGCTCTTAGAAATAGGGTAGGAGTAAAGGACGACTGGACAGAACTGGGAATATGGCCACAGAAGAGTCCCTTGCACTTTTAGACTGTTAGGTGAAAAGCAGGGGTCAGAGAGTAGCCGTCACTGAGGGAAAGGACCTTAGCAGAGCTGGATCGATGACATGAGTACTCAAGCAGGGTCAGGAAGTTTAAACGTATAGGTGTTTAGAAGTAAGGATCTTCAGCGAAAAGTTTTGCTACCCAGTAAAATGTTTCGAAGAAGTAAAGTGCATGGTAGTTAGAAACAATCCCCTATAGGATAAAATCAAAATTCCACACTCCATCTCCAAAACCAATTACAATCTGACCTCAGCTACCCCTGGCTTCTAATAGTAATCTACCTCCAGGCCTGCTGGGCTCCTTCCAGTTCCCTGAACCACCTCCTCCAGCACTTTCCCACCTGCTTGCCTTTGTTTACAGCCTCCACCTGGACGATGATATTTTTAACAATAGCTAACATCAGAAGTTTCACTAGATGTCAAGTATAGTACATCATTTAACACTCCCCGCAACCCTATCAGATATACTTTTCCTAATTTTACACATGAGTTAACTGAAGCTCAAAGAGGTCATGTGACTTGTTAGTATGTGACAGAGCTAGGATTCAAGCTCAGGTGTCTGGTTTCAGAGCCTGAGCTTTTAACTGCTCTGCTGTGTCAACTACCCTGGTGCCCACTGTACTAGGCTCTGAGCTTTTACTACAAGAAACAGAGGGAAAAAAAGGCACATTTCCTGGCTTTGAAAAGGAGCTCACAGTGCAGCAGAAACCATGTTCATTCAGTGCGGTTGATGCCATAATCAGGTGTATGAGGTTATGGGAGAGGCAGTGGGAGGACCACCTGCTACAACTTCTAGCCACTGAAAGATACCCCCTTTGGCCAAGATACCCCTATGCAACTGTCTAGCCAACCTGATAACTGCAGAGACTCCAGACAGACTACATACATTCAGGAGCCAGGCATGCATGTTGGAAGACACGGAGGGCAGGCCACCAGGAGAAAAAGGGAGAAAGTAAGAGGCTCAAGGAGAGGCAGAAGGAAAGGAGGAATGAGCCAGATCTTTGCAGTCCAGGAGCTGACCTGCCCTAAGCCATGGCCTACAAAGTAGAGGCTACAAGCATAGTAAACTCTGGTTTCTGACTGAAGGTGCTGGTTACAGTTGTGGCCTATGGGAATGGGGTGGCTGGTGGGTGCGTAAGGGGTGATCCTTTGATTCACTGCTCTTAAGGAACGGTACTATCTGTAGGGTTCCATCTTCCAGGAGGTGACCTGTACATTCTATCTTTTCAGTAGCCTGTAGCTTGAAAACTCTTATTTTGGTGGTGGAGGAGAGCGGTAAAGGTGCTTACCTGAATACACTGGTTGTTGCTGTCTGCTACCACGATGCGGCCGCTGCTGGCTGCGGACACACCTTGTAAATTGGTGAATTCACCTTTCTCCCTTCCACGACTGCCTGTGGGAAGGGACAGGAGGGAAAACAAAATAATTCATTCAGAGGTCATCTTGAACCTCCCTTCCCTCCCCACCCACTACCTGAGCCTGGCCCATCTGGCTCTGCCCTCGGCTGTCTGTACCAACACGGAAGACGAGCTCATCCTCAATTGGGTTGTCCTTTCGTTTGCCGCCTGTGCTGTACATGGAGCTGGGCCTACGCACTGCCTTCTGGCGCACATGGCTGCCGGGGCCGCCAGGGGACTTGACACGGCGCTTCACATCGTCCGGGGAAGGTGGCAGGTCCCCCGGACGCAGGGCACGCACGCGGAAGGGGCTGCCGCGCACTGGCTGTCCGTAGAGCAGCACCGAGAGGAGCAGCTCGCCTTCCGTGCGCGCTGTGTACACTAGCTCATATGTGCCATTCTTGTGGTCCACCACTGGCACCGGAAGGCGCGTGCCGTCCGGGCCGGTGATCTCTGCACGCAGCTCAGCGCTGCCTGTGCGCACCAACCGCCCGTCCTTGTCTTTGGTAGTGACAGTGAGCGAGGCAGGCTGGCCCACTAGCGCCTGGCGCAGGCCCTCTCCCGTGGCCACCGTTTCGTGTGCAGTGGCGCTCGTGGTGAGCAGTGCGCCCAGATTGAGCACCGATCGCCGCAGACCGTCCACCTCAAGGACCAGTTCCAGCTGTGCATTCTCATGTGGCCGCTCCGGGAAGGCCTGTGCCGCCAATGCAGCCAGCCGCTCTCGCATGTGCTTGCGCACCAGCAACACCTCCGGGGCCGAGCCCAGGCGCAGTGCCTGCTCTGCAAAGCTGCAGCTACTGCCGATGTGTTCCTGACCCTGGCGCAGTGTGTCCAGCTGGCTTTGCAACACCTGATGAGGGGTAGGGGAGGAGTGGGTGAGCAGACTGGCACAGGGGGAGTCTCTGTGATTACTGAAGTTGTAGCACTGTGGCATAAAATACAAGAGGGTGCCTGTGGACAGAGGACACAGATGCCCACAGCACCTACCGAGGGCATGTCAGGAGGCAGAATATCTAGGCTGGGGAATGGGGAGCTGGTGTGGAAGACAGAGGAACAATGGAGGCAATAACACCATCACAATGGACGATGGTAGGAAAGGGTGAACACAAGACACACCTTCTGTTTGGCCCCACAAATGGTCTCCAGGTCGCTGACCAGAGCCTGCTTGCGCTGCTGCAGTGCTTGCTCCAGGTCCTCGAACGCTGCACTGATCTGGGCCAGGGCCTCTGCCTTGCGCTCCTGCAGCTGCTGGCTGATGCCCCCGACTAAGGCAATTGCTGCGGACAGCTGTGGCAATCTGGAGGGGGAATATCTCATTCCAGAGTTGCTGAGGGTGGCTTTGCCGAACTTTCCCTTCTCCCTGGGGAACCTACTGCTGCCCTCATGGAGATCTCCTTCCTGAGACCTCCCTGAGACTTCCATCTCTGCCCTTCCCAGACCCTTTATTCCCCTCCCCGCCCGAGCTAAGACACCATCCCTGTGGCCCCACCAGCCCAGGACCCTGCCCAGTGCCTACCGGCCACGCACAGCCTCGAGCTGGCGCTGCAGGGCCGCCTTGTGCTGCTCCACCACATCCCTCAGCAGCACTGTGCCATGCTCACGATGCTCCCCGGCGCGGCACTCACCACACATGGCCGTCTCACAGGCCTCACAGTAAAACTCCATCGTCTGCGGTACAAGGACTCCAGTCGGGTAATGGCTAGACATCACACTTCTTTGTCCCCTCCCCACCTGCCCTCCCTGCCCCTCACCTTCTAAGTGCACCCCCTACCTGGACCACTAATCCAGAGCAGTACCCTGTCACCCAGCCACTCGGCACCCCCCAATGCCTCTCCTCCTCCTCCCACCCCAAGTCCCGGCCTCACTGGGCCTCGCTTGGGCCCACCTTGCCTTCATGGTTGGGGCAGGAGAGAGGGCGGCCAGCCACTACACTGAGGGGGTGGGGGTCCTCCGGGTCGTGGGCCCCATCAGGTGCCTGCTGCATTGCCTCCATGAGGCTGCTGATGAAGAAGTTGTTCTGCAGTGCCGAGACGCCCTGCTCTGGGAGGATGGACGTCTGCCGGCATACTGGACAGGATAGCGTCAGGCTCTGGGCAGGGATATAGTTTTGGAGACATCTGTCCAGGAAGGAGAGTCAAAGAACAGAGTGGGTGGGGTGGCATAAGTGCACCCTTCCTTATACTTCCCATGGGTGCCAACCCCTTCCCTCACAGGTGTGCCATTACACTTCATTTTAAAACCTCTCTGCTTGACACATCTCATCTGCCAGCAGGTATAATGGCCTTGCCCCTTACAACTGAGTAGGAACACACCCCGACCCCTCTCAGAAGAGCAGACTATCCACATTCCTCACAGTGTGCACACAGGCTCACCTTTCACAGGTGTTTACAAATGCTTCTCATAGGAATGTGCAACTAGGCACCCCCTGCCCAACTTCTTTAACTCATTAACACTACTGTCTACTCTTGCCAAATTTATGCCAAGCCCTGGGGACAAAAAGATAAAGCACAGTGCCTACCCTTAAAATACTTCCCATCTACAGAGAAAAAAGTCACAGGAATAGTACAGAAGTAAATAGCATGATGATTAAGGGAATGGGTCCTGGAGCTAGGCTGCCCAGGCCCAACACCCCGTTGGTCACCTGTTATACTGTATGACCCCTGACAAGTTACATAACTTTGACAAGCCAAGGACTCTTCCTTTGTAAGATGGAGAAGTACAGACTTCACAGAGTGTTAGAGGATTACATGTAAAGTACTTACTTATATTTGAAGAGGATTAAATGTAAAATGCCTGACTCATAATAGCACTATATATGGTAGGCTACTTGTATTACTTATTATTAATATAAGGAATGATAGAAAGTGATAAGGAAATGCATCTGGCTCAAGCAGGTGGAGAGGGTGTCCAGGAAAGTCTTCAGAGAGTTGATGCAAACTAAATCTTCAAGGATAAATAATTGTTAGCCTGACCAAAGAATGGTGCAGGCAGAGGGGGAAGGGTAGTCCAGATACAGAAGGCAGCAAGAAGCAGCATAGTATGAATAAGCAACTGTAAGCAGTTTGATGTGGCTGGCTAGAGACAAAGTCCAAGGCAAGGAATGGTGACAGAAGTCAAGGAGCTTAGAAGTTATCCTGCCAGCAATAGGAAGCTGCAAGAGAGTGGTATAGCCAGGTTTATATTTTACCAAGCTCCTCTTCACCCCCTCTGTGTGGGGAGTGAATTTAAAGGGAATGAGACAGCAGATGGGGTTGGGGGGCGAGGGCAGTGGCATCACCAGCTAGTTACCATTTATTAAGTGCATATGTGCCAGGTGCCATGCTTTCTGATTACGTTTCTGTTAGCAGGAGAAAGGGCAAGTGGCCCAAGGTAACAACAGCAGTAGGTGCTGAAGCCTGTCTTCAAATGCAAAGTATGTGCTTAGCCAGCATACTCTTACAATCATCTAGGTAGGAAGTGAAGAAGACCTGGATTTAGGCAATAGTAATGTAGACTATGAGGTGGAAATAAATTTGAGAAGTGTTTAAGAAGGAGGGAAGGTGGGAGGTGTTGTCTGATTAGATATGGGGAGCAAGAGAGATGATGAGTCTTCGCTGACTTCCAAATTCCTAGCTTTGATAACTGAGTGGATAGTGGTGACATTCACTAAGATGAGAAACATAGAAAGAGGAGTAGCTATAGGAAAGTTCAGCCTTGTCCTGGTTGAATTTACTGTAACAATAAACACCCAGGTTGAGGTCACCAGTAGACAGGAGAATGAAGGTTAGAGACAAGAGATGGGCATGCCATCAACATTTAGATGGCTTCGGTAGCACTGGGAGAGGATGAGATCAGACAAGAAAGCATAGACAGTGATAAGAGAGAGGGACAGAGCACTTAGCAAAAACTGAATGAGGACAACAAAGAAGACCAGGCCGAGAGGCAGGAAGAGCAGCTGTGTTAGGGCAGAAAACTGAGTGGTACATTTCCAGGAGGGAATGAGTAGTCATCAGCGTTAAAAGCAGCTGACGAGTTGGGTAAGGTAAGGACAGGAAAATGTCCACTGAATTTGGCAAATGTGAGGGTACTTTGTCTGTAGGGAAAACAGGGAGGGAGTGGCAGGAGAAGGAAAGCTTGACTGCTGGAAGTTGAGTGAAGGGGAGCTTGAAAGTTCCAATGAGGAGCTGGTTGAGGGGTTGGATGGTGCTAGAAAGAGTTTTTACCTGTTTGGCATGGGAGTTTTGAGCATGTTTATGAATGGAGGAGTCAGGAGAGAAGGAGAGGGGGAAGAGACTACAAAACTGAGAGGAGAAGATCTTGAGGATTGGGGAGTGCCTCGGATTGGCCTGAAGAGGAGGACTGGACGTCAGTCTCTGAATGGAGGGAAGGAGGAAAGGAGAGGAGGATATAGAGAGGCACTAGGGACATAGGAGAGTGAAGGATGGAGGATTCAGGGGCCTGATGATGGCTCAGATTAGTCAGTGATGGGAGAGCAGAGGACACTTACTAGAAACAGACATCAGAACTGAAGGCAGCTGTATTTGGGGACCTCAAATTTGTGGAGTGAAGATCTGCATTATGCAAACTCTCCCATATCCTCAATCTCAACTCTTAATGTTTCCTATAACTTAGGATCTTAATTAAAATCTGACAAACACTATGTGCCAGGCATGATTCTAAGTGCTTCACAAGTATTAACTTATTTAATTGTGTTTTCTTTGTTTTTGTTTTTTTGGTGGCTTTTTTTTTTTTTTTTTTTTTTTTTGAGACGGAGTCCTGCTCTGTCACCCAGGTGTGAGTGCAGTAGCACAATCTTGGCTCACTGCAACCTCCACCTCCCGGGTTCAAGCGATTCTCTTGCCTCAGCCTCCCGAGCAGCTGGGATTATAGGCTCACACCATCACGCCTGGCTAATTTTTGTATTTTTAGTAGAGATGGGGTTTTGTCATGTTGGCCAGGCTGGTCTCAAACTCCTGACCTCAGGTGATCTGCCCGTCTCGGCCTCCCAAAGTGCTGGGATTACAGGCATGAGCCACCATGCCCAGTGTAACTTATTTAATTGTGACTTACTTTTCCTTGCAGTCCTCTCAAGTAGAGTGGTTTCTGTCTCATACTCCACACTCCTTAGGGCCAGAAGGTGGGCTTGAGCCCTCCCTCTTCCCAACTGGAACATTTCTGAACTATTCAACTCTAGCTCCTTTGAAGCTCATGCCTTCTATCTCTATCACTCCTCCTTATTGTTGTCTCTGCTAACCTAATGGTTGCCCCCACTTCCAATTGTGGACATCTTTCTCTTGGCTCACTCTCTTCTTCCATTACCCCCCGCACCACTCTGCCATCATTCTCAGTGGCACTAACATCCATCCCCCATTGTGATTTCTTAATTCCTTGACCTTCTCACCCCCAGTGATCTTTTCCCCCATTTCCCATGCTCCCACTAACACCCACTTCTCATCAACTATCACTGCATTTCAACCATTCTACTCTATTCTTCAGCAGCTTTCTTCCAAGCTCACTGAATCTAGTGTTTCCCCATGCAAAACACCTTCTAATTCAGCAATATCCCCTTCCTATTTGTCAAGTGTACCTGGCTCACGATAGCTTCCTAACTGGTCTCTGTTTCCACTCTTGCTCCTTTATAATCCATTCTCTCCATAACAGCTAGGGTGAACTTTTTACATTACATTATTTCCCTGTATATATATATTTTTAAAAACTCCAATGGTTTCCCATTGCACTTAAAATAAAATCCAAACACTTTCTGAAAACCTACAAGCTCCCCCTTAAACTGCCCTTATTCTCTCCAATTTCACCTCATCCCACTTTACTCCTCACTTGGCCACACTGGTTTCTTTTCTGGTATCTGAACATGTCCTGTCTACTTCTTCCTCAAGGCCTTTGCACAGATTTTTCTATTGCCTGGAACAATCTGTCTCCTTCTTATCCTCAGAACTCAGGTCAAATGTCACCTCCTCAGGGAAGCCTTCCTTGATGACTATATAGAATAGTTCTTGCCCCAAACACCCCTACTTCTCTCTGTTTATATCCTGTAAAACATTAATACAAGCTGCAGCTCTCGTTTTCTTGATTGCTTACTGTCAGTCACTGCCCACTAGAACATCCTCTGAGAGCAGGGACCAAGGGATACATGAATGAATACTAGTTGACAGTGAAGGCTCTGCAGTGAAAACTGGATTCAGATCTCAGCTATTTACTTACTGTGTAGCCTTGGAAATATTTCTTTTTTTTTATTTGTTTATTTAATTTAAGATAGAGCCTCTCTCTGTCACCCAGGCTAGAGTGCAGTGATGTGATCATGGCTCACTGCAGCCTCCACCTCCCAGGCTCAAATGATCCTCCCACCTCAGCCTCCCGATTAGCTAGAACTACAGGTGCATGCCACCACACCCAGCTAATTTTTAAATTCTTTTTTAGAGACTGCATCTCACTATGTTGTTTCCCAAGCTACTCTGGAACTCCTAGGCTCAAGTGATCCTCCCACCTTGGCCTCCCAAAGTGCTGGGATTACAGGCATGAGCAACTGCACCTGGCCAGAGATATTTCTTAATTATTTACTGACTTTGAACCTTAGTTTCCTCCTCTCTAATATGGGGATACCTGGGTGTGGTAGCCTGCACCTGTAATCCCAGCTACTCAGGAGGCTGAGGCAGGAGGATCACTTGAGCCCAGGAGTTCAAGTCCAGTTTGGGCAATATAGCAAGACACTCATCTCTAAAAAAAAAATAAAATTTAAAAAATTGAAACAAGCTGGGCACGGTGACTCACGCCTGGAATCCCAGAACTTTGGGAGGCTGAGGCGGGCAGATCACAAGGTCAGGAGTTCGAGACCAGCCTGGCCAACATGGTGAAACCCCATCTCTACTAAAAATGCAAAAATTAACCGGATGTGGTGGCGTGCGCCTGTAGTCCCAGCTACTTGGGAGGCTGAGGCAGGAGAATCACTTGAACCCAGGAGGCAGAGATTGCAGTGAGCCAAGATGGCGCCACTGCACTCCAGCCTGGGTGACAGAGAGAGACTCTGTCTCAAAAAAACAAAAACAAAAACAAAAAACAAACCAAAAAAAATTAAAATGAAAAGTTACATTAAAAAATTAAAATAAAAAAATAAAATGAAGTTAATAAAGTATCTGTTGCAGGGATTAAGGAAATCAGTATGTATAAATCACTTAGCCAGTCCCTGGCAAACAGTAAGCAATCAATACATGGTAGCTACTGTTATTACAATTTCTCAGCCAGATTTTCTCCAGGAGTGCTCAGTGATCTGGGCACAGGAGAAAGTGCAGAGACATCCAATTTCAGCTCTGATCCAACATTGAGCTTCTATTGCATGGGTTTTGCAAAGGATAAAGATGTGAAGGAACTGCAGGGGAGCCAGTCGGTCAGCCACAGGGTCCAGGATGGGCAGGAAAGACAGGGAGGCCAGGACGCAGCTGGTGACTGGGAAAAGAGGGAGCAGTCAAAGGGGCTAGATATCTATATTGTATCGAAAGTGGTGTAATGGGAGTGGGGTAACGGGAGCCAGGAGTGGAACGTTGGCGTTTATGACTACAGATAAGATTCTGGATTATAAGATTCAGGGCATGGTTGGGAGGGAGTGTTACTGAGGTGGAATGGGGGACAACCCTGAAGAAACAGTTAAGAACCAACAGGCACAAGAGGGTGGTTGTCCCCAGGCTGACAGAAGAACTTGAATGGACAGGAAAACTGAGGCCATTTCCAGTTGATAAAGGAGAGTGGGCAGTGGAGCTGGAATCTCAAAGAGCAGGGCTGGCAGGGAAGCAGTATCTCTGGTGCAGAGCCAGGTTTCCGTTGGGGCAGAAGGCAGAGGAAAAGTGCGGATAGAGGCAGTGGTGGTGAGAAGACCTAGGGACCAGGCCACCCAAGACAGAACAATGAGAGATAAGGGCCCAAGAGAATATTGTCAAAATACAGATGTGATCACATATAAAACCCTGCAAAGGCTTCATGTGGCTCTCAGGGTAAAGGTGAAATTCCCTAACAGGTCTACAAAGCCCTAGGTGGTCTGGCCTCCACCTACCTCTCCAGCTTCATCCCATAATACTCTCAGTCACACTCACTCTGCTCTAGCCCTACCAGGCTTCCTCCAGGCCTCTTACCTGACATATTTTCTCATGTCACATGAGCTTTTCCAATGGTCTTTCTTCTGTGCAGAATGCTCTTCCAACCCCCTTTACCTAGTTAACTCCTATTCATCCTCTGAATTGCTCCTCAGGGAAACCTTCCCTGATTCTCCAAACTATAACAGATTCCATATGCCAATCTCTCATAGCTCAGCACTTTATTTGCAGCACTTACTAAAAGTTATATTTATCTATAATCTGGCTATATGATTATTTGATGACTATCTTTCTCTTTCACTATACTGTTAGCTCTTTAAGAGTAAGCATTGTAAGTGATGGATACCTTAAATACCCTACTTGATTGTTACCCATTCTATGCTTGTGTAACAATGTATCACATGTTCCCCATAAATATGTAAACTATTGTGTATCAGTTTTTAAAAAGAGTAAGCACGGTAGCTCACGCCTGTAATCCCAGCACTTTGGGAGGCCGAGGTAGGCGGATTGCCTGAGTTCAGGAGTTCAAGAACAGCCTGAGCAACACGGTGAAACCCCATCTGTAATAAAATACAAAAAGTTAGCTGGGCGTGGCGGCGTGCGCCTGTAGTCCCAGCTACTCCGGAGGCTGAGGCAGGAGAATTGGTTGAACCTGGGAGGCAGAGGTTGCAGTGAGCCGAGATCGTGCCACTACACTCCACCTTGGGCAACAGAGCGAGACTCCATCTCAAAAAAAAAAAAAAAAAAAAAAAAAGAGTAAGGATCTTATCTGTTTTTGCTCATCACTGCATACCCAATGCCTAGAACAGGGTCTGGCACATAGTAGTTGCTCAATAAATGAATATTTGTTAAATGAATAAGTGATCCATAGAAGCCTAGAGGCTGGGACAGGTTGCCTTTCACTCAGTACCTGAGGACAACAAGGACAAGCAGGGAAGGACAGACCTAACTTCAAATATCCTCCAACTAGTCATAAATTGCTGATGCCAAAGCTGGTTGAGTCTGAGCACTGTTTGATTTCTTAGGTGGTGTCAAAAGCTGCCTTGAGGTTTGGGAAAGGACAGAGAAGGCCCTATTCTTGACAGGAACCATGGCCCAGTGTTATGGTTCTTATGGTTCTCTCACAGGTTCTTGCCCTCAAAACCTCATTTCCTGCAGGTTGGGGTTCACCTGCTCTCCTCCCAGGTAAGCATGTTGCCTCACCTACTACAGGTTTACACATGCTCCCTCACCCTCCCCACAGGGGAGGAGGATCCTCATCCTCCCCACAGGGTCCTCATCCCTCCCCAGTACACACATCCCCTCACCTCTCACAGAAGGTGTGCAGGCAAGGAAGAACCTTGGGGCACTGGTACCGATCCAGGCAGATGCTGCATACCAGGAACTGCTTGTCCATTGGCTGGACCTCTGGGCCAGGGCTGTCCTCCCTCTTTGCCATGGCGCCCACAGATGGCTCCCGCCACTCACACCAGCCTCTGTATGGAGAGATGGTCAGCACCAGGGAGTCCAGAACTTCTTCTCCCCACCCAATCCCCGCCACTCAAATCCCCTGCAGAGAACTTGCCCCCACCTCTTCCCTGCTAGGGGCAAGACAGGGCAGTGACTGGAAGGATCAGGGTGATGTGACCTCTGAGCCTGGTGTTCTGTTTAAGAGCACAGACGTAGGATTAGATTGGGTTTCAAACCTGGCTCAGTCTCTCACCAGCTATGTGAGCTTGGACAATCCATGTAACTTCTCTGAGCCTCAGTCTCTTAATTTGTAATTACAGGAATAATAATTTGAGAGTGTGACATAGTGCCTGTTGAGTGCATGGTACAGAGATGTCCATTTTCACTGACATACCTACCCTTCATCTCCTCTACCTCCCCCAAATCCTCCTCCAAGAGACCTGAATGGAGTGTCTCTCCTCTAACTACCTGCAGCTCTTCCATTTATACCCTGACCCACCTCTTAGCACAACTGCCTGAAACTGCACTCTTTTTCACACCCAGTTAGTATCAAGGTCGGGATTGCTTCCTGAATATCTTAAACCCTTCTCTCCAATCCCACAGTTACTACCCCTAATTCAGGCAACCATCTGTTCTCTCCTGGAATACAGCAATAGCCTCTTAACTGGTGTTCTTGTCTCCTCACTGACACCTTTTCATTTATCTTCCTTGAAGCCAGAATGAATTTTCTAAAACACAGATTTGATCTTGTCAGTACTCTGTTTAAATTCCTTCAAATGTTATCCATTGTCCAAAGTCCTTATATTGACCAGTGAGGCTTAACTTTGCCCCATACCTTTTCTACAACCTCATGTCTCATAAGTCTATGATCAATCATTCCTGCTGGGTTTTTTTTTTTTTTTTCCAGTTCCTGGAAAATTCCTTGTTCTCTTTTGCTTCTGGGAGATCAGGCATTCGTTCTCTCTGTCCTGGGATCCTTTTCCTGGCCCCTTTTCCTGGCTGATGTGACACCTACTCATCTTTCAGGTCCCCATATAAATGTCACCTCCTTTAGAAGACCTTCCATGACTACCCAGAGTCTGGCTTGGGTGCTCTACCTCTGTGTCCCTCAGCACCCTGTATTTACTCCATCCTAACTCTTATAAGCTATGCTGTAATGTTCTTGTTACTTCTCTGCTTTCTCCACTCCATGCAGTGTTATTGAGGATAGGCATTTTATTTATTTATTTATATTTTATTTTATGTTTTCATTCTTAGCACTTAGCACAGAGCCTGACATAAAGATTGATCTATATTTACTGAATTGATTTCAGGAATTCAATAAATATTTACTGCCTACTTTGTACAGGTGTTAGGAATGGAATGATAAAACAGACAGGGTCACTGTCCCTGTGGTGGGGAGGTGGTGGCAGATATTTTAAAAGTAAATAATAGTGGCAGGGAAGTGATATAAAGAAAAAAGGGATGCTGTGAGAAAGAACACTTTTGATTGAGTCATCAGGGAAGGCTCTCCAAGGAGGTAACTTTTAAGCAGAATTCTGGGTGGATGGGAGAAAAATGGTATGGGTGAGGGTGAGAAACAACAGGGAGTCAGGAAGGGAAATCATTCTAGGCTGAAGAAACAGCATGATAAAGGTTCTTAGGCAGAAGGCTCATGGAGAACCTGAAAGGACTGTGTGGTTGGAGCCAAGTCAATAAAAGGAAGAGGTGAGTTTGGGAAGATAGGTAGAGATGAGATCATGAAGGACCTTATAACCGCCATTAAGAATGTGATTTTGGCTGGGTGCAGTGGCTCATACCTGTAATACTAGCACTTTCAGAGGCCAAAGCAGGAAGATCGTTTGAGCCCAGGAATTGGAGATCAGCCTGGGCAACATAATGAGACCAATATCTACAAAAAAATTAAAAATCATCTAGGCATGGTGGCACACACCTGTAGTCCAGGCTACTTGGGAGGCTGAGGTGGGAGGATTGCTTGAGCCCAGGAGGTCGAGGCTGCAGTGAGCCATAATCGTGCCACTGCACTCTAGCCTGGCATGAGACAAAGTTGAGATTCTGTCTCAAAAAAAAAAAGTGATTTTATCCTAAGTTGGAGGGGGGGATGATGTGGTTTATAAATAAGTGAAAATAAATTAGAAAGCTACTCTGGCAAGCTGTGAGAATTGAAGACAAAGAGAAGCCAGAGTGGAATCAGAGAAAACAGTTAGGAAGCTACCAAAGTTCTTTGGGTAAGATAATGTAGGGTATCATCTGAGCTACAAGCAAAAAGCTGGACTGATTTGAGAAATATTCATTGGCCGAGCAAGGTGGCTCACATCTGTAATCCCAGCACTTCGAGAGGCTGAGGAAGGAGGTTCACTTGAGCTCAGGAGTTCGAGATCAGTCTGGGCAACATAATGAGACCCCATCTCTATAAAAATAAAATAAATAATAAAAGAGAAATCCAAAGGACATCAAGATGAACTGGGTGTGAGAGGGATGTCAATTATGACTTAGCTTTCTCATTTTAGCAAGTGATGGGCCATGAATAGAGACAGTGAAAGCTGAGGTGGAGCTGATTTGGGGCATTCTGTTCTATGTATGCTAAGTACAATGTGTCTCTCTGATGTCCAGGTAGAGCTGTCAAGTAAGAAACAGAATACAGGAGCTCAAGAGAAAAGTCTGGACTGGTTATTGATTTGGGATCACTAGCATATAAATGGCACTTTCAGCAATGAGAAGACATGAGCCCACCTAGGGACAGAGGGCAGACAGTGATAAGAAAAGGGCCTGGCACAAGAGAGGGGAGCCAGCAAAGGTGACTCTGAGAAAGAGAACCCAGAGAAATGGTAGGAAAACCAAAAGAATGTGAAACCAAAGAAATCAACAGAACAGTGCAAGAAAAAGAAGGGGTGAAGTAAGAAACGGACTGAAGAGTGCCCACTAGATTTGGCTGTGGTGGGGTGGCAGGGGCAGAAGCCACGTCAGAGTGACTGAAGAGTAAATGGGAGATGAAGTTAACACAGCAGATGTAGACAATACATGGCAGGGATTTGGTCATGAAGGGTGGCAGAACAACAGCTGGATTACTCCAAAATAGGCAATGAATAGGACCAGGTCACCATTGTCTGTGCTGTTGGATGCATTATGAGCCTTTTTCTAAAGACTGTGAATGAATGAATGAATGAATGAATGAATGAATGCAGGAGCGAGTCTAGATTTGGGGAGGGATAGAAGGGCTGAGTTGCTGTGCCTTATGTTTGTGTAAGGGTGGGCCTGGGTAGAGTGTGAAGGGCATGCCTGAAAGTATCCTCTGCTGATGTAGACACTGGCATCCTGATGTTCTCTCTACAGTTGTAATGGGTTCTGGAGTCTGAAGACTTAATACCAGGAAAACATAGCAGGAGGGAGGACAGATTGAAGGTTGGCGGAAGGACCAGGAGGCGGGAGGCAAGCTGAAGCCTCTGTCTGGTGAAGGGAAAGGCTGGGAGGAAGAGTGGGAGTGGTCTGCTGGGTCCTGCTGGGGTAGCTGGATGCCAGGCTCCACCTCTCTCCAAGCCTAGGGGCTCTCCCAGACTGTCACACAGGGGCGGGGATTGGGCTATGTCCAAGGACCAATAGCTCCTCCCCCACTCCTCCCCTTCCTGCTTCAGTTCCCCTCCCAGACTTACTGGGCATGCAGCCGCTGAGGCCATACCCCTGCCTGAATCTGAGATTCTCTTCCTCCCGTGGGGTCCTAGCTCTTCCATCCCACTGTGCTCTAGAGATTTGCCCCCAAGATCCTATAGGTGGTGGTTCAAGTGAACTGTTTATCACAGCAGACACTTATAAGGCCTTGGTCTCAGAGCCAGACTTTACTCTCCTTTCTCATACTGCCTTCTGCTATCCCTGTATTGGTTATTCCCACCATACTTTATGGCTTAGTTCTCAAGGCACCTCACTCCCTCATTCAGCATTCACTTGACACTGCTGCTAGGCCTGGGGACACAAAGACAAATAGTCACAGCTCAGCCTTCATGGATTCCACAATCTAATAAATAGATTACTGCAATGTAAAGTGGTGAAGACCATGATGAGGAAGCACCAATTGCTCCAGGAGTACAAAGGTTACCTAACCTAGATCTGGAGCAGGGGTGGGTCCAGAGGTTGGAGGCCAACCTTTCTCCTAAAGAAAGTAACTTTAGTAACTCCTAAAGAAAGTAACGTTCAAGCTGAGGATGAGTTACAGAGAGTATGGTGCCTTTTGCATCAGGAGGCTGAATCAGACACTGTGATGGGAGGGCTAAGAAACAAGATGGAGAGGTAGGCAAAAGATATATCATGCAATGCCTTGTTGGTCTTATTAAGGAGTTTAGACTTTACGCTTACCTGCTAGGGGATGAAGGATTTATCCAAAAAGCAAAGGAAAACTTTGGTAGTGGTGAGGGCTATTAAGTATAGAGTGACAAAAGTACATTTTTGGCTGCTATGTGGAAAATAGTTTAAAGGGCAAGGACGGAAAATTAAGAAACTGCCTTGATTAGGAGAATAGCAAAGACAGGCCAAGATAAATCAATTTTGCAGGGGGATATCAACTGAACTTGGTGGCTGGGTATTTACATGTGAAGAGTTAGGGGAGAAGAAGGAATTAACAGATGATTCTTTGGAAACTCTCAAAGAAGAGCAGTTTGGATGAGAGGGTGATAAGTTTGGTGTTTATCTTTTAAGGTTTTTTCAGTTTTGTTTTTGTTTTTTAAGAGACAGGGTCTTACTCTGTTGTCCAGGCTGGAATGTGGTGTTATGATCATAGCTCACTGTAGCCTCAAACTCCTGGGCTCAACTAATCCTCCTGCCTTGGCCTGCCAAAGCGTGGGGGTTGCAGGCATGAGCCACAGCACCCAGCTAGAGTTCACTGTTTAATGTGATGAATCTGAGGTGCCTATGGGATGTAATTCAAGTGGAGAGGTCCAGTTGGCAGTTGGAAAGATACGCTGAAGCCTAAGAGAGAGGTCTGGCCTGGAGACATGAATGTGGATGTTGGTGCAGAGATGGTTCCTGAAGCCATGGGCGTGGATGACATTACCCTGAGAGGGTAAAGAGAGAAAGGAGGGTCTATCACCAAGTCCCAAGGAACCTCAATATTTAAGAGATAGGCCCAGGAAGCAGAGTCTGCAAAGAAGATTGAGAAGGCACAACCAGAGAAGCAAGAGAATCAGGAAACAGATGTCATGAATGCCAAGGGAGAAGAGAACTTCATGAACAAGGGAGTGAAATGCTGCAGAGGTCCCATTATTTAAGCCCCAAAGAGGCTTTCATTAACCTCAGAGCATGTGGTTTTCAGGGGATGGAGGACAGGAAGCCAGATGCAGGGAGTCAAGCAAGAAGCTGATTGTGAACAAATGAAGACAGCCAGTGCTGACTCCACTAGATCCTGGACATCTGCAAAGGATGTGTTTCAAGGCTTTTCAGTTTCTCCAAATTCTCAAATAGCATTAATTTTCCCCAGGACTTCCTCCTACAATCTCACAGGATTCCCAGTACACATGAGTTACACAGTTGTGAATGGAGGTAACCAAGGCATTGTTGAAAATGGATGCGAGAGGTCAGCTAGGCTCATTTGCTTGCTAAAATAACTCACGTCTACTCACTAGCTTCCAGGTTTATCTGATCATTTGAGACCTCAAAAAAATGACAAATGACTGCAGGTTACAGTCTTTGGGCTTTCTCTGAAACAAATGAAGCCTTGGATGAGGCAAAGTCCTTAAAGCCAATGAATCCTTTAAATAAGATTAGCAGGGAAGGAAAGCAATGAAATTCATGGCCATCTCCCCCAACATTGCCAGACTGAGTAAAGTGAATGAACCATTCAATCAAACTTCTCTGGGCACACTGTGGGCCAGGTCCTTCAGCTGTGAAATAGAGACACAAAGCTGAATCAGACACACTCCCTGTCTTTCACAAGTTTTTAGACTAATGTGAGAAACAGAAATGGAAACACGTAACTACAATGTGATAAGTACCATGATATTGACATGTTCAAATTGCTACAGCAGCAAACTGGAGGAAGTACCTAACTCTGAGGATGGTACAGAATAAAGAAGGCTTCCAGAGGAAGGGGTATTTGAGCTGGGTCTTGAGAGACAAATAGGACATTGATACGTACATTGGGAAAACAGTGAGTAAAGAAACAGAAACATGAGAAACTAAGAAATATGGAACAGATGGACAAGATTGCAAATCTCCAAAAGGCAGAGGTTATACATGATGCTTTTACATCCTAAAAGCATAAAAATAAATATGCTAAAAATAAATAAATCTAAATAAATAAATAAATAAAAGGCACCACCACTCACCCACCCACACAAGCGAGAACCCTGGTAGTCTTCTCAATTACACCTTTTCTTTCACCTTTCAGATACAAGCTATGACTACATCCTCAATTCTGCCTCTGAAATTTGGCTAGGTTTAAAAAGTTAGGAGATCTAGGATCTAGTCCTAATGCTGTAACTAACTCCACTAACACAAGGTGAAACTCTAGGTAAGTTCCAACCCCATTCCCTTATTTGTAAATTGGGAGAAGAGGGATGTTTTCTCAAAATCTGAGATTCCCAAGGTTCCCTCTCAAGCCAAGGGCTTCCACAGATTGTACCATGAGCCCATGATTAAATCCCATCTTGTACTACCTCGATGATTTGACTTCTAGTTTCCACTGTTAGGCTAAATGTGTTAGAGGATGGTCTTAGTTGCCTCCCCTCCACACTCCCCCTGCCCCCTCGCCCCCGTAAATAAATGTTTGCTGAGTTTTAAGTCACCTGTGACACTCTATGAACGCTCTCTATTCTAACCATATGGTTTTTCTGCTTTTCTGAACCTGGGCTATACTATCCCAACGATGGACTCTTTGCTCAAGTTCTCTCGGCAAGAATGCCATTGTCTCCTAAGTGGCTGTGGCAGTACCTGGCACACAGGAAGTACTCAGTATATGTTGGTTACAGGAGAGCTCTGTTTAAATCTCTGCAGTTCCCTTTCATCAGAGAGAGATGCAAAAGTAATGGCAGTAACAAGACAAGTGAATAAAGTCCCAAGAAGAGAGACCTCTGCTTAATATAAGGAAGCTTTTCCACAGCAGAAAGTAGCAAGTGCTCTGTCACTGGAGGCATACAAGCCCAAGGAGGCAGGGCTACTGTCAGGCCTGCAGCTCTGATTCCAATTCTGCAGCAAATCATCCCCTGCTTAGGGGATGAATGGGCACCAGTGAGCTAGACAGACTGGCCAAGGGAGACCTGTGATGTTTTCTGCACCTGCTGTGACCTCCCAGATGTGATCTTCCTGCTAGGGCCAGTCCTGAGTTTCTGTTGTCCACATCAGAGAACCCCCACACCAAGAACAAGCCCAGGGCCTGCCCTCAGTCGAACTGACCTCCCTGGGGTGCAGCCTGCCCCTCCAACCTGCAACCATCTGTCCCTGCAGGTTTGCAGCCCAGGATCTGAAGCCAATTGCAGAAGGGAGGAGGTCAGAACCAGGGAGGGGCCTGGGGTCCTCCAGGCAGGGCTCAGGCTACAGGAGAACCAGAGGGGTCCTTTCCTACAAAAAAACAGCCTCCACATGAGGCTTTCTGTCCACAGAGCAGTGCATGGGGAGGAAAGGGTGTCCTCCATCCTGACTGGTGGGCCTGTGGGTACCAGAGGATGGAAGGGGCGGGGGGTGGGGTAGGGTGGGGGTGGGGGAGCAAGGGGTGGAGGTGTCTGCACCAGGGAGAAAAGAGCCCTTCAGACAAGATGGGCCACAATATTCCAGAGTCCCACTCAGCACGCACCACCACCACCACCCTCGGCCGCAGCGTTCAGCACCCTCCGCCAACACACACAAGCTCCCAAACCCCGCGCTCCCCTAAGGAACCATCACCCATCCACCCGCGCCTCCCCGCCTCAAAACAGGGACCTCACGTGAGCAGCCACAGCCCGAAGAATCCCCCTGCTGCTCTCACGGACATGGACACGCCTCACGTGGGCAGAGAGAGGCACAGCTTTTGAAAATCATCTGTGCCCCCACCCACAGACGCTCCGACCCAGACCCGGGCTGACAGGAATACAAACGCACCCTTGGGGCCCGCCCGTCGCACTCACCGCGTTGGAACAGGATGCGAGGGCAAAGCTCGGACTGCGGCCACTCTGAAGGGCCCGCGGCGCTGCTACTGCTGCCAGCGCCCGTCCGCCCGGCCCTGCCCGCGCCTCCGCCTGTCCCCGCGCCGGCGCCGCCGCCGGACTAGCCGCACAGGCCGGAGGGAGGGGCCGGGGCGGGGCTGCGGACCGGCCGGGGGAGGGGGTGACTCCAGTAGGGAAGACCCACCCACGCCCCGCCCGCCGCCGCGGAGGCCCCGCCCACCCCGCCTGCCCACCCCTACCGCACCCGCACGCCCCCCCGCCAACGCCTCCACCTCCTGCGGACGCTGCCTCCTTGGTGCTGCTAGGGAGCCGGCGGGCCGGCGAGCCGGATCCCGGATCTCGGATCCCGGATCTCCGCCAGCTGCCTCCGGCTCCGGGAAGGGCGGTGTAGTCGGTCTCAGGGATTGAGATGAGACTCCGTCAAGAAAAGGCAGCTGGGGCAGCAGGGATTTCGGACTCTGGGAGCCTGTCTGGGCCGCCTGCCTCCTGGAGGCGCCCTTTCCGGCTTCCTTGGAGTGCTCCTATGGAATATGCTAGTCTATCGGCTGACCAGGAAGACGTAGAAACCGTCTGTACCTCAGCACGATCTCTGGGCGGCAGAAGGGCAGTACCCAGAACTCTGGGAGAAGGAGTTAAGGGGTAGAAAGGTGGGGGATTTGATTAGGCTTTGGGCGCTTCAGGAGCCCCCTCCTGAGGAAATTCTGGTTCAGACCATCCAGCGACTCCCTTCCTCACACCAAAGACACTGGACAATTCTCAGAATCATCGCCTTGTGCAAAAAGCAGCCCCAAGTGGAAAATAATTGTAACAGTTTACAGGGACTGAGTGGTTATTATGTGCCGACACAGAACTAGCCACTTTACATATATTATTTAATAGTCAGTAGGTAGCATCTTTTATTAGCCCAATTTTACAATGGGAAAAAATAGGGATCTTGCTCCCCAGACGTTAGCCCTCATCACTCAGCTAGAAAGTGGCAGAACCTGGAGTTGAGCCCTGTTTTTAGGCCCTACAACCAGCATTTGGAGACTCGGTACCTTTCATGTTGAAAAATCCCCAGTGGCCCATTAAGTGGCAGCTCATATAAGGACCACCTTCCCTGCCCCAAAAATCAAGCTCTAGTCAGATGATTGCAGGCTGATCAAAGCCCAGAAGACTGTCTGGGAGCTGCAGTATCCATGACAAAGGGCAAAGTCATGCCTGTGAGGATCCCTGCACTATGGGAATCTGCTGAGTGGGTCTTCCCCTTCCTCCAGCCTTCCAGAGGTGGGGAAAATCCTGAAAAATTCTGGTTTCCTTGGCCAAAGGGCATACAGGTGATGACACCTAGCCCTGACTAAACCAAAGTGCTGTTAGGGATCTTTCTTGTGACCTCTCCACAAGGTTCAGATTTAGGCTCAACACCTGGGTGCAGCAGGAGCTTTGGGAACCGCCTCAACCTCTTATCCACCTGAGTTCAGCACATAGCACAAGATGCTCCAGTGCTTGTGAAGGAAACCCAGACGGGGATCATGCTTGCAGTTTTGGGCTGGGGCTACTATGCTACCCAAGATGAGGGAACTGGAGTCTAGATGACACTATCTTAAGCCTCAGAGGACTACTTTTCTCAACTCTATACTTCTCCCATGCAGTCAAATTTCTGCTTAAAACACTTCTCAGCTCCTTCTCCAGAGGGCAAAAGTCCTTAACCAGCCTGCAGTCTTCATCTAGCCACTCCCTCTTCATTTTTCATTCCAAGCAATTCCTCCCAGTTCCTACTCAGAGCCTTCATTATATGCTAGCCTCTCTGCCTGGGATGCTCTTCCCTTTACCCTGCCTGTTTGTCATCTACTCACCCTTCAGGTCTCAGCTTTTTTTTTTTTTTTTTTGAGATGGAGTCCCGCTCTGTTGCCCAGGCTGGAGTGCAGTGGCGCAATCTTGGCTCCACTGCAAGCTCCGCCTCCCGGGTTCACACCATTCTCCTGCCTCAGCCTCCCGAGTAGCTGGGACTACAGGACTACAGGCGCCAGCCACCGTGCCGGGCTAATTTTCTTGCATTTTTAGTAGAGATGGGTTTTCACCGTGTTAGCCAGGATGGTCTTGATCTCCTGACCTGGTGATCCGCCCGCCTCGGCCTCCCAAAGTGCTGGGATTACAGGAGTGAGCCACCGCACCTGGCCAGGTCTCAGCTTTCAAACTGACATCCCCATTTCCACCCCAGTCCATGCCAGATGCCCCTCCTTTGTGCTCCCACAGCGCCCTCTGTACTTCTGTATCCTAATACTTATCACTGTTTTGTAGTTGCCTGGTTACTTCTTTCCCTCAGTAGGCCCTAAGCACTGTGGGCAGGGACCGTGTTTTATTCACTGATGTTTCCCCAGGGCCTAACGCAGTCCCTGGCAAATGAAAGCACTCAGTAAATATTTGCTGTATGAATGAATGCATGATGAAGGTCAGCAAACCCAACCCCCTCTGGATCTGGTGCTCTTAAGATCCATAGCTATCTTGGTGCTGGCTAAAGGACAAAGCTTTGGCTCCAACTGAGGCTGGGAGAGAAGACTGGGCCTTCAAACCATCTCTGAAACCTGTGACTTCAGCTGCCTGGCCCCAGCTCTTTTGACTTGATAGGGTTCTGGTGTTTGATTAGACTGAGCTTGTCTCCACCCAGGCCACCCTCCTAGAGTCCCCGACAAATTGACCTCGCTGGGCCTGCTTTTATGAAAGGTTTATTCCTAGTGCTAGATCCCAATCTTCTTGGGCTCTAAGCACAATTAAACTGGGTGGGTGGGTGAGGGTAGGCCTATTCAGATGCAAGGCCAGCAATGGGGCTCCCCATTATCCCCACCCCTTTGGTCCCAGTCCCCTTCTCTGCAATGGGCACGCATAGAGGAGAGACAAAGGGTATTAGACGCAACATCATTGGCCCAGGGGAGTCCGAGAAGAGCTGCCATTGGCTGACAGGGCATTTTCAGGCTCTGTCATTGGTCAGGGAGCACACCCCAGCCTGAAGAGTGATGCCATTGGCCAGGGAGTGGTTTTGTCATAGCCGTTGGCTGTGAAGTGGAAGGAAAAGATCTGGGAATGAAGCCCTGTGGCCAGGAAGATAGACAGGGCAGCAACTTCTGGGCCTCCAGGCCCTCTTCCCACCATAGCAATGTGGGCAAAACTGGTGTCAGGCCCCAGCCAGAAAAAGGAGCCCAAGCCAGAGGGCAAGTGACAAAGGATGTACCATGTCCAATCTCCCACACCCTGGGGCTGCCCTTCCCAATGTCTTTCTTGATAGCCAAGTTGGGCTGGGAGCAGCTCACTGCTCCTCTAGCCAGGAGGGTTTCTCAGCTCCTGGAGGCCGCAGCTTGATGTTGAACTGCTGCAGGGTCTGCTCCAGCTGTTTCTGGTTCCCAGCAAAGTAGGCGGACACAGCATTGTGGAAGAGCAGCAGCTGCTTGTGCATCACCTTGATCTGGGGGTCCAGCAGGGTCAGCTAAGGCTGGACTCAGGCGCCCTTCTTGAGGGTCTATGAGCCTGAGCCCAGGCACAGACCAGGGGCACAAGGACTCTGCTCTGATGGTGCTTTTGGGGTAGGGGCTGAACTCTACCCAGGGAGTCAAAGGAGAAGGGTCAGTATGATGGAAGAAACCTCACTGGATTTGTGGGCCTAGGGTTTTTGTACCCCAGCTCAGGGGGTGATTTTTCCCAGTTATGTTCCTGGGACCAGCAGCCAAATCCTCCAACAGGAAAGGGCCAGGAATTGGAGGGAGGGTGATCTGGAAAGGCCCAGGGGTTGAGGGGGTGAACACTCTACTCCCCAGCTAGGCTGCATTTCCTCATTCAATAATGGGGAGGGTCTGAGGGGAAGGTTAGTGTTACAGATGGAAAGGTGGGCTAGGGTCAAGGGGGTGGGGTTGGCACCTTGTTTTCTTCCAGGAACTTGAGCTTGATGGCCACATCTCCCCGCAGCTTCTCATACTTGTCCCGATGGGCCTGGAAAGTGGCCTGGGCACTCTCAAGTCGACCACGTGTCCCTGCATCCCGGGGGCCTAGACTCAGCTCCTCTAAGTCTGTTCGGTAGGCATCATATTCCAGCCTGGGGAGGGGGTGATAAAGGCTGGTCTCCACTCCTTTATCCTCAACACATACTCTCCTTTCCTTCCTGAATTCTTATGCCCCTAATGCCCAAATTTCCACCCATACCAGCCAACTCCCCAAACCCTAAGCCCTGCCAGTGCCCACACCTGGCAGCCTCATACTGTTTCACAGTCATGAGCGTGTCTTCCATGGTCTTGGTGACCAATGTGTTGATGCTAGAGACAAAGAAGTTCACGGCTCCTAGCAGCGTTTCCCCATTCTTGCATAGTAGTTTCTGTGTCTCTGCATTGTAGCCAAATTCCTCCTGAGGGCAGAAGGGAGGAACAGACCTTGAATAACACTCCCTACCTGACTGAAGCTGTAGAGCCCTTCATTCCCCTCCTCCCCGGGGAGGACACAGCCAGCAAAACTGGAACAACCAAGGACTGCCTCCAGCAAGGCTCTCTTAGCCGGAAAGTTAGTGGGATCACCCTGGGGATACCTGGGGTAGGAATGTGGGTGGTGGGCATTCTTGGGTAAGTTCACAAGACTGGAACAGTCTGAGAGCTAGTGTGGCAAGCAGGGGAGGGGCTCTGATTAGGCTGAGCACGAAGGCATTCTCCCCAGTGCAGAGAGGGGTTATTTGTGAGGCACCTAGTGTGCCCCCTCCCCCACCCCCTCCAACTTCTGGACCTCTGTACAAACCCTTAGGCTGCCTCCACAGGTGAGTGCTGCTGGGGGTAGGGCTGGGCCCACCCTGAAGGGGTTCTCCCTGTGGGCTGCAGGAGGGAGGGAGGATGAGGAATGACTGCCTGGGAGGGCCCATGCCCAGTTCCCCCACCCTCTTTGGTCTGGGTGAGGCACCTGAAGCTCTGGGGACTTCTGGCTGAGGTCAGCAAAGGCATCACCCAGTGCATGCTGGGTCTGCAGCAGGCTGTAGAGGTGGGCTGTCAGTGCCCGGCCCAGCTGCAGGACACTCTCATACTTGCGCTTCGTCTCACGCAGCAACTCAATCTGCAGCTCTAGCTCCAGGTCCACAGTCCGTGAGCCTCGACCAAATCGTTCTGATAACAGTTGCTTTGTGCACTGATTGGGAAATGGGGGAATAAATCAGAGACCCTAACAGCCTCCCCACACAACAGGTATCTACCCCAGCACCCCCCAGGCTCCTACTCTCAGCCACAGATGGGATATTACGATCACGAAGAAAAGGGAAAAAGGTACCCATAAGGAGTTTTGGGGAAGGGAGAGGTGCTTAAATCCTACCTTATAGGTGTTGATGCCCCATTTCTTGACGATGTCAAACTTTTCTCCAGCAATGCCCCGAGCCACCTCATCTCCAGGGCCAGAAGGAGTGGTGCTGTGAGATGGATGGCGGCCAGACCCTAAAGGATCAAGTTCTCTGACACCAGCCTCTCTCAGATACACCAGACACCTCTGTGGCCCCACCCATACTTCTCTTCGAGCACATGAAATTGACTTCCCTGAAGGAGATGCTAGAGACAACTGGATGCTCCTGCTTACTAGGAGGAACTCGGACTTTGCGCGGTGAGAACCAAATCCTGATATACATATGGCCTCCTTGGGGGTTAGAGGAGGGGTTTGCAGGGAGTTGTTGGTGTACAGGGGCAGAGGAAACAGAAGAAAATACACTGAGTTTGGGGGCAGCAGGAGTCAAGGATGGTGGGTCATGATAACAAGAAACCTGGTTGCATTCCCATGTGGAATCTTAGTGTGAGATTCAGGGCTGTTTGTTCCTCTAAACTTTAGAATCTAAAAATTCTGAGAAGCTTCACAAAGTTCCAACTCAGCCTCAAGCTGTAGAGGGGGGGCATTCCTGTGAAGCAGGTCTTAACTTGACTCAGGTGGTGGCAGGGAAAGGACAAATGAGCCATTTCAGGGGCTAAGTGGCAAAAGGGAAATGGATGGACAACGCTGGGAGTTGCTTTTGGGCTGAGGAGAGTCCATGAGGTTCCTACAAGCAGAAGTTCCCAAGATCTCCAGACATAATTCAAGCTTTCCTAGACATATCCTATGCTTCCCCAAACCATTCCTGTCCCCTCCTCCACCCAAGATTCCTGTTTCTGAACATTCATACCTGTGGGGATGAGTCCATCACCAGAGCCCCCATAGCCACCAGACACAATGCTGGTTTCATTGAGGTTGGGTCCTGACACCATCACCTGCTGGAGGTCCTATAGGCCAGAGAAGAGGGGTTGCTTCAGGAACATAGGGGCTGCAGAAGCATTTTGGAGGTGGGAACAAGTTTGGATTCAAGCATCATAAAGATAGTACACAAGGGAAGTCTGCACAGAATCAAAATGATACGTAAAAAGAATGAAGGGAGTCAGATAAGTCAGGGGAAGGCTACTGGAATGGAGGGTGAGAACCTAGGATTTATAAATTGGATTCCTAAATTGAAACAATTAGAAGAATCAAACAGAAGCACCTGCTCCAGCCCATCATCTTCAGGAAGCTGCCTGGCTTCGCCGTTCCCGTGGATAGGGATCTCCATTGTGGCTGCCTTCCCTAGGATCCCGTCCGTCATGGCTAGGAAAGGTATTGGAGTAAAACTCTCCACCCCAGCACCCTGCAAAGCCCAACACAGAAGTTCTGGACACTGGCCAGCACTCTAGAAGAAGGAGGCCTCCTCTGTCATTTCTTTAAAGGCTGTCCCAGGGTTTGAGTGTCCCAGCGTTTGGCCATCATTCCTTTCTTCAGATATATGTATTTCTCCCCTCCAAAACGCACATTTGAAACAGGCACACCAAAGCACGGTGTCTTCTCACAAGCCCCCAACCTCACCAGGACTCTGGTGATTATTTCTACACTCATTCAGCAGACATTTAGTGAGTGCCTACTATGTGTCAGGCACTATTTGTGACAATGAAAATACAACAGTGAAGAGGGAAAGTCTGCTCTCTTAGAACTTATCTCCATGCAGGCGTGTTTATGCTGAGGAGATGAACCCTTTCCAGGGCTCAGGTCTTCACCCCCCTATTCAGGTTTGTTCTCCATTGCTTGGCCTTTCACATTCCTTTAGCGTTTCTTCCCCCTTCCTTCAGGGGGTCTCCCCTCCTCCGTCTCATACACCTCGTCTTCCTCGGGCCCTCCCCACCAGGCCTTAGTTAGATCAGTGGGTGTATGTTCCCAGTCTCTGGTAAAAGCCTCTCTCTCCCAGGATATCGGTGACCCTTCCACAGTCAGTTATGTCTCCCAGGTGTGTGAGTCCCCGCCCCCACCCCCATACACCTGGACATCAGGTGTGTCCTCATCCTTCCCCGGGGCTCGGGGCATCTTGCCCTCTGGACAGGTTTGTGCGTTCAACTTCCCGTCGCCCAAGCATGTTCCTCTCACCTCGGGCCGGGCCGCTCTTCCCCTCAGGGCGCCAGGCCCGGGCCGCGCGGGGACCTCGGGCTCCAGTTCCCGTCGCGATCCTAGCAGCAGGTCAGGGACTCGGCGGAAATGACGTCCTCTCCGGGCAGAAGAAGCCGGCCACGTCGCAGATTATAAGGGCGGAGCTGACGTCGCAGCCAGGGCAGGGCGATACTCGAGCTAGCTCTCGAGATCAGCGAGAGGTTACTTCCGGGGCGGCACCGAGAAGCTGAAACGGAAGTGGCGTACGGCATGCGCCGGTGGCGTGATGGAGCGGCAGCAGCAGCAGCAACAGCAACTGCGAAACGTAAGTGAGAACTAAGTCGTTTCGAGGCCAGACGTTCAGCTCGCATTCCTGCACACATCGCGGGAACCCCACAGGGCCAGGGATTTGAGGGCTGGAAACTTCGGGCTATGGCGCGCGGGCCTGGGAAACTTTGGGCGGCGCGACCTTGACTAGAAGTGTGGGGCCCTTATCGCTGAGTTTGTGGTCCCCCTTTTCTCTCAGCTGCGTGACTTCCTGTTGGTCTACAATCGGATGACAGAACTCTGCTTCCAGCGCTGTGTGCCCAGCTTGCACCACCGAGCTCTGGACGCTGAGGAGGTGGGGAACTGTGTAGGGAGGTTACGCTGCAAGAAGAGTTTAGCGGTAGACTGCTTCCCTCCTCACCCCACTTCCCGTACCTCTGGCCCTGGCCTTCCCACGACCCTCACCCCTAGGCTGGGCATGGGGAAGAAAGGAGGCGGACCCGACAGGGCACCTTTATCCTCCACTTAAACCCTATCTTCCTTCTAGGAGGCCTGTCTGCACAGCTGTGCTGGGAAGCTGATCCATTCCAACCACCGCCTCATGGCCGCTTACGTGCAGCTCATGCCTGCCCTGGTACAGCGCCGCATCGCAGACTACGAGGCTGCCTCGGCTGTGCCAGGCGTTGCTGCTGAACAGCCTGGGGTCTCTCCATCAGGCAGCTAGCCATACCCAACCCCAGGAAGGAAGGCCTTGGATGGACCCTCAGATTGAAGGACCCGGTGGACCTTGGGGTTGGTGAATCCTAAACAGAGAGAATTCGAGGTTGCCTGAAAGCTGGGTGTCCTTGCTCCTTTTCCTGGAGCCAATATACCCAGTTTTTACTCAGTTTGATTTATATTCTGGGCAAGGAAGCTTTGCCTACTTTATTGGCACAATCCGTTGTTCTGTCGTTTAGTGCATATCTGCTGGCTTCAGCCCTGGCAGCTGAGAAATTGTTTTCTATATGTAGAAGGAAAACCTGAGCATTTGCAGGCATCTGGTTAAAGCAGGGTCTGTGTGTACAATTTTAAAACGGGTAATATGTCATGCTCTTAGTTCATCTTCACAACAAAACTATGAGTAAGCGGTATTAGCCTCACTTAACAGATGAGGAAGCAAGATTCCAGAAAGTACCAGAAGGTCATTTTATACAACAGGAGATTGGTTCCTGCCCAGATGACAGAAAATGGGAGCTCTGTCTAGTTGTCCTTAAGTCTGACTGACTTCAGTGGCTCATAACCGTGAGCCAAGTATTTGTTGGTTCATAACTGTTGTTTTGTGAACTATGTCTTACATGTCTAGAGTTCTGCTGGATCTAGGGAAAGGAGGAGCTATCGAAGTACAACGGATCAAAAAACCACAGGGCTTTTGGGCACTGCCTCCTTGGGAAGTTAGTGGCCACAGAAGAGAGATGAAACCTGTAAGAAGTCTGGAGTCTTTTGGAACTTCAGCCATTTCCCCAGGTTGTTACTTTCTTAGTATGTACAGTCTTCTCAGGATGAGCAGTAAAACCTTTGAACAAAGGTCTGTGTGGTTGTCTTCACGGGCAATCAGGAAGGGAGAGAGCTGGGGACCATATTCTGCAATGCAGCCAAATCCGAGGAAGAGAAACTGAAGGGAGAAGTAGATGGCAATGGTTATGATAAAAAGGGATAAAACTAAATCTTCGGGACTTCTTTAATGCTACGTTAATGTTTCACTGCTCGTCTAGAAACTCCTAAATCCAGCTTTCTATCATCTGCCCCACATTGGTCCCATTGAGTACATTCTGTGATTTCTAATTCCAGCCTCTCCATTCTTTTCTCATTATTGCCTCCCCCGCCCCCCAACTTTGTGTAATTTACTTCTGTATTCAGCAGCCTGGATAGCATATCATTCCATCACCCCATTTTCTTGCCACCATTGGCCATCTTTTTGTATCATTCCACTTATTCTGTCTTTTCCATTCCTTCATTCAAACTGCTAGAGAAAAACAGTTGTGTAATGAATGCCACTAAATATTCAAGGCCTCCAACCTCAGCCAAGTCCTCACACCAACACGCAGTCACACCAACACACACCTTTATGGGTTCCTGGTCCATTTCCTTCTCTAATTACCATGGCAGTTATTTTACACCTCTACTGCTGTCCTTAATCCCATACCCCACCCTCATCAGGTGACCCTGTTTCCTTTTTTAGAGAAATTGAAGCTCTTAGACATTGGTTTCCACAGTAATAATTTTAAAACTTCTTACAACTACCTACAAAGCAGATGTTCTATCCTATCTACAGAGCAGAAAATTGAAATTCTCAAGTAGCAGACCCGGTATTAAAGTGCAGATCTGACTTTAAAGTCCATGTTCATTTTACACAGCAGGCTGCCTCTTAAGATAGTATTTATTGAGCACACACTTTGTGTAGGTTCTGATTTTGGTAGATGTCATGCTTTATATTAATCTTTACAACAACTATAAGTAAGAGGTATTAACCTCACTTAACAGATGAGGAAGCAAGAATCCAGAATGTGCCAGAAGGCACATTCTGCAGATTTCGTGCAAACATTTATACACAGCTTCTTTTTTTTTTTTTTGAGACAGAGTCTCGCTCTGTCACCCAGGCTGGAGTGCAGTGGAGCGATCTAGGCTCACTGCAACCTCCGCCACCCGGGTTCAAGCAGTTCTCCTGCCTCAGCCTCTCGAGTAGCTGGGATTACAGGCATGCGCCACCACGCCCAGCTAATTTTGTTTTTGTATTTTAAGTAGAGACGGGGTTTCACTGTATTGGTCAGGCTGGTCTTGAACTCCTGACCTTGTGATCCGCCCGCCTCGGCCTCCAAAAGTGCTGGGATTACAGGTGTGAGCCACCACGGCCGGCCTATACAAAGTTTCTTATTGAGAAAAGTGGTTCCAATCATGTTTTTTGCCCCCTTTAGCTGCTATCTCTTGAACAGAAAAGTTTGTTAGGAAGGTAAAAGTTGCTGACTAGGACCTTACCCACAGGGTGGCACTCTGTCCTTGGGAAATATAAATGCAAGTAAAACAGGTTTGAACTTCTTAACTTCCAGAAGATAGGAGGATGGGACCTGTGATACTGTGCTGCTGGTGGGAGGACCCTTCCACATCAACATTTGTGTGTATCCTTGCAATAAACTTCCATTGTGAATTATCTGTGCTTCCCGTCCTTCCATGTCACACAATAGTAATTGCTAAAGAAGAGCTAGGAGCATAGATCTGTCTGATTCTAAAGCCTTTGCTCTTTGAACTTTGAGAGCTTCTATCTGTACTTAACCTGCCTCTAGGCATGAAAAAACAAATGTCCCTCAGTCTGACCCATCTCTTAATCCCTTTCTTAAAATTTCAATCTCTTGTCCTGGTTCTTTCCTGTTTATAAATATGTTCAGTGTTCAGGAGAAAAACCTTATTCCTACCACTTTACCTTCCATAATCTGGTCTTCCTCAGGTTTTACCATAAAGTGATAGCCATTGGCATAATCGGAGCAATGTGATGTTCCAAGCACAACACTAAAGAATAAATGTTGACAAGCTTTATCATGTTATCATAAATGTAAACGTTGGAGATACTTTGTTGTTCCTGCCATTGTGGCTTCAGAACTGCCCACTCCTTTGCAAAGCCTCATTCTTTTGAGGCTGTTCATCCATACAACCCTCTGATTACTTGTCTACCACTCTCATTTACTACTACTCTCCTGCTACTTTAAATAGCTAGCCCTTGGTCTTCCTGTCCACTCCTTGATATTTTAACATTTACATAGACAATTCATTTGGTGTTTTGTCTCCTAGTTATTTGGCCCAATCTCTGATGATTTCCACTCTGTCTTGGCCACTCACTCCGTTTGTCATATCTTGGCCATTATCATCACCTCAAATTGCTCCATCTTCAAAATACTTGCATCTTATTTATTGACCATATTCCTTCCACTTGGTTTATTGAACTATTCCCTCTATCATTCTCTGATTTCACTGCAGCCAATGCTTCTGCTTTCCATTAGTCCCTTCCTTCTTTAGATTCCTGTATAGCTTAAACTAGTGGTTTTCGTGCAATAGGCTGAATTTCCTTGCCTTTCATCTCTTTTTGAACCCTTAAATAAAGTGATACTTGTCTGTACCTGCATTTGGACAGCTAAATGCCACCCCAGGAAACAACTGTGGAGCAGATTTATATCACTATGAATCCATGGTTATCAGCTTCAAATGTAGTCTCAGCCCCATAGTCCTACTAGATTTTTCTAGTCATTTTAACTTTTCCCTGCAATGACTATTTCAAACCAACATTCTTAAATCTCTTATCACTCCCCCGCACCATTATCTTCACTTTATGCAAGTAACTATTTCTTACATCATAGACAAAAGTAGAAGCTATCGGTCATTCTCTCAACATCCTACAACTTATTTACCCACACATATGCATCATTCTTTCTCTTTTGTCTAAACAAGGCAAGCATACATCTGTCTAAAGCCAGTGCCTATTCTGTGCTCGGAATCTTAGTCCTTCCATCTTGGAGGATCTTTGACTTCCACTTTACTGAATTATTCTCATCAGTGTTTAAACATGCTAAAGATTCTCCTGTTAATAAACCACTTCATACCTCATTTCCCCTCCAGTTACACTTCTATCTTTTCTACTTTACAGTTAAACTTCTCAAAACAGTTGGATAGTTTGGGCCTCTCCATTTTACAAGTCATTTCCCATTTTCATTCCTCAACCGAGTCCATTTTGACTTCTGCAACCATCATTCTGTTGAAATGGTTCTTGCCAAGGTCACCTTGGTGATCACCTTCCTATCCTTCAATCCGGTGGTTATTTCCCAGTCCTCACTACCTCACTTCTCAGTAGCATTTGGTATAATTTTCTAGTTTCTTATCATTGATACTCTTCCATTGGCGTCTGATTCTACTTTCATGGTTTTACTACTACCTCTTTGATCTTTGACCACAGCTGCTTAGCCTCCTTTGCAGGCTCATCCTCCTCCCAGCCTTTAAATCTGAAAGTTTCTCTCGGTTCTGTTCTTCTCACTCTAATTTTCCTAGGACAGTTTCATCCCCACTCTGAACTTTAGTTACTGATGACTTCCAGATCTCCTCCAAGCTATTTGACATCTCCACTTAAGTATCTCAAAAACATCCCAAACTCAACATGTTTCCTAATAAACTATCCTATGCCTGGTACTCATCCAGTTGGAGAAGCTAGAAGGCATTTGCCTTTTTCTATCACTCAATTGCCAGATCTTATCAGTTTACATTTCTAAATATCCCTTGATTCTCACTGCCTCTCTCTCCACCTTCACCATAATCTCCCACCAGGATTACTGCAGTTGCTGCTGCTTCCTATACCCACTCTTGTATCCCTTCAATCTGTTGTTCACTCATAAGCCATAAAATGCAAACTAATGCTTAAACTTTGCAAGAGCTTCCCATTCTTAGGATAAAAACTGAAATTCTAAATATGACCTACAAGGCCCTGCATGATCCAGCCTGTGACTACTTCCAGCTTTATCTTATCAGTAACTATCAAACAATGGACTGTCAATACTATTTGCTGAATTTATTCAAATCACACTTCACTCTTTCCCTCTGTGCTCTGGCCACACTGGCCTTCTTTCACTTTCTCTAAATTGTCATGTACTGTTTCATCTCAAGGCCTTTGTATGTGCTGTTTCCTGGCTTACAATGCTTTCCCCCTTTATCTACTTCTCATTCTTGAGATCCTAGTTACTATTTCCTCAAAGAACTCTTCCCCAGACTCCAGCTCCCATAATTCCTCATGCTTTTGGTGTATCGCACTTTTTTCAATATATTTTTCAAGTTTTACTTTGAATGATGTTAATTACAGCATTTGAAGGGGAGGATCTAAATTCACACAAAATGGAAGGCTCTAAAATACACCCATTAAACTGCTAAAAAATAAATTGAGTGGTGAGAATACAACGGAAGTCCAATTTAGATTCTGAGTGTTGTCACCATGTGATTCTTCCAAGCTTATATCCAGAACTCCTGGAAGCTATTTCATATTCTGGTGGGGGGGGCACAAAACCACAGCATGAGAAGGAATTAAGTCCTGAATTATTGGCTTCATCATATCCACCCTCTCCACCCCAGAATGGCAGAAAAGAAACAGTTACCACACCCTGCAGACCTTTTGGTGTAAAATAGGTGATGATTAACTGGGGTGGAAACAGGTCATGAAGATCTGTCTAAAAGAGTCCCTTTCAAGTGAGTTTGCACACACCATCAAGCAACAAGCCTCTCATTAATTAGGGTTAGGAAACCAAGGTTCAATTCTCAGGAAGTCATAATTTCATTCATTTACTCAATATGAATTTACAAAATGCCTACATATTATCAGCTTCCATGTGCAGTCATTTCTAGATAAAAAAGAAACCTGGCTTCTCTAGAGGGGCCACCAAGTTCCTCCTCCAAGTCTATAGCTGAAAGGACCTTTTTTGGAATTGGGTTTCTTCTCTACCTCTGAAAGAGTAACACTTTAAAGCTGAATTATCTTTAGCCTGGAAATTAACATATTTAGCCTGTAAGTCTAACATTTAGCAATGCTTGCATCCCAGACATACAGTAGAAGATACACTAAATTCTGAAGGTAGCTGTGCTGCAAAATAATGTAAAAGTAAACAATTGTACAGTATTTATGCTCAAAATTTCAGTTCCAGACCTAGCGTGTAACCACTGGCATTGTTATTCTTGCCATCCAGGAGAGCTGACAGTGTCATTTTGATACCTGGCTTTAGGGTCTCAGTGTATTCTAAACCTGTTAGGCTAGAGTTGTTCACTTAGCCAAGAAGCAGGTGTCAGGGTTGATCAGATACTTGGGTATTCCAAAGTGAGTGTTTGTATTAGTCTGTTTTCACACTGCTAGTAAAGATACACCTTGGGACTGGGTAATTTATAAAGGAAAAGGTTTAATGGGCTCACACAGTTCCACGTGGCTGGAGAGGCCTCACCATTGTGGGGGAAGGCGAAAGCCACATCTTACATGGTGGCAGGCGGGAGAGAAAATGAAAGCCAAGTGAAAGGAGTTTCCCCTTATAAAACCATCAGATCCCGTGAGACATTCACTACCATGAGAACAGTATGGGGAAACTGCCCCCATGATTCAATTATCTCCCACCAGGTCAGTCCCACACACGTGGGAATTATGGGAGCTACAATTCAAGATTAGATTTGGGTGGGGACACAGACAAACCGTATTAGTGTTACTGTTTCCTGCTGTCCAGGTGAAATTGACAGTGGTCTCCAACTTCTTACTCACCTTCTGGTAAATGGAGCCACCAAACTGTCCCATTATTTACGTTAGTGTGAAGTTGGAATTCATCAGACTTGTAACCAACTGCAGAGTTGCTCTGGGTCACTCAGGATTTTGCAGTCTCAAAATTTATCTGGTAGCCAGCCAGTCAACCCTTGTAACCCAGCACCAGAGCGCCCCAGATGGAAGGTCCAGTGATGTCAAAATCCAGGTTACAGCCCAAGTTGATGTGCTCCTGCTTGTACCTGGTGTTGATTTTAGCATTTTTCCCCCAGTATTAGGTGACAAGGGTGAATTGAGGGTCAGCTTCAGTCCACTTGCAAGATGATCTTCCACAGTAATCTCAGTCCTGGTGTGTTGTGTGTTTCACTTCATAAACATCAGGCCGTACTCAGTCCATCTGTACTTGGTCTCCATGACTGCCTGTCACTTTGGTGATTTCAGTGTTGGCTGAGCCTAAGCTTTCAAATTCCAATGCATTCTCAGATTTTGTTTTCAAAAGGTTTATTAGGCCATATCCGTAGCCCTTGTTGAAGACATTCCTGGCAGATTTGCCAAGATTGGCATACTTGGGTGGCACAGCCATCTTCTGCTCAGAGGTGGTGGTGGCAGGCTTGGCGGCAGCTATGATGGGGGCTTCATCAGGGAGGCATGGAGCAAAGCAAGCAGCCGGTGTGTAGTGCTTTTAATGGTGTTTCATTATATACCTCATAAAGTCAGAGTCCATGTCTGTATTGCTCACCATTGTATCCTTATCACAGTGCTTGGCATATAATGTGTGCTCAACAAATATTTGTTGAATGAGCATCTTTGAATCTCCTCCCAGCTCAATTTGCTATTAACTAAGAGAAAGGCTTTTTTATCAGAAGAGACAGAAGTGAACCTGCACATCTAACCTTTGACGTTTTTCCAATGATTTAAAGATGTTTTTCACCCAAAATCTCAGTAGGTGTTATCTTCTACCCTTAATAGTCACAGATCAGTCAACATCTAAAAGGCCCCGTCTGGAGCAAATCACTCTGCCATTCTAGTTTCCACCTAATTTCTAAGTCCTATAGTTCTGCTTAAATATCTCTTAAACCATTTTCCTTCTCTCCATCTTCATTGTTATTACCTTAACCAAACTTTTATCAGCTTTATTTTTTTTTTTTAAGATGGAGTCTCGCTCTGCCCAGGCTGGTGTGCAATGATGCAATCTCTGCTCACTGCAACCTCCACCTCTCCTCGGCGAGTCTCCTGCCTGATGCCTCCCAAGCAGCTGGGATTACAGGTGCCCATCACCACACCTAGCTAATTTTTGTATTTTTAGTAGAGATGGGGTTTCACCTTGTTGGTCGGGCTGGTCTCAAACTCCTGACCTCAGGTTATCCAACCGCCTCAGCTTCCCAAAGTGCTGGGATTGCAGGTGTGAGCCACTGCGCCCGGCCCCTTAAAATTTTATCAGCTCTTACACAGATTACAGCAGCAGTCTCCTAACAGCTTTTGTTGTTGTTACACTTAAAAAATTTTTTTAATTTAATTTTTAAAAAAGGAGTCCCTGCAGCTCCAGCACGGAGACACAGGGGCTCAACAGAGTGCTTCCTAATAGCTTTTTGTCTTGAGTCTAGACCCCTTTTGATTAGTTAGGAATTAGCTTAGTTACATGTAATAGAGATTCTGTTTTTCCTTTTCTGGGTATGCCCCACATTCATCTATATATTCACATATTCCACAGATATTTGAGTGACTGCTTTTACCAATTTTAGCTTAAGCCCTGCAGATACAGAGCTGAACGAGAACGTTCAATCCGTGTTCTCTTGAAACTTAACGTAGTTACGTGAAGGTTAATATAGGACCAGTAATCACAACTGTGATGAATGTTATAAAGAAGAAATGCATCTTGTAATGGAAACATACAGAAGTGCAAACTTTTTCTGTTTGAGGGATGAAGGAGAGCTTCACTGGAAGTGATTTTGAAGCTGAGACCCAAAGGATGAATTAAAATTAACCAGACAGGCCTGGCATGGTGACTCACACCTATAATCCCAGCGCTTTGGGAGGCCAAGGCGGGAGGATTGCTTGAGCCCAGGAGTTCGAGACCAGCCTGGGGAACATAGTGAGACCCCATATCTACAAAAAAAAAAAAACGAAAACCAAAATATGCTGGGCGTGGTGGCACATGCCTGTAGTCCCAGCTACTTGGGAGGCTGAGGTGTGAGGATTGCTTGATCTCGGGAGATCAAGACTGCAGTGAGCCATGATCACCTCACTGCCCTCCAGCCTGGGTGACAGAGCAAGACCCTGTCTCAAAATAATAAAATAAACCAGACAAAAGATAGGGAGAAGGTCTGTCCTCCTTTCCTTCAAGTCCTTGCTCAGATGTCAGATGTCACCTTTTTATTCAGGCTTACTCTGATTATCGTGTTTAAAATGGTAACCCATGCTCCCTTAGACATTCCTGATTCTCTTTGCTTTGTTTTTTTCCATAACACGTATCACTTCTCACATGCTATGTAGTTTATTCATTTTATTCTTTTTTTTTTTTTTTTGAGATGAAGTCTCGCTCTGTTGCCCAGACTGGAGTGCAGTGGCATGATCTCGGCTCACTACAACCTCCACCTCCCAGGTTCAAGCGATTCTCCTGCCTCAGCCTCCCAAGTAGCTGGGACTACAGGCGCCCACTACCACTGCCGGCTAGTTTTTTGTATTTTTAGTAGAGACGGGGTTTCACTGTGTTAGCCAGGATGGTCTCGATCTCCTGACCTCGTGATCCGCCCGCCTCAGCCTCCCAAAGTGTCATTTTATTCTTTATTATCTGTCCCTCCCACTCGAATGTAAGGTCCATAACTCAGGAATTTCTGTCACTGTTTCTGTTTTGTACACTGATATAACCAAACACTGAAAACAGTGCCTGATGCAGTTGATACTCAATAAATATTTGTTGAGTGAAAGGAGGCAAGAAAGAATAGTCCCAGGGCAAAGGTATAGAACTTGCCTTTAGAGAGAGAAAGAGCATCTCTAATTGGTAACAGTAAGGAGGGAGGAATGGATAAGAGCAGATCTAAATGATTTTAAAATTTAGCATTTGGAGATTGAGAGAATTCCTTTTAAATAGCATGTGATGGTTAGTTTTGTGTGTCAACTTGGCTAGGCTATAGTACCCAGTTATTTAATCAAACCCTAATTTGGGTGTTACTGTGAAGGCATTTTTATAGGTATGGGTAACATGTACACTTAGTTGACTTTAAATAAAGGAGATTACTCTTGATAATGTGGGTCTGTTGAAAGCCTTCAGAGTAAAACTGAGGTTTCTCAGAGAAGAAGAAATTCTGCCTCAAGACTGCAGCATCGGGCCAGGTGCAGTGGTTCACACCTGTAATCCGAATGCTTTGGGAGGCCAAGATGGAAAGATTGCTTGAGTTCAGGAGTTCAAGGTTGCAGTGAGCTATGATCTGTACTCCAGCCTGGGCAACAGAGTGAGGTTTTGTCTCTAAAAAAATAAAAATTTAAAAAAGAGGAAAAAATAAGACTGCATCATTAACTTCTGCATGAGTTTCCATCATGCCAGCCTGCCCTACAGATTTTGGATTTACCAGCTCCCACACATGTGTTAGCCAATTTCTTAAAATATATGTCTTTATATGAATATATATATCTTATTGATTCTGCTTCTCTGGAGAATGCTGATTGATAATACAGCATCTCATTTTTTTTTCAAATAGAAGGTAAAGTCATCATCTGAGAATAAAGCAGAAGGAAATGGAAGATGAGAGAGTACAAGAGGTTTGAAATACTGATTGCCCGGAATGGAAGAGTGAACTGACAAAAGAAACAGAGTTTTAGGCAGTGTTGAGGGTTCAGCAGAGCTTGCTGAACAGAATTCCTTTCTGTCTTTGTCTGAAGAGCTTTGATTGTGTTTTTTTGTTGTTTTTGTTTTTTGAGACAGGGTTTTGCTCTGTTGCCCAGGCTGGAGTGTGGTGGTATGAACACGGCTCACTGCAGCCTTAACCTCGTGGGCTCAAGTGATCCTTCCACCTCAGTCTCCCAAAGTTTTGGGATTACAGGAATGAGCCACCGCACCCACCTTTTTCTTGTTTCAAGGCCTTAAACTTTAAGGACTATTGTGACTCAGGTACCGTTCCTTGCCCTTTTATGAAAGAGTTGTCCATGCTCTTTATTCATGCCCTCACTGAATCCTTTGTCTTGTTCATCGTTATGTCAAAATTAATAACAACTAAACACTTAACAATTATATCAAATGTCTACTACTTACCAGGCTCTATTCTAAAGCATTTTGTGTGCATTAATTCACTTAATCCTCACAATACTATAAGGTAGACATTATTATCTTCATTTTCAAAAAGTGAAACTGAGGTAAAATATCCCATGACTAGTAAGTGATGAAGTTAGGATTTCAATCCAGGCAGTCTGATTCCAGAGCCCATCTTCTTACTCACAAATGAAGATTGTTATACATTTATGTATTTTTTTCCATGAATATTTTCTGATCATGTACTCATGGTGCCTAGTATAGGAGCTGGGGATAGAGTAGGCAGCAATCAGAATCTCTGCTACCATGGAGCTTATATTTCTAGTCAGGGGAAATAGGAAATAAATAAGTATTTATATGAAGTGGTAATAAGTGCTGTGGAGAGAAGTAATGCAAGTAAAGAGGATAAGGATGTTGGGGAGAGAGTTGCTATTTTCTGTTGGGCAGTTAGGGAAGAACTCACTAATAAGGTGACATTTGAGCAGAGAATTGAGAGAGTAAGCCTTGAGAGCATCTTGAAGAAGTGTTCACTCTTCTACTGTTCAACTAGTTGTGTAAACCACTAGTGGTCCTCTAGTATCCATTGTCTCCTTTCTTTATGTAAAGAACCTCTAAATTTTCTGTTGGCATATGACCACTGAAAATGAAGATTAGATTTTGTAGCTTTCCTTACAGCTAGGCTTGGTCATGTGATTGATGTGTGCAGTTGCCAGGCTGTGCCCTTAAAAGAAAGGGTATGCCTTCTCCTTTCCTTTTCCCTCCATCTCACTAGTTGGGATGGGACGTGGCACACATGGTGGTAAATTATTTTGGACCTTAAAGATGAGGACTACTTCCTTGGAGAAGGCAGAACAACTGAAGGCTACCGTGGTAGCCTCAGAGTACTTATATTTGGATGGTTATGTGAGAGAAAAAAATAAACTATCATGTTTAAGCCATGATATTTTGGGTCTTTTTATTACAGCATTTGTGTGGTAGGTAGAAGTTTTAGATCAGGGGTCCCCAACCCCCGGGCCACAGACTGGTACCAGTCATGGCCTGTTAGGAACCAGGCTACACAGCAGGAGGTGAGTGGTGGGTGAGCAGGTGAAGCTTCATCTGTATTTACAGCCACTCTCCATCGCTCACATTACTACCTGAGCTCTGCCTCTTGTCAGATCATTGGTGGCATTAGATTCTCATAGGAGCATGAACCCTATTGTGAATAGCACATGCTAGGTGGCATGCTCCTTATGAGAATCTAATGTCTGATGATCTGTCACTGTCTCCCATCACCCCCAGATCGGATTGTCTAGTTGCAGGAAAACAAGCTCAGGGCTCCCACTGATTCTACATTATGGTGAGTTGTATAATTATTATATATTACAATGTGATAGTAAAATAAGTAAAGCTCACAATAAATGTAATGCATTTGAATCATCCTGAAACCGTTAACCCCTCCCCTGGTCCGTGGAAAAATTGTCTTCCACTACACTGGTCCATGGTGCCAAAAAGGTTGGGGACCACTGTCTCTGAGATTTCCTGCTCTCTAGTATATATCTCCCTAGTATACGCTGCATATTCCATGGGACTGTGAATGTGACAAATTTTACTTATGTGAGAAGGTTATAATATATGGCATAGTTGACTGTAAGAGCGATTGTCTGGGTGGGCCTGATCTAGTCACATGAGTCACATGAGCCCTTTAAAAGCAGAGTGTTTTCTTTATGGTTGCAGAAGGGGACATCAGAAAAGTGTGAAGCATGAGAAGGGTTAGAGGCACTGTTGTTGGCTTGAAAATGGAGGAACCACATGTCAAGGAAGACAGGTGGCCTCTAGGACCTGAGAGTGGCTCCTGGCTAATGGCCATGAAGAAAACAGGGACATCAGTCTTAGAACTGCAAGAAACTGAATCTTGCCAACAACAATAATAGCTTGGAAGTGGATCCCCCCACACCCCCCACCCCCTAGAGCCACCAGATGAGTAGCCCCGTCAACATGTTGACTTCAGGCTTATGATACCCTGAGCAAAGAATCCAGTAAAGTCATGCTGGACATCTGATCTACAGAACTGTGAGGTACTACATAGGTGTTGTTTTTAAGCTGCTTAGTTTGTAATAACTTGTTATGCAGCTCCAGAAAACTTGCGCGTTAGTGGGGGTTCTCCAGAGAAACAGAACTGATAGGCTGAGAAGTCCCACAATCTGCTGTCTACAAACTAGAGAACCAGGAAATCTGGTGGTGGAATTCAATCCAAGTTTGAAGGCCTGAGAACCAGGAGCACTGATGTCCATGGACAGAAGATGAATGTCTCAGCTAAAACAGCAAGTCCACCAGCTGCCTGTTTAAATTCTGTTTAGGCAACAGATTGTACAATGCCCATCCACATTGGTGAGGATGATCTTTACTTAGTCTACCTATTCAAATACTAATCTCTTCCAGGAATACCCTCAAAGACACACCCAGAAATAATGCTTTACCAGCTATCTGAGCATCCCTTAGCTCCGTCAAATTGACAAATAAAATTAACCATCACAGCCGGGCATAATAGCTCGCGCCTGTAATCCCAGCACTTTAGGGGTGAGGTGGGAGGATTGCTAGAGGCCAGAGGCTCGAGACCAGCCTGGGCAACATAGTGAGACCCTGTCTCTACAAAAAAATAAATAAATAACAGTCATAACTTGTGTATCTCCTAACTGATACACAAGCAGACAGCACAGCTTGTATGTAGTCTGTGAGGTGGGGGTATGGCTGGTGTGATTCAGGCACAGCAGTAGTAGAGTGTGAATGTGAAGAGAGAAGCCTACAGAGGTAGCAGGCAGTTATCAGCAATTTGTAGGCCATGATAGGACTTTGGCCTTCAGCTGAAGGAATTAGATGAGGGGGCATTAGTGAGCTATGAGCAGAGGAGTTATAGGATCTGCCTATATTTGAAAAGGATCACTGGCTGCTCTAAAAAGAATGGATTGTAGGGGCAATGGTGAGAAGCATGAGAAGGATCTGAGGCAAGGAGAACAGTTCAAAGGCTGTGGAAAAACCCAGGTGAGAAATGATAGCAGCTTAGACCAAGGTTGTAGTACTTAAGATGGTGGGAAATAGTTGGATTCTGGATATATTCTGAAGGCACAACCAGCAGAATTTCCTGAAGGATTACTTATGGAGGGAGGGGGAGAGAGAGAAAGAGAAAGGGAAAAAGAAGAGGGAAAGAGAAAGAAGGGGTTTGGAAGAGGTCTCAAAGCTGACTCCAAGGTTTTGGTGTGAGAAACCAGAAAGAATGGATTTGCCATTGACTGAGGTGGGAAAGACAGTGAAAGGAGCAGCATTTCTTTGGTGGGGAAAGGGTGGTTAGGAGCCTGCTTTTGGACATTTTAAGTTTGAGATACCTATAAGCTCTCCAGGTGGAGACATTAAGTAGGCAGTTGGATATACTAATCTGATTTCAGAGGAGAGGTGGGCTGAATTTCTTTTTTTATTTTAATCATCAACTTTTTTTTTTTTTTTTTTTTTTTTGAGATAGAGTCTCCCTCTGTCGCCCAGGCTGGAGTGCAGTGGCGCGATCTCTGCTCACTGCAAGCTCCGCCTCCTGGGTTCACGCCATTCTCCTGCCTCAGCCTCCCCAGTAGCTGGGACTACAGGCGCCCACCGCCACGCTCGGCTAATTTTTTTGTATTTTTAGTAGAGACAGGGTTTCACCGTGTTAGCCAGGATGGTCTCGATCTCCTGACCTCGTGATCCACCCGCCTCGGCCTCTCAAAATGCTGGGATTACAGGCATGAGCCACCGCGCCCGGCCTCATTCAACTTAATTTTTAAAAATTAGCCCCTCCATAAGCCCTTCCCCAAAAAATCCCCCTCCCCCCGTGCCAAATAGATGTTGAGCTCCTTGAGATCAAGGATTTTGTTTTATTCGGGCTTCTTTTGGGGAGGTGGGATAGGGTAGATGGATACGTTGGGGGTGGGGATGGGGGAGTACCAAAGACATACCAAAGACCTGGCACTAGTTTAGATACTCAGCGAATGGATATAAACACCTGCTTACGACACCCTCTGGATTGCTAGTCTCCCGAGTCAACCGTACTGCACGTGCAGTTCAGACCCCGCCTGGTCCTCTACAGGTCCCTGTCCCAGGCAAGCCTTAGCCCACAGGTTGAACCTAGTTCTGCCCCTCCAGGCTTGGGCTCTGCCCTCTCGGCCCCGCCCATATCGGACCCTGGCCCCTCCTCTTTCTGGCTCCCCCGGATGCTCCTGGCAAAGACTCGGTCCTTCTGGAATCTTGTAACGGTTCTAACAGCTGGGTGCGGGTGGAGCTGCGGGTGAGTCCTCGGCTCCGGATCCATTTCTCTTTGTTCCCTAGGACCCCCTCCCACAGAGTCCGCCTCCTCTTCCCCGCTCTCCCAGCCCCCTCCTTTGCCTGTTAACGTCTTCCCCTACCTGCATCCTGACCATCATTTGCTGTGCCTGCTCCTCGGCTTTCTGTCTTCACGACCTCCTTAGGCTGTGGGCGAAGACGTCATGGGACTGGGGCTCTGCTGCCTTCGAGTGACGACCTGTTAACCCGTTTTTCAGGCGATCGCCAGCTCGAGTGCAGATTCCTTGCTGTGACCGAGGTTCAGAGTGAGCTCTGTCGGTGTGTCAGTTTGCCTCTTCAGGTGATTGCACGTCTGTGTGCGAGTCTCTCCGTGTATGGGTGGCTATGATTAGGGTGAGCCTCAGACTGGAACTCAAGTCTAAGTTCATTCACTGCTCCAGCAGGCACTCTTCAATGAAACCTCATCAGCAGATCGGGCTCTCTTCCCTTGCCTTGCCTCCTAACCCCCCTAGGCCAGGTGAGGGGGACAGGGTACTGGGAGGTAAGAAGGAACTCTTCTGCAAGGAGGGCTCTCACGTCTGTCTTAGGCCTGCTCCTTACCAGAGTCTTTGGGGAAGCAGTAGGGAGGGCCTGAGGGTCTCAGGAAAGGCTCTCTGCTGGTCTGGCTCTGCTCTGTAGCTCCATCTATTTCCCTGTCCCAGGTCCTTTCTTCCTCCTAACCCCATTGACTCTGACCATCCCCTGCCCAGAGCCTGAGGTCCCTTCTCTGGCCCCTCTGCTGGGCTGGCCCATGCAGGTGAGGCCCCGCATCTGGCATCCTGGAACTGGCAGTTGGAGCCTGAGCTATGGGCAAGGTCACTTCGACAGCAGTTGAATGCCCAGCTCCTCATGGTCCCGGAGGAGAGGAGGGTAGGTTTGTCTTCTGATGAGACATCATCTGATTCCCTTAAGTCTTGGCACTCCATATGTGTCTTGGACAGCAAAGAACAGCCCTTGGCCTGCCAGCAGAAACAGAGGCAGTTCGTGAAGCCAGTGACTGAGTCAGAGCAGCCCACAGTGCTGGAACTCCTGCTAGCTGAGCTCCGAACTCTGTTCTCAGCTGTGTTGCAGGACAGTAGCCCTGCAGCTTGGCGCTATCTTCATGCAGTACTGGGTCTACTGCCTCCATATCGTGAGTTGCTAGTTGGCCACCTTGATTTGCTGCCCTTCCTGGAGCAGCTGTACTGCTGGGCACCCTGGGTCCAAACCCACCTCCATCTGGACCTGCTAGGTGCCATTGTCCAGGCCTTTCCTCCAGACAGCTCTTTGTTAGACAGTGCTTCCCATGCTGACTGCTGTCCCCAGAAGCGGAGGCTCCATCACAGGCCCCCATGCCCAGCTTGCCCTTTTGTGCAGGCCCAGTGGAGCAGGCAGCAAGTAAAGGAGGAGCTGGCCACCTGGCTGCGACCATTGACACTGCCTGAGCTACAGCGCTGCCTGGGCATTGTTGGTGCTCAGGTGGCCCTAGAAGAGGCTGTGTGGCTGGATGGACTTAGTCTCCTTCCCTTGGCACTGGCAGCGGACATCCCTGTACGGTATGAAAGCAGTGACACTGACAATGCAGAGGTGGAGCCTGTTGGAAGAAAAGAGACCAGGTAAGTGAGGGACTCAGTCTAGGGCTTGAGCAGAGGAGAAAAAGTTGCTGTTTTATGGGTGCCTCTGGGGTCACTTGGAAGTTTAGATCCAGCTCTCTGTTTATCACAGGGATTAGCCCAACTCCACACAAAGCTAGTGTGAGGCTACTTTCCTCTTCCTTTTTCTCTGCAAAATAAACCCAGTGGTGTTAGTCTTAATCCCCATAGAGAAATACAGAAATTAATGAAAATCAGAAGTCAGCTATGAGGCAGCCAAAGCTTTAGAATAACAGCTTGACTTTTCAGTTTCCAGGTTTTTTTCTTAGATGATGTCAGAAGTCTCCTTAATTATTTTTCTATAATTCATTCATAATCACTGAACATTGCCTGGGCCTACTGTGAGTTGATTCCTGGATGTTGGGTCTTTCCCTCAAGGTACCCCTGGGGAATGTGTGTCCGAGTGTCCTTCCCACATGTCTATGTGACTTAAACCGGCTCCAAGGCAGAGTGGAGTTGGCAGCACTACTGGATAGAATTTCATTTTGACCCTTCCAGAGTCTTCTTCTTGCCCTGCCAGTGTGGGCACTCTGGCCCCTTGAGTGATATATTTTTCTTTTGTTTCTTTCTTTCTTTCTTTCCTTTTTTGAGATAGAGTCTCACTCTGTCGCCCAGGCTGGAGTGCAACGGCATGGTCTCGGTTCACCGCAACCTCCGCCTCCCGGGTTCAAGTGATTCTCCTGCCTCAGCCTCCTGAGTAGCTGGGACTACAGGCACGTGCCACCATACTCAGCTAATTTTTATATTTTTAGTAGAGACGGAGTTTCACTATGTTGGCCAGGCTGGTCTCGAATTCCTGACCTCATGATCCGCCCACCTCTGCCTCCCAAAGTGCTGGGATTACAGGCGTGAGTCACTGCGCCCGGCCCTATTGTTTTCTTTTTTAAAATATCTGGCTATCAGAGCTCTCTACAGGATTTCAGAATGCTTACAGAGACCTTCTCTTCTCAGCGTTCTCTAACTTTCGATTTTTTTTTTTTTTTCTGAAACAGAGTCTCACTCTGTCGCCCAGGCTAGAGTGCAGTGGCCTGACCTTGGCTCACTGCAACCTCTGCCTCACAGGTTCAAGCGATTCTTTTGCCTCAGCCTCCCGAGTAGCTGGGATTACAGGCTCATGCCACCACGCTCAGCTGATTTTTGTATTTTCAGTAGAGACAGTGTTTCGCCATGTTGACCAGGCTAGGTTTCCAACTCCTGGTCTCAAGTGATCTGCTCACCTCGGCCTCCCAAAATGCTGGGATTACAGGCATAAGCCACCGTGCCCAAGAGAGTTTTTTAACTTTAGTTTTGGAATTCTCCTTGTCCTCTGGCCTCATTTTCTAGACAATGCTTTGCAGCTGTCTGTGGCACATTTACTGTTCGGGAAGAAGGCTAGTTTTACCTTTAATTAAGGTTGGCTTCCTCAGTTTTTGCTGTAAGTTTATGGCTGGGTCAAGTCTTTCCATTAAAGCCTAATGTTAGATAGATAGGCAGGCTCCTGGGGCCCTAATGGGAGGTGGCCAATGCCATAAATTTATGGTGGCCCTATTGGAATCTTTTCCTTTTTCAAAGAGCTGCCCTGTGCCTTGAGTACAAGTTTCCTTTCCTGGGAGAACTTGACTGAATTGGCATGGGCTGAGATGTTGGGAAGGGATCAAGTTCTTTGCCCTCCCTTTGAACCTGGCAGTAAACCTCTGAGGTCTAGCTAATATGGCTTAATTTGCATTACGTTCTCCCGGAGTGGTTTGCCAGGCATTCATTCATTCAATAAGTGTTGGATAGCTACATTTATTAGGATCTGCAAGATGCTAGGGATACAGAAGTGAATGAGACAGACTCAATCCCTTCACTTGAGGTATTACAGTTTAGTTAGGGAGATATAGTTAAGTTGATAACAAGTAAAATATAATTACAAATTGTAATAAGTGCTATAAAACAAAAGAATACTGTCTTTTGCCTGGCTGCTTCTCTGCAGGTGGGAGAGAGAGAGAGAGGGAGTGTAGTTAGGGGGAAAGCATGTGGGGGGAGTGTTCAAGTCTAGATTAGATTAACAAAAACATCAAACAGAGTTTCAAGGAGGAGGGAGCAGTCAGTAGTATTACATGTTAAATGAGACAAGTAAGAAGAATGAAAATGTTCATTGGATGTAGTAACAAGGAAGAGGTTAAGTTTTGTGGGGAGGAAGCTAGATTGTGGTGCATTGAGGAGTGAATGGAAGATGAAGTGGAAATCGCATTTTACGATTTTTTTTGTGAAGCTTAGCTTGAAGGGAAAAGACAAATAGCAGGGCAGCAGCTTGAAAGAATTTTGGTGTCTGGGTAGGGATTTTTTTTTTTTTTTTGATAGAGAGATGTTTATATCCCTTAACACAGTGCTTGAGAAGTAGGTGCTCAATAAATATTCGTAGACTAAATGAATAAATAGACTAAGGTAAGAAGAAGAGTAGATTAAAAATATATCATAGAGAATAAGGGGTCCAGAGCACTGATGGAGGAATTAATCTTACAGAGAAGAAAGGATACCTCTTCCTCTGAAATCGGGGGACAGATAAGTGTGTGGGGGAAGGCAACTGAAGTTGAGGGAATTGGCTAATGGCTGAAAACTTCAGCTTTCTCCAGGCAGAGAAGGAGACAGAGAATGGGATGGAACTGGGAGCTCAGCAGGGCTTGCATGGGGTTAGGGATAGCAGTTTGAGAGGCCTGAAAGAGGTAGCTGTCTGAGGACTTGTGTGAAGACATCAGGCAGAATGAGCCCACAGCTGATTGGACACCAGGAACCCGTAGAGGAGCAAATGTCCTTGGTTTTGCGATCTTCTGAATATACTATATAATATAGGACTTTGCTGAGAAAATGAACCTATAAGAGCAATTATACCATTTAAGATGTCCTGATCCAACACAACAGTTCATCAAGGACATATGTATAAAGGTTATAAACCATATTGTTGATATGAATTCTAGAATAGGATTGCACTGTTATCCCTGGGGAAACTTGTGTTGATCTAAGTTTGGGTCAGTTAATGATACTGGTATATTCTGACTGGCTAAGTCTAAGTTAAATCATTCCAGAGTTTTTTTTGTGTGTGTGCTCTCAGGTCTCCCCAACTAAAAATTATTAGTCATTCACTTTTGAGTTATTGGTAACTAATTTCCATACCAATTTTGTTGACCAGAATGCAGAAGAGTAAGAGGATGAGTGTATTGGTGCAGGCTTGAGGGGGCCACCATTGGATCTTGGCAGGAAAGGAAAGAATATGAAGCTAGAGGTTGGGTGATGGTAGGGGAAGAGCAGAAAATGTAACAGGCATGGAGATCATTCAGGGTTGGAAAGCAGGTATAATGGAATCAAAGATAGGATATTAAATCTGAAAGGCCAAGAAGGTTGAGCTGGGAGGGGAAATCCAGTACTGTGGGCTTACAGAGCAATGAGTTGGGAAAATAAAGTCTTCCCATTATTTGTACACAGTATTATGTAATACTGACTTCATGGTAATTCCAATCAATCCAGAATGATTATTTGTTTATCAGAAAGGGAGAGGTTGCTCACACACATGTTTGTGTCAATATTGTTGCCTAACTGTGTTCTATGATACGCTATATTTGCCCAGTATGTGGTATCTTTGAGTATAGATGGTAGTCAGGCTCGACAATGCCACGTCAGGTCTCCTCAGGCACCTGATCTAGTCCTCCTTTCACTAGCCAACAGTGGCAAGGCCTCCCTCTAAGGTACTTGACCTTTTTACTCTGCCTTTTCTCTCCTGATTTTCTGTCACACAGGTCTCAGCTTGACTATGAAGTTCCCAGGGAAAAGGCCTTCCAAAAGAGCAGCACCGGCTTTTCACCTGAGACTTCCTTCCTGGATAGCCAGGTGATGACTGCTCTGAAGATGGAGAGATACCTGAAGAAGATCCACTTCCTCTATCTCAATGTGGCTCCCAGCCGGTACTTTAGGTGATAGCCTATGTCCAGGCCCCTTCTCCTCCCCCTGCCTGGTTTCCTTCTATGCTATCTTCCCCCTCCTCTTTCTCCACGTGCGCACCCTTCTCCCTGTCCTTTCTCCACATACTCCTCCTCTGACTCTAGTGTCCCTCTCTCTTCCCTTCTCCTCAGCCTCCTCCTCCTTTCCACTCTCTACCTCCCCTTCACTCCCTGTTGCTTACACAGCCTTTTGTCTTACACATCCTTTTCTCACATTTTGCTCTTTCTTTTTTATTCTATCCTAGAATGATAGAAACATTTGTTCACAGCCTTAGAAGTAAATTTTATGGTGATCTATTCCAACTCCAATGGAAGAAACATGTGTTTGTTTAAATCTTTACAGTGTCAGGAAAATTTTTTTCCAGGTATCTTGTTCCTTAGACTGAATCAAAATCTGCATTCTTTTAACTTCTACCTCCTGGCTCTAGTTTATCTATGGGGCTATAAAAACAGGTCTCCTCCTTCCCCATGACTCAAGAGACATTTATTCACTTCCTCTCATTAGATCCAAATCACACCTACTTTTAAAAATTTCTTCTTATTATTTTGAAGCAAGGGCTCACTCTGTCACCCAGGCTGGAGTGCAGTGGCACAATCATGGCTCACTGCAGTCTCAATCTCTCTGGCTCAAGCAATCCTCTCACTTCAGCCTCCTGAGTAGCTGGGATTACAGGCATGAATCACCACACTCGGCCAGTTTTCTAAAATTTATTTTTTGTAGAATGAGGTCTCACTGTGTTGCCAGGCTGGTCTCAAACTCCTGGGTTCAAGCCTCAGCCTGCCAAATTGCCAGAATTACAGGCATGAGCCACCATGCCTGGCTCAAATCCTCGCCTATTTTAAAAAGCCCTATTCAAGTCCATCTCCTCCCAGAAATAATTGTAATAATTGCCTTTAACCAAACTCTTCAATATATTAGGCATTGTGCTAATAAACTCATGACATGTGTTACTTAATCCTCATCTACCAGGTAGGTGCTATTATTATTTCTATATATGAGATGAGTGGACTGATACATAAGAGAGGTTAAGTAATTTATCCAAAGCTACATAATAAATGGTGTAACTAGGATTTAAACCTAGGACTATCTTAATCCAAAAGTTCATGCTCTTAAGCAGTATCTAATACAGCCTCCCAAATAACCTTATTTCCTGTGCACACTGATCTCTTGAACTTAGGTAGCACTAATGATCAATATCATTCATTCATTTACTGATCAATTCATTTAATAAATGTTCACTGAGAGCATCCTGCTGGTTATTAATTGATTGCCTCTTGATTCTAATTCTCCTCCTCCCTCTCTGCTTTGTGATACTGGGGCTGAGATTCTGCAAACTTTTTCTCTTTTTTCAGCTGGCCTTCTATTAGGTTTGATTAATGGAGAGTGCTGGGAGACTGGACAGCAAGATAAGAGGGGAAGGGACTTGCTGCTTCGTTTGCTTGCTCTTTCTGCCATCATTGCCTCAGCAATGGTCTTTCACCCTGGCAGCAGCACTTTCTTTTTGTCTTTTTTGAGACAGAGTTTCACTCTTGTTGTCCAGGCTGGAGTGTAATGGCATGATCTCGGCTCACAGCAACCTCCACCTCCCTGGTTCAAGCGATTCTCTTGCCTCAGCCTCTGAAGTAGCTGGGATTACAGGCATGTGTCACCACACCTGGCTAATTTTGTATTTTTAGTAGAGACAGGGTTTCATCATGTTGGTCAGGCTGGTCTTGAACTCCTGACCTCAAGTGATCCACCCGCCTCAGCTTCCCAAAGTGCTGGGATTACAGGCATGAGCCAACGTGCCTGGCCCAGCCAGCACTGTCTGAATCAGCCTCTTCATAACCCTGAGAGATACCAACACCAGCTGGTAGCCCCTTTCCTTCAGAGTTCTTTTTGTTGTTGTTCTTTTTTTAGACAGTCTTGCTCTGTTGCCCCAGCTGGAGTGCAGTGGCTTGAACAGAGCTTGCTGTAGCCTCCACCTTCTGGGCTCAAGTGATCCTCCCACCTCAGCCTCCCATGTGACTGGGACCACAGGTGCCTACAACCATGACTGGCTAGTTTTTAAATTTTTTGTAGATATGGGATCTCACTTTGTTGCTCAAGCTGGTCTCGAACTCCTGGGCTCAAGCTATCCTCCCTTCTCAGCCTCCCAAAGTGCTGGGATTACAGACGTGAGCCATTGCACCCGGCCCCATTCAGAGTTCTGAGTCTCAACTCTGCAAGGCCCCTCCTCCAACCTCATAGCTTCTAATAACCTGAACCTCTTCCATTTGTTCCTCTAGTTCTGGAGCTGGTTTTTTATTTTTATTTTTATTATTTTTTTTTAAGATGGAGTCTCACTCTGTTGCCTAGGCTGGAGTGCCATGGCGATCTTGGCTCACTTTAATCTCCGCATCTCCGCCTCCCAGGTTCAAGCGATTCTCCTGCCACAGCCTCCCAAGTAGCTTTGATTACAGGCACTTGCTAATATGACTGGCTAATTTTTGTATTTTTATTAGAGACGGGGTTTTGCCACATTGGCCAAGCTGATCTCGAACTCCTGGCTTCAAGTGATCCACCCACCTCAGCCTCCCAAAGTGCTGGGATTACAGGCGTGAGTCACCGCGCCTGGCCTCGACATCTTTTTAAAAACACATTCTCTTTATTAAATTCACTTTGTTGAAATGCCTAGTATGGTTTCTGTTTTACTGACTGGACCCTGACTAACACGGTACTTGGTATTATGAGTGGTCCCAGGAAACTAGCCTCTAATATAGGATCTTCTTTGGTTTGGTAATGTCCTTGGCCTAAAACAGTACTGAATTCCTTGCTAATGGGAAATAGGATACTAGTAATCCATGACACACAGTGGCATCACAATTAATTAAATTATCACTTGTGGTTGAATGTGATACTGACACCTAGTGGCTGCTACACTTGACTGTCATGGCTGTAATGATAGTAATGGTAACAATGTGGGATGGAATGCCTACAAACCATAGTTGGGAGCTTACAGAAAGCAAATGACAAGCTTAGGGCTTTAAACTATCAGCATCTTTTATAATTAGAGAAGCATCTCGATCAAAGACAGTTAGGCACATAAAGAGATAAGAAACTATTGACAAGAGAACTAAAAAGGCAATGGATGATTACAGGGCCAGGATCTGCCAAAGAAGGAAACCCATTGCAGTGAGTTCAGCATTTGGTGCTGCTTTTCCCCAAACAGAGGGACCTCTCAATTCCTCTCAATATAAAGGTAGTTAAATGTCAATTTTACTATGCATTCCTGAGATACTGAAAAGAGGAGCCAAGCTTTCAACAGACTCAGGGAACTAAATGAGCAAAAGTTGCAGTTCAGGTCCCATACCAAAAAGGAGGTATATTTCTGGTTCCACTTTACTCCTGTGTTGTAGCCATTTGGGGTCTCGACCCAAAGGCTGGGGGATTACATTTTTGGGTTCTCTGATGTGTTATACAGATATTATATTTCATATATTATCCAGTTTCATATATTATCCAGATAGTTGGCCTAGTTTTTCTAGTTGTTATCAAGTGGGAATGTTGGTCCAAATTTCTAGTGCACCATCAATAGAACTCTTTCACTTGCTGTTTCATTATATTTATTTATTTGCCATGTAACAGATTTTTTTAATGTGTTTGAATTTATCAAAATTTTAATTGCATTTTCTCCAGTGTTTGATTTACATTTAGGAGAGAATTTATTCCTTCACCTCCTTTATTCTTTGAGTCTTTGCTCAGCTGTCACTCCCCCACCCTTACCACCCCATTTAAAATTGCACTTCCTTCTCCCCTGGCACCGCCAATCTCCCTTTGCCTGTTCTTTTTCCCCCTTCCTGTTGTTAATTACGTTTATCATCTTCTCTAGTAGAATGAGAGCTCCATCAGGGAGGGGTTTGGGTTTGTTGTGTTTAATGATGTATCCTCAGGGCTTAGAACAGTCTGGCATAGAGTAGATACTCAGTAATATTCGTTGAATGAATGAGTGAACTAATTGCCCAGATTAGGGACAGATTTGGTGGGGGTAGATATTGAGTTTAGTACAGAACTTGCTGAGTTTCAGGTGCAAGCAAGATGGAGTTTGAGATGTTTTGGAAACAGCTGAATCTTTGGTTCTGGGACTCAGGAAGATACTGATTTCCCCCATCTACTCTCTAGTATCATGTCATACTCCAGTTGATTCTGAGCCCTTTGAGGACAAGGACTATGTAGAAGTCATCTTTATGTCCCCATCTCTGACCACAATACTTGAACAGAGGGACAACTTGATAAACGGTTTAACTAAGTTCCATAAAGTCAGGGACTGGATTTTTCTTGAACACTGCTGTATCCTCAGTGGCTTACACACTGCTTGCCTTAATAAGCATTTGTAGAATGAGTGAATATCCTCCAAAGGATATTCAGCAAAATGCACCTATATCCCACATTAAATGCAATACATATGGATTGATATAATAGGTGTATCTAGTTACAGTAGGCCAGTTAGCATAATGCTATGTTTAGATACATTTAATAAAGCATTTATTTTTATTTTTCAGTTTTCTTTATATAACTCAGAGCTAGCAATATTTTTAAGCATTACATATATATTTGGAGTATATTTTATACTCCAAAGGAGTAGTGGCCATTGGGAATGAGAAGAGTACTGTATAACTCCTGGCCCTACACAGAAACAGCAGCCTCCATTAAGTAGGTCATAGGAAAAGGAAATATCTCTTGGGAAGAGCCAGGGCTCAGTTAACATAGGCAGCTACACTGTGGGAAGCTAAATGGCCCACTGATTAAAGGAGGGGGCATGAGTCAGGTAACTTTGGTTTTAAATCCTGTATTCTTCCCTTAACTGTCTTGGGCAAAGCTTTAACTTCTCTTTGTTTCAGTTTTCCTATCTGTAATTTGGGGATATGAGTACTATACTTAAGAAACTTTAGTAACTTTGTCAAAAACAAAACAAGGTTTTTGTATGACTTGACTTAGTGTGTCCATTCTGGTATCTATCTAAAAGTTCTTAAGTCACTTGCTTAACAATGTTTTCTAGAAAGTTGAGAGAGATGAGAGATAGAGGAGAGCTATTTTATCTCTTAGACATTATAGGACTTAGGATACAGCTTTTAAATTGCTAAAAATATATGTAATGCTTAAAAATATTGCTAGCTCTGAGTTATATAAAGAAAACTGAAAAATAAAAATTAATAAATGCTTTATTAAATGTATCTAAACATAGCATTATGCTAACTGGCCTACTGTAACTAGATACACCTATTATATCAATCTATATATATTGCATTTAATGTGGGATATAGGTGCATTTTGCTGAAGTAAGAGAACCCAAGACCAACTAAGATTTTAAGATGGCTCTGAAGGTACTTGTCTAGTACATTAGGTTGCAATTTTCCTCTTTATTTGCCTGTTTCGAATTTTCTAGTCTTCCTCTGCTTTTCTCCAATCTCAGTTTTTCCATCAAATAACATTCTGATTGTCTCTGCATGTCTTTCAGTACCCAAGTATATGTGTATTTTATCATGTCTAGAATGAGGATTTTTCACATTTCATCATCTCTAAAATTGTGATGCATCTTACAAATTGATGGAATATCTTATTAGAAGCATTTTTATCTTAGCATTTCATAAGATAATGCTGCAGCTTACGGTGGACAGTGTCTTAGATCTGATGGGATGTAAGATATCTGCATTTGAAGATATGAACTTCTTGGAGCTGGCTAGGTGCCTTTTTCTTTCTTCCCATCTACCTTTGGCTTCGGTTTCTTCTTAATAATATTTGTTTCATCTTTCTAGTTTAAAAATCATTCTGCTCTCTTTGCCCCTTTTTCTCCTTTCTTCTGCCTGCCTTCCTGTTCCCCTTTTTCATCTCCTGTATCCTCCTTTGGTCTCTTAAAGTCTGACCACGTTCCCAGGGCCTTCACTGATCAGAGCTCTTTTTTTAAAGGCCTTACAGCCTGATGGTGGTGCCACCCGACAAGGTGAATCCCGAGCACTACATCTTCTCTCCCTTTGGGATCTTGCATGTACATCCTGTGGAAGGTAGCGAGACGATGACACTGGGTACCTGGCACCATCACTGTGTTCTCTGGCAGCAGCTCCAGTTCATTCCATTCTTTAAGTATTGCCTCTTACGCAAGTCCTTTACCTGGTAGGTAATGACGGATATGTGATTTGGGGGGAAATGGATGACAGCAACAGTATATTATCACTGACCTCTAATTTCTAGTTGGAAGAAGAATGTGAGATTACAGGGGCTGCATCGACTCCAGAAATTCCTAGAGAATCATCTGCTCTTGGCTGTGCCCCACTTTGGAGCTGGGCTACTCCATATTAGCAGGTGAGGTATTAAAAACACAACTTCATTGAGTTTTTAAAAATTAGTTTTACTAAAGGTAATAGTATGTTTGTTGTAGAAAATCTGAAAGATACAAAAAAGCACTAAGAAAAAACCTTTAATCCTACCAACCACTATGAACATTTTGTTGCATATCTTTCTAGTCTTTTTTCTATCACATACACAAAATGTGATCATACCTTACATACTGTTAAATAACCAGTTTTTTCTTTGAACATATATTCTGAACTAGATTATATTCTATTTCATGAATAGAATATATTCTCTATGGAGAATATATGCAATATTCTCCAGGTAATTATATATCTTAAACCACTTGCACTCACGTAATTATGTGTAATGTCAGATCTGGGGGTCTAATTCAGTTGTTTGAATCCAAACTCTGTGTTCTTTCCAAGATATTACTTGGATTCTATTTTTCTTTTTTTTGGAAAAGGTTGGTTATTCCTATTTTCAGTATTTCCTTGCTTTCCCTACATGACTCCTCAGCTACTCTTAGGTATATTCTGTGACAGGAGTTGCAAATTCAGTTGCCTAAAGGGCCTAAGCAGGAAGTATTGAAGGAATGCAGTGGTTTAGGTGGAAGACATTAGGGAGCATGGGAACTGCAATCTGGAGACTGCATCTAAAGAGGATAGTCACTACTCAGTTCCAACTAATTACTAATTGTTGCTGTTTGGGAATATAGGTCCAGTGTGATCAGCTACCTTACATTTCAGGATTTCCTAGAAATCCACATTTTGTTATGAAATTTCTCACTTTTAACTCAAATTTCAACCAAATTTTAACTCAAAAGAATTTTTTTTTTTTTAAATGGAGTTTCACTCTTGTCGCCCAGGCTGGAGTACAATGGCGCGATTTCGGCTCACTGCAACCTCCTCCTCCTGGGTTCAAGCAATTCTCCTGCCTCAGCCTCCTGAGTAGCTGGGATTACAGGCATGCACCACCACACCCGGCTAATTTTTTTTATTTTTAGTAGAGATAAGGTTTCGCCATGTTGGCCAGGCTGGTCTTGAACTCCTGACCTCAGGTGATCCACCCACCTCGACCTCCCAAAGTGCTGGGATTACAGGCGTGAGCCACCACACCAGACCTTCAAATTTTTATTAAAACACTGTATGCTAGCCAACTCTTAGTGACTCATTTTGAAAAACTTTTCCATCTGAATTTAACCCAGTTTGTAACTTCTGCTCTAGGGAGTTTCATCCTCCAGTCTGGCCTAATCATCATGGTGTAATTAAGAGCATAAGGGCTTGGGAGACGGGACAAATCTTATTTAGACCTTGAGTACTAGCAAGGGACTTTAGTATTTGAGCCTCAGTTTCCTGATCTTCAAACTCGGATAAAGATTTCTAGATTTAATTCTGTAATGAGAATTAAACGACACTGTGAATACAAAGTGCCACATTCAGTACCTCTCAGTAGACACTGAATAAATGATGCCCATTGTGACCATCCTGTCTGATTATTAGGAGTCTTTATCCTTTTCAAGGATGTTTACAGTTGTGGAGTTCTCTGGGGCTTGGGAGGTATGGATAACAGGATTGGGCTTCCTCAGGGATGGGCAGCCCACAGAGAAGTTCCAGTTTCATCACATTTGATCCTAAAACTTACCTGTCCACCTAGACTTTTAGGACCTTTAGCTTTCTCTATTCCAAGGAAGAAGCCTCTGCTGTCTCTCCTTCTAAGTCAGACCTTGGTATCTATTTGACCCTCTCTTCTAGCAGAGAGATCACTAGGTATAAGCACTTGCACATACCCCAAGCCTTTTCTCAGCTTGTATAGCTGAGAAAGCAGCTTTATGGGCTTATACTCTTTCAGAGAACTCTCGAGAGGGAGCTGTCACTATTGGTCACTGTTGGTAATATTACAATCTCTATAAATATTTGTGCAGTCTGAGGTAAGCTAGGCTGAGAAGAGGTCAAAGGTATCCAAGGAAGGATTGGGATGCCAGCTCTGACCAGCTTAGTCCTTGATTCTAGGCTTCTGCAGGAGCTACACTCTGTGTCCTGGCTACCCCAGGAACTGGATCGGTGCTATGAGCTGCTGGACCTGCAGACGGCTCTAGCCGAGGAGAAGCATAAGGCTCTACGGCTGCTCCATCGTTGCCTAAACCTCTGCACATCCATTCTTCGACTGGTAAGAGGCTCTTAGTTTATTGTGGACCTCTTCCCCAAGTTGAGCTCCCCAGAGTTTCAGCCTCCTCTTAGTTAAGTTTCTCCTGGAATCCACTGTATGACCTGGACTCTACAGTTGAATCAGAGCCATTTTCCTGCCCAGCAACAGCAGTTTCTGCTCTAGGATGGATGAATCAATAACAGGTGTGCAGAGGCTTGAACTAGACCTTTCCCTAAGGGTTGATCTTGACCTAGGAGCAGGGAGGAGAAGGAATGTATCAATGTCTATTTTGTCTGTTGTTTATGCTGACCTTTGGGAATTAGGGAATTTGAGAACAGGAATCCTGGTCTTTTATGCTGCTGAGCTTATTTTTGAACCTATCTTGAACCTTTGGAAGGCCACTGTAGTTAGTGGAAGGATGCAATGATGGAGTCCTTCTTAATTATGCATATGTTGCATCTGTGATGCACAACCCCTGCCTAGAGTTCTGGGAGGCCCTCCTGTGTACTGACCTCTTGCCCATGGTCTATTATCATGGTTTGTTGTCAGGTGGGGCTGGATATTCACACAGGACTGTGGCTAATTACCATGTGTAGATAGTCCGGTTCTGAGAGAGGAGGCCCACTCAGATTTTGTGAAAATAACTAATTAATGTGAAGGAGGCATACCTTGCCTGGCTTGAGCCAGGTTTTGGGTTCTACATGTTGCTCTAAACTCCATCAGAGGAGGTTAATCACAAAGGACAGAACTCTGAAGTCTCAAAAATGGCCTCAACTGCAAGGAATTTCTTTTCTTTTTCTTTCTTTTTTTTTTTTTTTTTTTTTTTTTTTGAGACGGAGTCTCGCTCTGTCACCCAGGCTGGAGTGCAGTGGCGGGATCTCGGCTCACTGCAAGCTCTGCCTTCCGGGTTCACGCCATTCTCCTGCCTCAGCCTCCCAAGTAGCTGGGACTACAGGCACCCACCACCATGCCCGGCTAATTTTTTTTGTATTTTTAGTAGAGATGGGGTTTCACTGTGTTAGCCAGGATGGTCTTGATCTCCTGACCTTGTGATCCGCCCACCTCGGCCTCCCAAAGTGCTGGGATTACAGGTGTGAACCACCGCGCCTGGCCGACTGCAAGGAATTTCTGTTCCTAGGAGGAACCAATAACTTCTGTTGATTGCTCTGGTTGAAATCTTAAATATTTAAAAATACCCGTAATAAAACATTTTCATAAAATTTTAAATAGTCAAATTCCTTCCCCTTCTAAGAATTACCTGTCCTCTTTATCCTACTCTGTTTTCCTTTTTCTGTCTTCCTTCTCACCTTTAAAAATACTATATAAGTTACTTACTATTTTTACTAATGTCTCATGATAGGTTGTAACCTCCACAAGGGTAGAGATCTTTGTTTTGTTCACTGATGTATCCCAGGAACCTAGGGATATTATTGAACGTCTTTACACAAAGAGCCTCTGCATTTTTACGACTTTGCACTGATTGGACTCTTCAGTGATATCTTCTTTGGATGTTTTAGAAGAGTGGCTAAAAAAGGAAATTCATAGTCTCTCTTTAGGAGGTTTAGAGGAAAGGGGCCAAAGGCATTAGCAATGTCAAGATCCTAAAGCCAAGGTGCAGGAGTGAAAAGGAGGCAGTGGCCTTTAGCTTCCAGACAATAAATGCTGGACCTGCCATTGTACCAAGCTGAATGAGGCAGGAGATGGGGGTGAGCTGCTCCACAGCCTTTCTCTACCTCTCAGTTCCTCAATCCCACCTTTAATGTTATAAAAATAGTTATAACTTTTTGAAATTCAGTAGTCAATTTTGTATATTAAGGTATAATTCATATACAGTAGACAAATTTTAACTGTAAAGTTGTTGAATTTTTTGCATTTGTATTTGTATTGCTATATATTTGTATACCTGGATCACGATAGAGAACATTTCCAGCACCCCAGCAAGCTCCCTGGTGCCTCTTTCATTGATACCCCCGCAGAGGTAACCAGTACTCTGACCTGTGTCACCACAGGTTAATTTTGTCTCATTTTGAATTTCATGTAACTAGAATTGGACAGTGTGTGCTCCTCTTTGCCTGACTTTTTTCACTCAACATTATGTTTGTGAGATTTATCCGTAATGTTCTAGGTAGCAGTGGTTTACTCTTTTTGTATAGCTACGTAGTATTTCACTGTATGAATGACCACAATTTATATATTCATTCTTCTATTGTGGACATTTGGGTTGGTTCCAGTTTTTTACTATTATGAATAACACTGCTGTGAACATTCTTGTACATGTCTTTTGGTGGACATAAGCATTTATTTTTTTGGGATATATATGCCAGGAGTGGAACTGCTAGAATAGAATATATGTATGTTTTATACTGCCAAACAGTTTTCCAGAGTGGTTGTACCAGTTTACGTTTCCATCAGTGATGCTGATTTCCAGCTGCCTTTCATTCTTTTTTTTTTTTGAGACGGAGTCTCATTCTGTCGCCCAGGCTGGAATGCAATGGTGCAATCTTGGCTCACTGCAAGCTCTGCCTCCCGGGTTCACACCATTCTCCTGCCTCAGCCTCCCAAGTAGCTGGGACTACAGGCACCTGCCACCACGCCCGACTAATTTTTTTTTGTATTTTTAGTAGAGACGGGGTTTCATCATGTTAGCCAGGATGGTCTCAATCTCCTGACCTCATGATCCACCTGCCTCAGCCTCCCGAAGTACTGGGATTACAGGTGTGAGTCTGGCTGTGTCTCCCAGGCTGGAGTGCAGTGGTGTGATCTCAGCTCACTGCAACCTCCACCTCCTGTGTTCAAGTGATTCTCCTGCATCAGCCTCCCAAGTAACTGGGATTACAGGTGTGAGCCACAACACCCAGCTAATTTTTATATTTTTAGTGGAGACAGGGTTTCACCATCTTGGCCAGGCTGGTCTTGAACTCCTGATCTCAAGTGATTCATCTGCCTTGGCTTCCCAAAGTGCTAGGATTACAGGTGTGAGCCACTGCACCTGGCCTCAGTTGCCTTTCATTCTCACCAACACTTATTTTTTTTCTTTTCCCTCCCTCTCTCTCTCCTCTCCCTCCTTTCCTTTCCTTTCCTTTCCTTTCTCCCTCCTTCCCTCCCTTCTTTCCTCCCTTCCTCCCTTTTTCTCTCCCTCCCTCTCTTCCTCCCTCCCTCCCTCTCTTCCTTCCTTCCTTCTGTGATTTTGTATTTTGATATAATTTCAAACTTATTAGAATTGTAAAGATAGTAAGATAAACTCTCACATACCCTTTATATAGATTGTTATTTTTCCCATTTCCTTTATCATTTATGCTCTTTTTTTATAAACATGTATACATTATTTTCTAAATAATTTGAGAGTCAATTGAAGGCATCAGCCCCCTTACCCCTGTCTTAGTTTGTTTTCTGTTGCTATAATAGAATACCAAAGACTGGGTAATTTATAAAGAATAAAAGTTTATTTGGTTCATGGTTCTGGAGGCTGGGAAGTCCAAGAGCATCTGGCGAGAGTCTCATCCCATGGTGGAGGGTATCACATACTGATGAGACATGAATATGAGACAGAGAGAGGAGAGAGGAAATCAGGCAAAACTCATCCTTTTTATCAGGAATCCATTCCCATGATAACTAACCCACTCCCATGATCAGAACATTGATCCCTTCATGTGAGTTAAGCCCTCTTAGCTCATTGATCCCTTCATGTGGGTTGAGCCCTCTTAAAGACCCCATCTCTTAAAACTGTTACTATGGCAATTAAGTTTCCAACACATTAACTTTTGGGAGACACATTCAAATCATTCAAATCATAGCAACTCCTGTATATGTCAGTATGTTTTTTCTGTGAATGAGGACATTTCATTTTATAACTATAGTACAATGATCAAAGATTAGGAAATTTCACTCTGATACAACTCTGTTATCTAATCTCCAATCTTTATTCAAAATTTGGCAATTGTTCTAATAATGTCCTTTATTACTATATTTTTTCGTTCTTCAGGATCCAAACCAGAATTATGTATTGAATTTAGTGCTCACTTCTGTTTAGTCTCTCTTATATGGAACAGTTCCTCAGCCTTTGTGTTTTCCTTACTTGCTTCAAGGCATGACAACTCTGTAATACGATTGGAACATTCCAAGCCTCCTTCCCCACTCCAGATGAGACCAAAAATAGAATTTAGCTGAGATCTTGCTGGGTACTTTCCCCTTCTCTTTTCTGCTTTTTTTTTTACTCCTGTAGAGGCTCTTGTTTCCCTGAAGATCATTCCTTCAATAAATCACATTTCTCCCAATCCCTGTCTCAGGGTCTGCTTCTGGGGAACTCAACCTAAAAGAATATGTATTAGGCCAAGCTCATTCACTGTTTTATTCAAATATTCTATAGACACATTTTTTTTTTTTTTTTTTTTTTTGAGTCAGGGACTCACTCTGTCACCCAGGCTGGAGTGCAGTGGCATGATTTTGGCTTACTGCAACCTCCACCCCCTTGGGCTCAAGCCATCCTCTCACCTCAGCCTCTTGAGTAACTGGGACTACAGACATGGGCCACCGTACCTGGCTAATGTTTGTATTTCTTTTATAGAGGCAGGGTTTTACCATGTTGTCCAGGCTGGTCTCGAACTCCAAGCTCAAGTGATCCTCCCACCTCGCCCTCCCAAAGTGCTGGGATTATAGGCATGAGCCACCACACCCAGCCAAGACACAATAATTTTTTAACCTCCATTGTCTTTCAGTTTCTGAGAGGTATATGTTAAATATCCCTTCCTACCTACAACTATAGATTTGTTCATTTCTGCTTGCTGTTCTTTCAGTTTTTGCAACATGTATTTTAAAATCATATTTTAAACTCATTTTAAAATACATGTTTTCACTCTCTTTTGTTTTGTCATAGTACTCTAATCACTTTTTTTTTTTTTTTTTGAGATGGAGTTTCATTCTTGTCGCCTAGGCTGGAGTGTAGTGGCGCAATCTTGGTTGGCTCACTGCAACCTCTGCCTCCAGGGTTCAAGTGATTCTCCTACCTCAGCCTCCCGAGTAGCTAGGATTACAGGTGCCCACCACCACGCCTGGCTAATTTTTGTATTTTTAGTAGACATAGGGTTTCGCCTCATTGGCCAGGCTGGTCTCAAACCCCTGACCTCACGTGATCCGCCCACCTCAGCCTCCCAAAGTGCTGGGATTACAAGTGTTAGCCACCTCGCCCCACCAGTACTAACCACCTTTTTATGTACACCATAAATTATGTATTTATTATGTTTGCTGTCTCTCTCCCTCCTCCTGGAGGGGCAATGACTTGAGCACTCATTCACTAATATATCTCTAGTGCTTACTGTAGGGTATGCCATTTAGTAGGTGCTCAGTAATTTTTGTTGAGTGAATGAATGACAAGTATGAATTTTTAACCATATCGTTCTCCCAAGCAGAATAAGAACCTTAGCATTATCATACTTTCCTTTCCCTTCTCTCTTCCTCCCTCTATTCTTCCCATTACTCTTATATTGGTATCTCCTGGAATCTTCTTCAAGATTGTTATGAACATTCTTGTTTTATAACCTACTCCTTTGTCTTAGTCCACTCAGGCCTCTATAACAAAATACCATAATCTGGGTGGCTTACAAACAACAAACATTTATTCTTGGAAGCTAGGAAGTCCAACATCAAGGTGATGACAGATTCAGACTCTGGCAAGGGCTCAGTCCTCATAGGTGGCACCTTCTCACCACAGAAGGGACTAGCCAGCTCTCTGGGGCCTTTTAAAAATAAAATTGACAAATAAAAATGGAATATATTCAAGGTGTACAATGTGATGACTTGATAGATGTATACATTGTGTAATGATTACCACAGTCAAATTAATTAACACATCCATCACCACACAGGCTGTACATTAGATTCCCAGAACTTGTTCATCTTATAACTAAAAGTTTGAACCCTTTGAATAGAACTGTCATATGATCCAGCAATCCCACTTCTGTGTATATACCCAAAGGAAATGAAATCAGTATCTCAAAGAGATATCTATACCCCCATTTTTATTGCAGGATTATTCACAATAGCCAAGATATAGAAACATCGATGTGTCCATCAATGGATGAATGATTAAAGAAATTGTGATATTAATACATATATACAATGAAATATTATTCAGTCACAAAAAGAAGGAAATAATGCCATTAGTGACAACACGTATGAACCTGGGGACATTATGCTAAGTGAAATAAGCCAGACAAGGAAAGACAAATACTGTATGATCTAGGACTTCTTTTTTTTTTTTTTTTTTTTTTTTTTTTTTTTTTAAGGGCACTAATCCTATTCCTGAGACTGGAGACCTCATGATCTAATCACCTCCCCAAAGACTCCACCTCATAATACCGTCACCTTATGGGTTCAGATTTCAAAATATGAATTTTGGAGGGACACAAACACACAGGCCATAGCACTACTTAAAATTAACAATATGTCTCACAAATTTCTTTGCCCATCAAATCTTTTGTAGAATACTTTATCCTCTTGGATTCATTTTCCTCTGCATGGAATATATTAATACTATTCCTAATTGTTTTAAGGGAGAATCTGTGGATGGAAAATTTTCTGAGTCTTTGTATATCTAAAAATGTTTTTATTTATCCTCAAACTTTAATGATATTCTGGCTAGGTATAGAATTCCAAGTTTTTTATTGTTATCATTACTTTTGAGACAGAATCTCACTCTGTTGCCCATGCAGTGGCATGATCAGGGATCACTGCAGCCTCAACTTCCCGGGCTCAGGTGATCCTCCCACCTCAGCCTCCCGAGTAGCTGGGACTACAGCAGTTGATACCGCCACGCCTGGCTAATTTTTTGTATTTTTTGCAGAGATCGGGTTTCACCATGTTGCCCAGGCTGGTCTCAAACTTCTGGACTTAAGTGATCCACCCTCCTTGGTCTTCCAAAGTGCTGGGATTACAAGCATGAGCCACTGTGCCCATCCTAAACATTTTTTTCACATAATTTGGCTGTTATCACCCCTAGTATTGGTGCTTTAAAAATGTATACTGATTACGTTCTATGGTATTAGCAATTATTATTGTTGTCGTTGGTATGGTTTTATCCTAATGGCACTCAGTAGGCTCTTTCAATGTGAGATTATACATTCTTTTTACAAACATTTACTGTGGAACTACCCCATGCCAGGCACTGTGTCAAGCAATAGAAAAATGAAATAAGGTGTAACAGAGATCGCCTCCTAAAGGAGCTTACAGTGTAGTGGATGAGTTATATAAATAACAAAATGATGGTGCATTGGACTAAGGGTTATGAAGTGGGAAGCACTGGGTATTAGGGAGTATTGTTAGAACATGGAAGAAAACATCTCACTTAGTCTCATATACAAAATCATCTTATGCATAGGGCATGTTTGTATATGATGTCCCGTGCTTAGGACTTAACTGTCTTATGCTTGGGTCTGAGAAGACTGGGGCTTGAGCTCATGGATACCAGAAGTACAATTCACAGAACCAATCAGTTCTAATCACAAGCTCTAGGGAGCATCAAAAGGAACAGGAAAGCAGGGAAGACAAAGGATCCATCTGGCCAAGCATAGCTTTCTGGTACCTCTTCTCTGTTCCTCAACAGTAAAAGCCCAGAGCATTGGCAATTGTCAGCAGCCTTTATAGGCTGAGGAACCTCCCAGATCTGAAAGAACTCACAAAAAGGCTCCCAGGCTTTTATTCCACATTCCCTCTCCTCTAATAGAAAGTCTATATCAGTGCCCAGAAACAGCTTCTATTATAACATAAACCAATATCATTCTACTCAGCAGGCCACATCACCTAGCCTAATTATTATCCAGAGTCCATATCCTGAAATTATTGTTTAGCCTTATTTATCCCATCTTTTTCTTTTTGTCTCTTCTGTGCATTGTGAACCTCTATATTTACATATACACAAATTTTCTGAGTTCCACCCTGGGGGTTTTCAGTAGACAGGCCTGGCCTACCACATTAGCACACTGTGACCTCTCAATATATGTTCTCTATTTCACATCTTCTCTGGTCAAATAAAATTTGAGGGGGTGGGGTAGGGTAAACTCTACTAAAAAGGAGCCCTCCATATGTATATCTAGGTTCTAGGTCCCAGACTCCAAGACCTGAGAGTTTGCACAGACTAGTGGGTGGCTGGTTTGCTCTCCATCCCCCTATCTGGTGAGTTTCCACTCTATGCTCACAGGTTCACGAGGACACATACCACATGCAACAGTGCCTACAGGAGCGAGTACAAAACTGTGACAGGATCAGGACAGGCCAAGGCTCCATATACCTTCAGAGGGTACAGCACAAGCAACTGGAGCAGAAGCTGAAGCAAGCAGAGGCCTGGTGGCTGCAGCTGGGAAAGTTTGCCCGCCTGGTTGACTACATGATTTGTCAGAGCCTCATTTCTGTCTTGGAAGAGCAGATAACCTCTTTTGTGGCCAACATCCTTCAAGTGAGGTGGTGGGTGGCATGTGTGGAGGTGGCAGGCAGTCCAGGGCCAGATGCTGAGGAATGTATACTGACATCTAGCCCCTCGACCTTTCCTGACCCTTTTTTTTACAGGCCCCAAGGCAGAAACCCTTTCTCTCATCACAGCTGGTCTTTGATGATCATGGTCAACTGTCTCATGTGCCCTGTGTTGAAAATATGATCCAGACTCTAACTGGAGGCCTACAGTCTGTCAAGACCTCTGCCTTGCAGGTATTCTGAATTGGGCAGAGAGCTGGCTGTGGGAATTCCCAGTTCCTATCCTCTGAGTAATCAGAAGCTCACAACCTGGTTTGAATCCCTCATTGCTTTCCCATTTCTGCCCCTTCTCCATATCCTGGCATGAAGGTAGTGCAGTCTGCAGACCTGAAGACCTCCTCGGATTCCCTGTATTCTGAAGGTATTTAGGGAGACCTAGGCAGGGGGTAGGAAGGCTGAAGGAGGGAAAGGGCACAAGTACTAATGGCATGGGAAGAAGGCAGGAGGTCCAGGCTATAGAGTCAGGCACTGGGTGTGGATGGAGCAGCTCTAACCTGGGTACTGCACATATGTGTTGTGGGTAGAAAGGTCAGGGAATGTTTTTGCTCACAAATTCACGTGGTTATGTGTATGTGCGTGCAATGAGAGGGTGTATGAAAGAGTGTGAGTACATTGTCCTTCCAAACCTGATTCATCCCAAACTCTGTGAGGTTTTTCTCCAGTGCCATAATTGCATTTCATTTACTACTGAATTTTATTGCTAAGTAAATTTGTACTTGTTTGAAGAGCTCTGCTTGCTCAACACTTGCTTTATGTCATATAGCTCTTTTTCATTTCATATGGATTAATTCATTGTATTGAAATATTTTATGGTTACCAATTATTATTGGTTATCAGTCTTCACACTTATTAACCATCAGCGTGGAAACACATCTTCACATTTCCCTTATTTAGGATACTAATGCTGTCACAAATAAAATCATTAAATGCAATCAGTCACATCTGACTCGTCCATACTTTTTAATTTCCTCATTCAACTTCTATCTGTTCATTAAGAAGATTTAAAGACATAACGTTAATTTTAGGGAATAGGTGACAAGGAGCAAAAAGGTTCACTGAAAGGAACCTGTGTCTTTTACAAATTATACACCAGTTGGGGCACATTGTTTTCTCCAAATAAATTTAGGTTAATTGATAGAGACTATTGATATTTGTTTTACATGGTGCTGTGGAAAGAAGAAAGGCTCTGGAGTCAGACTCATTAGTTTACTAGTCTGCAAAGTGGGAATAACAAACATACCTAACCTGAAGAATTATTTTAAAGATTAAAAGAGATAATATGTCTAGTATGGTGCTCAGCACATAGAAATACATGCTACAGATGTGCCTTCTTACTATTATTAGTATTAAATATGTAGATAAATCAGACATTTCACAGCATTTTCTCATTATATGTGGTACTAATTCATGTTATAAATATGCTGTAGTATTTTTTGAATGGTTAAAAGGAGCAAAAAACAACCTCTTGCATTTTTATTCTAAATTCTAGTGAAGCTGAAAATATTCACCTACCATGTCTTAGGTTGTCCCTTCTACTTTTAAAAAAGCACACGGATTGGTATGTTTAGGGGTGAAATGTCATAATGCTTGTATCTTACCTTCAAAATGTTTAGGGGAATGAAAAGATAGAAGGAAAAACAAATAATGCAATGTGACAAAATGTTAATAATTGTTGAATCTAAGTAGATGGATAAGGGTATTCATAGTACCATTCTTTAAACTTTTCTACAAAATTTGAAGAAAAAAAGGATCTGAATGGAAAATCAGATTCATATAATTGAGTAATCAAAACCAAAGTTCTTTTTGTTGTTTGTTTGTTTTCAAGACAGGGTCTCACTCTGTCATCCAGGCTGAAGTGTGGTAGTGCAGCCTCAACCTCCTGGGCTCAAGTGATCTTTTCGCCTCAGCCTCCCAAGTAGCTGGAACTGCAGGAACATACCACCATGCCTGGCTAATTTTTAAATTTTTTGTAGAGATGGGGTCTTGCTATGTTGCCGAGGCTGGTCGTGAACTCCTATCATCAAGCAATCCTCCTATCTTGGCCTTGCAAAGTGCTGGGATTACAGGCATGAGCCACTGTGCCTAGCCAGAACTGAAGTTCTGTTGTCCTTAAATTCTTTAAAAAAATTAAAAAGTTTTGATTTGCATTTCTCTAATGATCCATGATATTGAGCTTTTGTTCATATGCTTGTTGGCCGCATGTATGTCTTCTTTTGAAAAGTGTCTGTTCGTGTCCTTTGCCCACTTTTTAATGGGGCTGTTTTTTTTTTCTTGTAAGTTTGTTTAAGTTCCTTATAGATGCTAGATATCAGACCTTTGCCAGATGCATAGTTTGCAAATATTTTCTCCCCTTCTGTAGGTTGTCTGTTTACTCTGTTGATAGTTTCTTTTGCTGTGCAGAAGCTCTTACGTTTAACTGGATCCCATTTGTCAATTTTTGCTTTTGTTGTGACTGTTTTTCTCACTTATAAGTGGGAGCTAAATGATGAGAACTCATGGACACAAAGAGGGGAACAACAGACACTGGAGCCTACTTAAGGGTGGAGGGTGAGAGGAAGGAGAGGAACAGAAAAAAACAACTATTGGGTACTAGGATTAGTACCGTGATGAAATAATCTGTACAAAAAACTCCTGTGATAGGAGTTTACCTATATAACAAACCTGCACATGTACCCCGGAATCTAAAATAAAAGTTTAAAAAATGGAATAAATTTTGAATACAGGTAAATAAGTAGCAGTTAAAACACTAATAGTAGTCTTTAAGAAACATACATCCAACTGAGAAAACTGTTACTTAAATGAGGCAAAATTTGTATGGCCTTTTAACTAAATTACAAAATAATTTCAATAGCCCCACTTACACACAAAAGTATGAAAATTAACCCCTTTTCAATAGAAATGTATACATTGACTAGATTCTAATCACTAAAAGAATACTCAGGATATTATTAATAAAATAGTTGCAACATATTCTCCAGTCTTAAACGGCGTTCTCCAATATTTTCCAGAGAACATTTTACAACTAAACAAGAGAGTATTACTGTTACTATTTGATGTCCTTACAATTTTATCGGAAGTTTTCTGCAGTTCAAAACTCAGAAAGCACGATCAGCTAATCACTTTTCTCATCTGTCAGGTGTCAGATTCAAAAACCTTAAACTTTAGTATGGCAATATCCTACCAAGATTGGAATAACTTTTTGATATTTGTGGTAAGATAAATCTGTTACACTGAAAAGAGACAAAGGATTGCCTAATTTTAATTATATAATCTCTTGATGTACGTTTTGGTTGGGATGCCTGAAATTAGCTTGGAGATACAATGCAAAAATATGAAAACTGTGATTTTTGCAAGGGGACTGCACAGGGAAGGTCTCTTTGGAGTATGAGGTATGAGCAGTAGGACTAGGAAGAGGAAGTATAGAGGGAAGCAGTGTGACTGTGAGTAGATTTATAGATGAGAGAGAAGGAAAGATTTTTTTTTCCTTGCCGCTCTGTGAGAAAGCAACCTTGGAGGTATGAGGAGTCATATAAATATGTTTAACAAGAAGCTTTGCTCTGTGTGGAATGTCTGAGTCACTCATTCAAGGAAACCTATAGTAAAGATCTGTATCATTGAAGCCTTTCAAGTTGGATTGATATTTTAAAATTCAACTCCATGTTGACTCATATGTATTATATCAATACATATAAATTTTCAATTGAAGCCCCAAATCCCTTAGAAATGGCAGGTAAATTACATTCCTTTGATTTAGTTGATTTCAAATTTCTTCTTATGGCCAGGCACAGTGGCTCACACCTGTAATCCCAGCACTTTGGGAGGCCAAAGTGGGAGAGTTACTTGAGGCCAGGAGTTTGAGGCCAGTGTGAGCAACATAGTGAGACCCTGTCTCTACAAAAAAATTTACAAATCAGCCAGGCATGGTAGTGTGCACCTGTAGTCTCAGCTACTCAGGAGGCTGAGGTGGAAGGATTGCTTGATCTCAGGAGTTTGAGGCTGCAGTGAGGCATGATCACACCACTGCATTCCAGCCTGGGTGACAGAGATACCAAATCTAAAATTTAAAAAAAATTTTCTCATTATAAGCAAAGTTTATTTCATTCTTACCTTGGCTATGAAGTTAGTGATTTTTGTTTTGTTTTGTTGGTATGTTCTTTTACCAAATTCCATTAAAAATAGACTAGCTTTTCTTTCCATTGCTTGGAATCACAATTGACTTTGTATAGCACCATATTGCCTGAGCACTCTCATAGGTCTTGGCACCTAGAATCACTGCTCTTCAAGCTTGTCTTATATTTTGGAGCTCACAAAACAGACAATTACTAACTTCAAAGGTAGAGAAGAAGTAACAGCACCCATCTTCACAGAATTTGAAAGTAGAATATCAGGAAGAGAACCCCTGTCTCTCAAATTTCTGCTTATCCCTTTTTTCATCTCTTCTCTCTGTGTATCTTTCCAGTTCCTCTGCCCTGATTCCTGAGTCCAGTTATCTCTCCTTCCTTTGGACTTTCTGTTCCCTTATAACTACTTCTTTCAAATAACTTAAACTTTTTATGACACCGACTCCATCCTTGACTTTATATGATATTTGAGTTTTCCTGTCCGTGAGACTGATTTAGTTCAAACTTCAAGACAAGGAGTATGATTGATTCAGCTTCTCCTGTAGATTGCATGCTTTATTCATAAGCTATGGCAAGGGGATGTGTCATGGTGCAAAATAACTGGCTTTTAGCTATAGGCAAGGGTAGATCCTCTTAGAAGGCTGTGTATGGTGGGGGAGGTTGCAGTCTTCAGCTATGCTTGTGTTTGGCTATAAACGTCTATTATATGGGCCTGAGTATGGGGGTTGATTTTGGATTAAGTAATCTTAACTCAAAACTACGTACGCACCTATAACTAAAAAATTCATGATGCAGCTAGATTCAGCTGCAGTGGCCTAAACAAAATAAAACAAAACAAAACAAGAAGTCTTGAAGTAGGTGCTTCCAGAGTTTGTTCTGTGGCTCAAAAGTGGTCATCAAGTACCAGGTTCTTTGTATCTTTCCATCACTCTTTCCTGCTTTTAGCTATATTTAAGAGCAGATTCTGTAAGAGAGTTATGTGTGGCGGAGGAGGCCACAATAAAGTGGTTTTCATTTTTTTTGTTTTTTCATTCTCAGGCTTGTTGCCTCATAGTTGCAAGACAAGCTGCAATGTCAAGCATCCCATTCTCAAGCAAAATCAGGCAGAAAAGGAGAGGCAAGGTTAACAAGAGAGCTCTGTGTCTGACTCTCACTTTTTGCCAGGAAAAGGAATCTTTTCCGGAAACTCCCCATCAGACTCACTTTTACATCTCACCATCAAAATCTGCGTCATCTGTCTACCTCTAGCTGTAAGATAGGCTAGGAAATCAAATGGCTGACGTTCTCAGTGTCTCATGGGAGATGGTTCTACAACAATAGAGGAAGGGAGAAGGGAATAGCTATTGAGTAATCAACCAATGTACCTTCAGAGTTCCATTCTTCAGGTAGGCTCTGTCCACCTGGCAAGCAAGATAATCACCAGCATTCTCTACATCGTCATTTCATACTATACTCTTTCCCTTCTATCCCTCACTTAATCTTAGTTCTGTAAGTAACAATATCTTTAAGCCCACTAGCAGCCCTTGTGTTGATGTCTTTCTAGTAATTTTGTTTGTCTGAAGGTCACTTTTTACTAAATTCCTCAGGAAGGGCTTGTAGGGACAAAATTCTGAAGTTCTTCTATGTTGATAACAATTTGTACCTTTTGAAAGTTAGTGTTGCTGGATATAAAGTTGTTGGTTTATACTTTTTTCCTTTGTGTATCTTAAATATGTTACTATGTTTTCTTAGGACATTATGAGTTGCTATCAAAAAGCCTTCGATAGTCTAATTTTATTTGCTTTACAAAATCACTTGTTCTTTTTGCCTAGATTTTTTTTCTTTTTTATTGAAATCTAGTTATTTTTGTTAGAATATGTGTTGGTATTGAACATTCTGGGGAAGGATTGTCAGGTATGTTCTTTCAAAATGTGGCTTTATATCTTTTTTTAAATTTCAGAACAATTTTTCTGAATTACGGTTTTTAATATTTGTTCTCTTCCCTTGCTTTGTTTTTTTCTTGGGGGAATCTTGTTACTGATACATTAGATCCTTATCACCCATCCCCAATATTTTTCCCTTTCTCTTGAAATCTTTAAAATTGTTTATTTCCTTTTTAGTTGTATAATTACCCTTATTTTGCCTTCTATTTTTCTTGAGAAATTATCTGTCGAGTTTGTTTGCTCTTATGTCCCATTTTAGTTAAATTTCCATTATGAAATTGTTTTTTCTTTCATTTATAATTCTTTCCATAGTTCTGTCACATAATTTCTGAGTTTTTCTAATTCTGATATGTGTCCTCTCATGACTTCTATCATTTTTCTATTGTCTTTTAGCTTGTTTTGAAATAGGCTATAGTTTTGCTCTGGTTTTTGACATGCTTTCATTGTCTCTGGGGATTTATTCTATGCCTCGCTTTGTTTTTTTCTTATAAAAGCTTGGTATGGGGTTTGATGCTGATACTTTTCTACTGCTCATAGAAAACTGGAAATTTTAGCTTTTCTTAACTTTCAAAAGAAGACTTGGTTCAAAATAGTTCTCTAACCTCTAAGTTTCACTTTCTATTGTTTTTCTGTATTAAAAAAAGATGGCTTACTTTCTGAGGTTTTCTGGTTTCCCTCCCCTACCTTCATCTAGACTTTTCCTTTTTCTCTATTGCTGCTCAATCCTTATTCTACTCCCAGCATTTTCTCCATGACGAGCTCTGTCCCAAAAGGGAGCCCTGACTGTTTGGTTTCAAGAGTACACAGGGCATAGATTACTTAAGCTTCTATAGACCTTACCTCACCTGTTCTTGGAGGGGGTAAGACCCCCTTCCAGTTTTACCTGCTGTTCTGAAATGGGCCCTCTGCCTCCCAGTAAATGCTTGATGACTGTTTGGGGGTTTTCTTATTCTTAGGTCCATCTGTTGCTTCATTGTTTCCCTCTGCATCATTCATCACAAATGGTGATGCCATGTGTGTTTTGAGGTTGCAGATGGTTTGACCCCACCTACTTGTATTTTAGGATCTGTGAGGATCCCTTGCCCTCATTTGTTAAAAAATGCTATCCTTGTGTTTTTGGTTTTATTATCTAATTGTTCTGTCATTTTTACGTGGGCATTTGGGGGAGATTTCAAAATGATGCTGCCATTGCCATCATCTTCTCAGAATCCCTTCTGGCATTTTTTTTAAAGGATGATTCTTTTTCTTATATGGAGCAGAGACTGTAAAGTATAGGAGGCAAGGGCCAATGCAGGTAGAAAAGTTAGAAGGCTTTTGCAATAATGCAGTAAGAGATGATGGTGACTTGGGCTGGGGGAGGAGGGCAGGTGGTGGTCAATGTGGTGAGAATTGGTGGATTCTGGATATATTTTTAAAGTAACGACAACAGGATTTTTAAATGGGATGTGTTGTATGTGAAAAAGAGTCAAAGGTGACTATAAAGATTTTGACTGGAGAAACTGGAAGAACAGAGTTTCCATTTACTGAAGTTGGAAGACTGCAGTTTTGGCGGGGAGGAATTAGAGTTCATTTTGGCTCTGTTAAATTTGAGGTGCATGTTAGACATCCAGATAGAGAAGTGAATTAGGCAGTTCTTTAAATGGGATTGGAGTTAAGTGAGAGATCTGGGCTACAGATAAATCTGGGAGCAAATATATGGTACTTACAGCCATAAAGCTGGATGAGATTTCCTAGAGAGTGAGTACAGTTGGAGAAGAGAAGAGATCAGCTAGGAGTACTACAGGGTTTGGGTGTGGATAGTATGGCTCTTATTCTGAACATTTTAATTCTTTCCTTTATTTTGTGCGAAGTTTTAACACAAATACTAAACTTGTCAATTAACCAGTTCCTAAAGAGTTAATGAGTGGCTAGGTTCAAGAATATTCTCTAAGACAGATAACTGAGGACTGGCATGTTCAATATTCATTCCCAGCAACTCCTCTGTTCTGCAGATGCCAGAGACTACAAACTACACTTCCCAGACTCGCCTGCAGCTAGGTGTCATATACAATTTAGGATCCACCAGTTAGATCTACAAAAGACTTTGATTCAGAATTGAATTAAGAGGGGGAAAGAGTCAGGGCGTATGCCATCCGTTCTGTGGATCATAGCAGAGGCAGTGTGTTCTGTAGTTGATGGTGTGACAGTGATATCCCATTTTGCCAGGCAGAACACAGCCCTAGATGCTCAACCTTGAGTGGTTTTGTATTTTAGCTCTCCTATTATTCTGCAACCCATTTAATATTCTGTAATAAGTCCCTCCCTGCTTAGACTAGCTAGAGTAAATTATGTTATTTGCACATGAACCCTAACTAATAAATCCCCTCCATGGGTCTAGTATTTTACGTTTGTGATATAGATGTATGTGTTAACTCACTCATGAGCAGCGAATGGGTGTGTGTGTGTGTGTGTGTGTGTGTGTGTGTACACACACTGAGGGCAAGGAGAAAGGAAGATTGTTTGTGGGCTCTGGAGGGTACTCACGGACAATTATGGCCTGTGCTCCACTAGAAGAAGATGAAGAGGAGGACTCAAAAGACGAATTTCTGATGCCCAAGTTCCAGGGCCAGCCCAGCGATGCTGTGAGCATCTTCTGTGGCCCGAATGTGGGATTGGTGTGGCCCTGGAAGTCTCACCCAATTGCTGGTATCTTGGAGGTCCGTGGATGTCGGCTGCGGGGCCAATACTTCCCCCACAATTATAAGCAGCTGGAGGAAGACCTGGACAACAACCCTAAGATCCAGCAGGCACTGAATATACAACAGGTGCTGCTGGAGGTGAGAACAGTGGTTTAAGGGATAGGGCGCTGCCCACCAATTCCCATTATAGCCGCATGCCTCTGCCCTAAACACCTTGTCTGCCCTTAGGGCGTGCTGTGCAAGGTGCAGGAATTCTGCAGGGAACATCATTGGATAACAGGCATTTATGAATTCCTGCAATCCTGGGGGCCTCAGAAGCTGGAAGACATGAGAGGTGGTCCCATCAAGAACTACGTGACGCTGGTGAGCCGCCTGAATGTTTGGCAGGCCCGTGTCTCCAGTATGCCTATCGAGTTGCTCACAAAAGGCGGGTTGCTGCTACTTAGCTGCCATGATGTACAGGCAGAGATGGGTGAGTACTGCTTCTCTTCCCTCTCCTCCTTCCCTTTTCTGTATGTCTATTCACATGGCCTGCCTTGGTCCTGGAATGTCCTCCGGAGACCTTCGGTGCAGGCCTCTTATTGGACCTATGAAGCCTTCCAAAGCCCGAGGTCCCAGGCCCTTTCCTTTGCCATCAAAGCTATGCTCACTGCAAAGGCCGGCCTCTCTGTTTTGGCTCTGCTCATACCCTGTATTCCTTAGGAATCATGTTCCTGTGCTTGGGCTACTAAGCTCAGTGTCTTTACAGAGATTCTTGGGAATCTAGGGTGCTTTCTCTCTGCATGTAGCTGAGTGAAATTTATACTACGATTTGCATATGTAAAAAGCTACTCTCTAACTGAGCTTGTCTTACTCTGTAGTCCTAACTTCTACTGGTAGTGAAAGAATGTAACCTTTCCAATTAAAGAAAGCTCCTTTCATTTAAAGCAGTCACTTTTGGTCTGATTCAGTCTATTTGGGATATCTGGGCAATTGAAAATTTATACTGTAGTTCTGGGTTGTTTTTACTTTCAAATGTCTTTTCCTCCCTTTTCCTTCCCAAGGTGCCACCTGTACTGGGGAAGGCCGGTGGGCTGGCTTCTGAGGTGTGATACATCCTTGCCTGGTCTCTGCCCTCCTGACATTGCTGCTTCTGGTGCTGCTGTGTCCTGGGCTGGTAGAGCTGCGATGTGTTTTCTTGGACTAATAGGGACCTGGAGTGTCTGTCTTTGCTGACCTGTCCTTGTCTTAACATTTGCTGGCATAGCTGATCCTTGGGGTTTTAGTGAATCCTTCATCCAGTCTCTGTCTTAGGCTGGCTACCCCCATGGCTTTTGCTTCAGGGTCCCTAGCCCCTCAACACAGGAACTTCATCTAGGCCACTGGCTATCAATTCTCTGCTATCATCTATATCCCCTGCCATTTGGGAGTTGTGGGAAACTGGTAAGCATTATATCCGCCCCTCTTTTTACTACAACACATAACAGTATGATTTCTACTCTGCTGTGACTGTTTCATGTTAGCAAGGGACACCCTAAAAGGTGGTCTTTCCCAAAGTTCTATGTGGAAAGTGGGGCTCAAGACCATTCTACTACCTATTTTCTCCTCAACCCATCTCAGGTTCCCTCCTCTTGCCACTTCTACCCCTGCTAATTGAACGCCCAATTGTTGCTATCCCTGGGTCTCTGAGAAATCTGGCTTATGACCTAGTCTTTTACCCTCTTTTCTTTCTTCCTTCCCATGGGAAGGATATCTCATGCTATTGTGTACTAGCTAGTGCCTCAGCCTAGGAGTTCGCCACAGAGAGGCTCACAGCGGGGTAGATTTGGAAGCCAGTGATTTGTTCTTTTAGGAAATATGGAGGTTGTTCTCTTTCCTCACCTAGCCTCAAGGATGGCAATAGCCAATAGTATCTACTTCCTGTGAAGACTAGATCCTGTTGGACCCGTGGCTTCCCAGGCCTGCTTTCTTTATGAAGGTTAGAAGCCACTGGGGCCTGGAAAGAGTTTGCTTGTATGCCCTGCTTGCTTCGCCTTCCCTGTCTTGGCTCTCAACAGATGAAAGCACATGTATCATTAGGTATCCAGTGGGCCACTAAAACTCCCTCCTCTTGTACAGGGGGTTCAGGCGGGCAAGGCAGGAACCGGGAGGACGTTTGATTGTTTTGTCTTCTCTCTGGCCGTGTTTTGGTCAGGCTTTACTTCACTGCTGCTGAGAAAGCTTATTGTTGTTCTAGTTTGTTAGCTTCCTGATCCTCAATCCAGGACCAACTAGTCTCTTTAAGAGGAGCAGGTGGAGAGAAATGAGCACTGGATTTAGAACCCTGTCTGTTTTTCACTTGCTTTGTAACTTCAGATTACTGTGTTTTAGTTTCTTTATTTGTAAGCTGGGCATGATAACACAGTCACTCACAGGGTTATAGTAAGGATGACTAAGATATTATTTGCAATACTCTTAGCATTGAGTGTGGCATGCAGTAGGTGCTTAATATTTTTTTCATTTCACCTTATCCCCTTGTATCTACTCTCATCCTTCTTGCTGATCTAATTTTATCTAACCCTCTGACTTAACTCTGTCGTTTCTCTTCTTCCTGAACTCCCTTGAACAACAAATGGCGTAATTATACACTCTGACGAATTAGCTTCACCAGAAACTTGGGGTCACCCTTTACTCCTCCCTCTCCTTGACCTTACTACATCCAACCTGTCTCCAAATCCTTGTCATTCTTCTGCCCCCTAAGTATCTCTTAAATCTGTTTTTATCCATCTCCAGCTTCTAATCCCAAGGAGTCCTGGTATTTTATCAATGCATTGCTCCTTTATACCATACGGTGTCACTGTTGAGCTCCCATCTGCCTTCATCTGCCTGTTGCTACTGGTCCAAAAGCAGCACCATAAACAAACAAACAAACAAACAAGCAAACAAATGTGGCAGCATTGCAATGGCCTAGTTACTGTTATGTTCCAAAGGGACAGTGTGAAAAAGGATGAGTTTAGATCTTCATGTTCTGTTTGATATAGGTTGTCCCTCAATAGGCTTCCTCTCAGCAGGTTTTCTTATTATCAGGTCTTAGTACCCAGTCATCTTGGTTACTTCCTCCAAGTCTCTGAAAGTGACATACCCAGTATGTCTCAATTATCTGTCCCCCAAACTCACTATTTTACTTACTAGTTGCAGAGATGCTAATAGAGGATCGGTCAGTTTACTTTGCACATAACATAAAAAATATTTTTAAATACTTTTTATAAACATATATTTTTATGTTTACATTTATATTTATAACATAAACATGTTTATATTTAAAATATAATGAAGTGGAGCCATGCTGCCTGAGTCTGAATCCTTGCTCTGCCACTGTGTGATGTTGATCAAGTGACATAACCTCTCTGAGCTTCAGTTTGCTTATCTGTAAAATAATAGTATTTACTTCAAAGGGAATTTGTGAGGATAAAATATAATTAAAGTACTTGAAATAGTGTCTGGTATGTAGAAAGCACTCTATACTCTATTTGGTGTACCATATTTCTATATTGTATTTTTCCTATTCTGTGCATATTTTAACATCTCTGAACTTTAAAGGTGTCTCATGATTGAAGATGTGTTAGAGTTTAGATGGCATCAGTTTTTTTTCTTTGTTAGTGGTATATAAAATAATGGTGCTTCTTACAACGGGATCTTAGATTTTATGAGGTATCATATGGGTGTTATCCCTGCCCTCTGAGATAATAAAGTTGTTCATACTGCCAAGGGCAGCTTCCAGGATTACTTTCTAGCCCCTTATCCACCTGAGACTTTCTTTACTTTAATCCTTAAAAACAAAAGGCAGATCATACTACCTTCTTGGTCCCCTTCTTCTAGAGCAAGGGCAGTAAGACTCCAAAACCAGAATACTTTTATGTCTGCTAGGATACTCTGCTATTCACAAACATGTCATTTCCATACTGTTGCACACACTGTTTCATCTTTTTGGAGAATTAATACTCAACACATCCAACTCCAGTGTTCCCTTCTCTGAAGGGGCCTTGCCCAGCCTTCTCAGGATACCCCCCGGCACCCCCACCTCTTAGCTATACTGGCTGAAGGCTCCAGGCACTCACAGTGGATTTATCACACTGATTTGTGATTGCTCATTTGTATGTCTGTCTCTGCCTCATATTGTGAGCTTTTCAGGGTGGGGAAACTTTCTGTCTCATTCATTTGCTCTCGTCTACCAGTATAGAGCACAGTCCCCAGTGCATAGCAGCTGACTGGACATTGAGCAGGGATTCAACAAGCATTAAATGAGATAATTCATGGTCTGACCTGCCATTCAGCCTACTCCCACTCTGGACCACAGCACTGTCCCCAGCACCCCTTCTTTTTTATGCGTCCCCTCACACCTTACTCTCCTGTCTCCAGAATCCAAGCTGAACAGCATAAGGAAGGACATTCTTGCACACGTGCAAAATGAGTGCTGGAACCTCAGTCAACAACTCATGACAGAGCTCACAGATTTCATGCATATCTTCCGAACCATCAACTCAGATATTCATGCCATTGCACAGTGCACCCAGAAGGTGGGCTCTCCCCATCCATCCTTCCCAGTTTATTCAGGGCCCATCCTGCTCAAAAGCTCAGCACACTCTCTTCAGGTCTCTGCTGAGCCCCCAGCAGAGCTTGATGCTCTTAAACTGTGCTCGCCTAAGAGATCTACCCTTGCTAATTCTTACCCTGTCCATGTGGCCCTCAGGTTCCTCATGTCACAGGGAGGCCCTGGTGTGATGAGAGAGTTGTGCTCTCTGTGACAGTCAGATAGAAAATTGTTGCCTTGTCATCAAGGTAATGGGGTGGTGGGTGAGAAGTGGACCCTTCACCAGAGAGATCTGGGTCAGAGAGAGATTTGATCCCTCTGGAGAGATCCCTCAGGAGAGATTGCCCCTGATTCCAGTTGATTACAAGGCTGCAACTGGGTCTGGAGACTTCACTCCAAAAGGTGGGAGTTCCCCTTGGGGATGGGACCAAAGAGGTACATGGGGTTGTGGGGCTGCCGGTCTCATGCTGTAATTCCTGCAGTTGAATGAAGCCAATGAACAGTACGTCGAGCTGGAGGAGCGAATGGAATACGTACGGGCACTCCACGAACTCATCCGCAACCACTTTAGCCTCTTTAGTGCTGAGAATGAAGCACTGGACATCTCGGTGAGAAGGCAATTCGGGGAGTCACCCATCCCTCCCTGCCCTCCTCCCCCACAACCACATCTACTCCACTGCCCTCTGCTTGCCCCACAGCTTCTGGATATGTGGGAGGCATTTCAGTTTGAGAAAAGCCAGGCTTCAGAGTTCCTGCTCAGCAAGCGACATGCCATTATGCCCAAGCTGCAGCAGCTGATGGCAGCAGCATTGGCAGAGCTGGAAGGCCTGCTTGCGAAGGCCCTCTCCGGTCCCTTTATGGACCCCACACAAGATCAGAGGAGTACTGAGCACCAGCTCGTCTCCCTAGAGCGTCAGTTCCAGAACACAGTCAGCGACCTCAGTGAACTGCACCACGCCTATGCCATCTTCACTGGTACTGAGGATCCCTGCACCCTCCATTATCACTCTGTGATAGACCCTTCAACTGAAGTAAGAGTTGGAACTCAGGGTTCTGTGTCCTGTATGACCCCAAGCAAGCCTTGGGAATCACACACCTTCACTGGTGTCTTTTATAAATGAAAATTTCAGGACAAAAACATCATATATTGACCATGGCAGGTGTTGTGCTTAGGGTGGGGGTATGGGGGCTCACAGTCTGGTAAGGAAGGCAAACAAGTGAATGTTCCATCAGAATGTGATGGGGTCAGGGGCTAAAAGCATGTGTGGGAGAAATGTAAGTTCTCCTTATAGAACGTAGCCTTTTTGTAGCCCTGTTCAACACAGTCCTACACCAGGCAGCAGGCCCCGAACAAGAGTAGGTCTTGATGCTCTAGCAGATCACTTCCTCCAGCCAGTGTGGTATAGAGAGGAGGCTACTGAGGGCCTCACTAATACACAGGAGGAGGCCAGGACAGAACTATTGGTCTCAATTCTTTCATACAGTGGTGCAGGTAAGCTGGTTCCCTTCTGTTCTTAAAGAACTCTGTGGGCTCTGGAAGGAGACCAGAGCAAATATAAGAGCCATTACCAAACAATGGAGACAGGATCTCAGGCTAGAGTGCAGTGTCATGATCACAGCTCACTGCAGCCTCAGCCTCCCAGGCTCAAGCAATCCTCCCATCTCAGCCTCCTGAGTAGCTGGGACTACAGGTGTGTGCCACCATGCCTGGCTAATTTTTGTATTTTTTGTAGAGATGAGGACTCACTTTGTTGCTCAGGCTGGTCTTGAACTCCTGGACTCAGGCAGTCCTTCTGCCACAGCCTCCCAAAGCACTGGGATTACAGGTGTAAGCCACTGCGCCTGGCCTTCCTTCCAGAATTCTTATATGTATGTTGGATTTACTGAATCTCTCTCACTCATTGCTTTTATCTTCTTTATCATCAGTCATTCCTTTATTCTTTTTCTCTGAGTTCTGGAAAAATGTTGTGAGCTTGTTTTATAAGCTTCCATTTCCTATGGTATCACTTTGTATTTCTATTGCATTTTAAAACACACATTTTGCATGTGTATGCATGCTTATGTACACATGTATACGCATGTAACTGTGTGTTTATGTGTATATACATGTGCACACATTTGCTATCTCTATCTGCTGAAGAGGACATGAAGCAAAGAAACCCCAGTAGCAAGAAGCCACATTGTGCTCAGGTCTTAGTTTCTAACAAACACCATTCCCCATTAAAAGGAACCAGAGCTCCTTAGAGAAATGGATGATTCCAGGGCTGTGGCAGGGTAGGTACAAGATGAACCTAAAGTGTCATTTTATACCAGAAAGTAAGAAAGTATTAAAGTGTTTAAAAAAGTGATGGGAGCATATCACAAGGATTCAGAAGGGATACCAACTGGCTAAATCTGGAACAATTTGATCACCAAAGTAAGTACAATAATAAATTCTAAGCTATTGAAGTAAAGGCATTTATTATGCGTAGTAATAATAAATAGATAATGAGAGAGAAATGAGGACTCATGCTTACAGTAAAATGCCAGGAGCTGACTGGCATAAATGTGGAAGGAAGGCTGGAGTGGGAAAATTATTATTTTGCAACCATCATGGTAATTACCAGATCAGATAAGGATCAACAGATGCCAAATCTAGGGCAAATTTGATGAGGAGCAGAATATTTGCACTGTCTTTGAGAGTTTCTCCCAGAGATCACTTATTTGTTGTAAAAAAAAAGAAAGAAAGAAAAAGAAACAACAATTAGTGGAGAAATCAGACAATAATTTGACCAGGTGATTAAAAATTAACATCACCAATGAAGGACATAGGGACATGATCTGCCTTCAGATGTGATACTGGAGAAGGAAGGATACAATATCACTTATGTAGTAGTCCAGCTGAGAATGAGTATCATTTTTAAAAACCATAAAAACACAACATGAGGAACTTTCTATGAACAAAAAAAATGGCAAAAGGGGACTGTATACTTCAAAGATGTCTGTTACAAAAGAAAGAAAGGCTATGGAAATGTTCCAGATTAAAAGAAACTAAGAGACATGACAAATGCAGTGCTTGACCCTGGACCAGATGCTATAATTGAGGCAAAAAATGCAATCTAGGACATTATTAGGTCAACTGACAAAACTGAAATATGGACAGTAGATTAAAATATTGTATCAATATAATATATGAAATTTGGAATTGCACTGTGGTTATATAAAAGAATATCCCTACTCTTAGGAAATGCATACTTGAGTATTTATGTAACTTGCCCTTAAATAGTTCAGAAAAAAAAATTGTGTGTGTGTATATGTGCATACACATGCCCATGCACAGAGCATGTGAATGCAAATGATAAAGCAAATGGGTAAAATGTCAACAAAAGGCAAAGATAAACAGTATAGATATATATCTATACCTATGGAAGATAGAAGGTACACAATTTTTTTTTACTACTTTTTCCTACAACTTTGAAGATTGGAACTCATTTTCAGATAAAAAGTTTTAAAATGCATGGAAATTATCAAGTAGATATCACAAAATGTCTGTCAAAGGACATTTGCTCTTAATCCCCAGTTTGTCTTTATCTTTTCATGTGTTTGGAGATGATATCTCTGCTCTTTCTTACAGATGAAGTTGTTTATTTGTCTAATATTTGATGTTGAAACAACTGCTGTCAAAGATTGTATGGGACTCTAGCCATATCTTTGAGTTTAGACAAAGACTGGAAGAGTTTAGATTTACTGTCATTTTACTTTTTGTCAGATCAGAGCTTTGATAGCCTAGTGATTCCAGCTTTTTAATACTCTGAGATCTCCAAAATGGATGATGTGCACATGTGTAAGATGCATGAGGCCCAGCATTTGGGTGTGACTCTATCACTTTTTGTCCCACTCAAGAAAGTAAACTGGAGTTCAAGTTAATGAGATATCTGTTGTCTTTTAAGTAAATTGCAAACCTCGATATTATAATTATTGTTAATTATAAATTCCTATTGACACTTATCTCACAACTGACTATAAGTAACTGATTAAGAACTAATGTAGTACCCTGTGAGATGAAGGGGTGGAGGATAATGGCCGGAGGTAAACATGACAGGTCCTCTATGTGGGCCAGATCTTTTTTATATTCATCTTGCTGAACTTTCTTTTGGGCTGACAGTTCATTCGCTCATTCATTCATTCATTCATTCAACACATATTTGTTGAGAGACTGCTGTGTACACTAGGCTTGAGGTACATCAGTGAACAAATGATAAAATGCTTTTCTTAATGGACCCAAACTTCTAGTTGGGAGAGAAAGACAATAAACAATGATGATAACCAAATTCTGTAGTATATAAGAAAGTGATAAGTGATAGAGAAAAAAAAAAAATAGAACAGAGTAAGAGGGGTTGAAAATGCCGGGAAGGGTAGCTAGGAATTTTTAACCAGATAGCCTGCATAGGCCTCATTAAGAAGGTGCTGTCTGGCTAGGCGCAATGGCTCATGCCTATAATCCCAGCACTTTGGGAGGCCGAGGCGGGCGGATCACGAGGTCAGGAGTTCGAGACAAGCCTGGCCAACATAGTGAAACCCTGTCTCTACTAAAAATACAAAAATTAGCCTGACATGGTGGTGTGCGCCTGTATTCCCAGCTACTTGGGAGGCTGAGGCAGGAGAATCACTTGAACCCGGGAGGCAGAGGTTGCAGTGAGCCGAGATCACGCCACTGCACACCAGCCCAGGTAACAGTGCAAGACTCTGTCTCAAAAAAAAAAGAAGATGCTGTTTGTTTGAACAAGGACTTGAAGCTGGTGAGGGCATGAGCCATGTGATTCTCTGAAGGAAGAGTGTTCCAGAAAGAATAGACTGCTAGTCAAAGGCCCTTAGCAGGAGGGTGCATATCTGGTGCATCTCAGCCATAGTAAAGCGTCCAGTGTCACTAGAATGGAGTGAATGAGATGGAGACTAATTAAAGAGGAACTCTTCCCTTTCACTGCCATCACATTTTCCCAGATGGTCTTTCCCTGGAGTAACTGTTCCTTGGATTAACCCCACCTCCATTGTTGAGCCAAACAATTTGGAACTCCACCTCCCCCACCCCCAACCATCACTTTCTGGACCCTACCTTCTGTCATTATGGGCTCTTGACTGATCATTCCACCACCCCCCTCCCAACACTGCAAGTAGCCCAGGTCTCAAGTCAGCCCTCCCCCACAGAGGATGAGACTCCTGTGCCCTTGCCAATCTGTGGGACACGTCCTATTGTGCAGCAGCAGCGCATATGGCACCTGTACCGAGTCATCTCCGAAAACATCAGCGAGTGGAAGTGCATGGCTTTTGCCAAGGTGCTGACACCCTTCCTTGGAGCTCTTGACTGGGAGTGGAGGACTACAGTGGTGGGGGAGGGGAAGAGTCTCAAGCTGACAGTGAGCCCTTCTCCCTGCAGTTCAGCCCAGCTATGGCCCAGGAGAAGACAGAGGGCTGGCTGACAGAGGCAGCACGGATGAGCACAACCCTGGAGCTGCACAGCCCCGTGCTGCAGCACTGCATGCGCATCCTGGGGGAGTTTCGCAGCTACCTGCCCCTGCTCACTAAGCTGGGCAGCCTCCACCCACAGAGCCTCAACTGCCAGTGTCTCCTGCGTGGTATGTTTGGTTAATGTCAGAGGAGGGGGAAAGGGAAATATGTGAGGTTAGAGCGATGCAGCAACTCAGTTTCCTGCTGCTCCTGCTGGAAACACCTTTCATCCCCAAGTTTCTCCCTACCTTTCCCACATATTTCAATTTCTTTTCCTTAACTGGGACAAAAATTTTTAACTTCCCTTACTACCTCCTCTCTGCTGATGGTGGCTGGGCTTGGGCTGGGGCCTTAGCTCTGGGCTCTGAGTTGTGCTCTAGACCTTGAGTTCTAAGCTGTTGGCTCTGTGTTGTGCTCTGAGATCTGCTATCTGGGGTCTGAGCTGGGCTGGGCTGGGCTGGGCTCTGGGATATGGGATATGGGTTGGACTCTGCCACATACTGGGTGTTGCTCTGACTTGTTTTCTCTACCTCCAGCCCTTGGGCTGGGCAGTCTCCAAACTATAGAACTCCTAACGCTGGGCCAGCTGCTTACTTATCCACTGCTGGAGTTTGCAGATCGAATCAACCAGGTGGGGCCCTCAGTACAGGGGCGAGGGAGGTGGTCCAAAGCCAGGACCTGTAATAAAGCCAGTCAAGGGTGGTGGGTGTTTGGCATGTGATTTAATGTGGGGTTGAGCCTGCTAACCTGCCTGAAGGGCAGGAACAGTTTCTTTAAGTCTCCAGATGGGGATCTCTTGTGTGATTCCAGACTCCCAGTGACTGAGAGTATGTCCCTGATGGGGGAAGGAAGTGGGTGGCAGCCCCGAAGTTGTGGGCACACAGAATGGCAGGTGCCCCCCAACACCTGTCTTGTCCCCAGAGGGTGCGAGCTGACTGAGGTATTTGCTCAGTTGGAGCCTTGCAAAAGTGGGTGGGGGTTCCAAAGCAGTGGCCCTGGGGCAAGGTAGTTAGATGCTGCCGATGGCCTATCTTTGAAGCCTGATGGTCCCACTCTCGCTTCATCTCTGAGACCTCCACTTTCCTGAGCCCTGGCCCTTGAGTTCTGCCTCAGATCCAATCCCCAAGTCTCGGCTCCAAGCCTGTCCCCGAAGCAGTTACCCAGTCCTGGTTCCTGAGACCCAGCTGTTCCAGGTCTGGCAGAATGAAAATGAACGAATTCATGCCCAAGAGACTATACGGCGGTTGCAGCGGTACTGGGAAGCGCGCCAGCTGCGCCTGCTCAACTTCATCCTGCATGTACCCTACGAGCCCCCAGCCTCAGAGCGCTCCAAGAGGCAGGTGCTCCGCAGCCCCCAATGGGAGGTAGTGGACAAAGATAGTGGCACCTTCATCCTCTCAGGTGAGACCCAGACCTTGTGACCTAGTGAAAGCCCCCTGCTGGGGGCCATTTTCATCCACCATATCCATCAAGGCCTGCCAGATCTGATTCTCTAGCCAGGGCCCCATCCTTACTAGACAGCCTAAGACATTAGTCTGTTCTGAGACAGTGTCTTCCATGTAGCCCCCCTACTGTCTTAATCTCCTTGGGATCCCCTTCCCCTCACCCATCTCTACTCAATGCCTGGGTCCTTCAGCAAAGGTCCTCCCCTTTCTGGGTACCCTCAGAAATTCCTCATAGTCAGTTATCTACACCTTTCAATGCTCTGTCCTCTAGATTGCACCCTGCTGTCTGATTTTATACCTTATTCATTAATTCATTTCTTTATTCTCTCCCTCATCAAACCTGCCTCCTCTGTGCTAAACACAGGAGACCTTGAGACTTACAGACAGTATCCCTGTCCCCCAGAAATTTCTGAGTCCAGTGAGGAGAGACAGACAATACTATAGGGATAAACACAATGGAGCACCTTACTGAGGGCAGTAGAATCTCAGAGAGAGGACCAGCTCAAAGAACCAGAGAGAGAATTAGAGAAGTCTTCTTTAGGCAGAGGCCTTATACTGACTTTTTGAAGGAGTAAGAGTTTGCCAAACTTGCCAGGTGAGAAGGGCAGACCAGACAAAGGGAACAGCATTTACATAAGCATCCAAGATGATATAGCTAGGGCATTGCCAATAGAGGAGAATTTTCTTATTCAACGCAACTAGAACCCAGTTGGTGAATCCAAAAAACTAATGATGCATACATAGTTTAAGATTTTTATTTTAGCTTAAAATACATACATGTACATTTATTTACTAACGTTTTAACCTAATGACAAGAGCTTTTGTTTGATTTGATAGTTCCTCACTGCCTTTCTTGCATTAATGTATTGTCTACTATTTCTGCTTTCACTTTCTGCAAAGTTGGGCAGCAACATGAAGACACTTTTAAAGTCCTTATGAAGGGAAGGGCCTTAGCTGCAGAAGCTGGGCACTGTGTGGAGAGAGGGAGGTGGGGAGAGGACTTCCAAGGAGATTAAGACAGTATGGGAGTTACATAGAAGACACTGTCTCTATGTGACTTTTCCAGGTTTTTATTATAAGTTCCCAATTTATAAAAATTGACTTGCCTATACCTAATAGCATATGTTTAATCAGTTTGCCTTTACTGAAGCTTTCTGTGGTTTCCATAGAAACAGCAACTTTCCCCCCACCAATGTGTCAGTGGTTGTTACAATATTAGATTCAACTCTTTACTTAAAATCACAACATAACTCACATAAATAGATTTGCAAACACACTCTTATTCTTAGTGCGCACACACTTTAACTAGTGGAAGCAAAAATGTTTGGGTCTTGTAAAGAATAGCTTGAAATCTGCGAGTTTCAGTTCAGTTAGGGCTTTAGTCCGTACATTTGATGGTAAGAATGGGGAGCATGAATAAAAGAGCTTCTATCGCTCTGTGGCTGGATCCCAAAGAATAGTGGAGGAGGGGATGGAGCAGATGGAACTGGAGAGGATCAGATCATGCAAAGTCTTGTGGGCCACATTAATAATTTACTCAATAACATGAAAACAATAGAGGGTCACTGCATGTTTTTTGTGGGTAGTAACATAATTAGATTTTAGTTTAACAATATCATTCTGGTTTCAATGTGGAGAATGGATTGAAGGGAGGCAAGGAATGGAAATTGAAAGATCAGTTAAGGGATGACTGGTATAACCCAAGTGAAAAATAATAGTGGTCTAGATGAGGACAGTGGCAATGGGGAAAGGAAAGTGGGTGCACTCAAGCTAGGCAGAAGTCAGCTAGGCAAGATGTGTAACTGGTTCAACTTCTGCATAGAGGAGAATGTAGGTCCTTTCCATTCTAATATAGATGTTCCTTATTACCCAAATTCTTTATCCTTATCACCTCTTTATATCCAGTATTTGGTGAGGGGTGCCTTTTCCAGCCATTTGCAGCACATTGATAAATGGCACCCAGCCCCCTTGTTCACATCGCCCTTATTAAGGACTCTTAAGTTTTGGTGTGGACTGACACAAAGGCTGGATGTCTGCAGTTAACATTTGCACCAAGATTGAAAGGAGATTGTCTTCCCACTTTTGTCCTGAGCACATTTTATGCTAATCCATTTGCCCATCTCTGACCCTGGTTCCACACTTTGCCAGTCTGCTCCTACTTGATCTCTACCACTTTTCTGCCTCATCCTTAGATTTCTCTGCTACTAAAAGTAATAAATAAAAATTCGTAATACAAAGTAAAGGCTCTGGATAATGTGGGCCTTGGGATGCCTGTGGGCATAATTTCAGATACCAGCCTGGGTCCTACCAGTCTTTCCTGAGCTCACAGCCCTTCCTCCACCTTTGCTCCTTTTCAGTTTTCCCTTCTCTCTCTAAGCTAGCATTTGCACCAAGCACTTGTGTGGTTGAGGTTTCTCCCTATGGGTTCTCTCCTTTCTCTGTACCAGGCTTTCTTTTCCTGTTAACTCCGGGCATGTTAACCAAGGACCACATCTTTGTAGTGGCCACACACCATGAAGCTGGTGACTTCGTTCACCCAAATAAACCCCAAATGATGGACTTGTTATATATTTAATTCTTACCTCAAGAAGACAGGTTGTTACAGGATTGGGCACACCTACAAATTATTAATCTCCCCTTTAGATTCTTAACCAAATGAGGACAAGGATATATATGAAAATGAAAGTATACTATCAGAACCATCACCCCCAAGGAAGTTTGTGCTTTTTATGTATCATGTTGGCAGACACAGCTTGGATCTAGGTCAAGTGAGACTTCGTGCTACCTCGTCATAATCTTCCCCCAATTAATTGAGAACTTGAGGTCTGTGTGGATATGCAGAGAAAAGCTGAAGTACAGTTACACAGGTAGCTGTGTAGAGGACTGTGGCCTGCCTCATATCCCATAGAGCATAAAAGATGGGCCTCTTTGCCTCCTCACATGGGGAAGAGTAAGGGAAGAAGATAGACAGAGGGGCTGAAAGCATTAGTCCAGTGCTGTTTTCTCTAGAGAGTGGAGTAGAAGTTGTGTGACTCTGAGAGCAGGATAATGAGTTTTCTTCCCACCAGGGATGTTTGGAGAGTCCTACATGTGTCTGAATAAACCTCCTTTCTTGATTCTTCTCATTTTTACCCCAATTAGTGTCCCTACCTCATTTCCAGCCCTAGTCTTACCAAGCACTTGTGGCATGAAGGGATAACTCTTTAAGCAGCACCAGGGAGCCAAGCACTAAGACTATGAGAGAAAAGTTTGTTCTCAGCTTCTCTACCAAGACCCGTTTTAAGACAGAATGGGCATTCTTGCTATAGAAATATTACGTAGGGTCCTGGAGCCATTCAGCCCTCTTCCCGGGCTAGAGGCTCTAGTTCTTACAAAGCACTTCCATGGAGTTACGTGGATACTCATAGCAGCTAGTCAGGGAAATTAGCTGGCCTGGAGTCTGCCCACAGTGCCTTGGGAAAGGAGGAGCTTCTTCTCTCACCATTTTGAGACCCCAGTGCTTTACTGGCTCTACATATTGGCTGATGGAATCCTTAAAGGCAGAAAGGGCAGCTGGGCATGGTGGCTTACACCTGTAATCCTAGCACTTTGGGAGGCTGAGGTGGGTGGATCACCTGAGGTTGGGAGTTCGAGACCAGCCTGATGAACATGGTGAAACCCCGTCTCTACTAAACATACAAAAAATTAGCCGGACATGGTGGCACACACCTGTAATCCCAGCTACTCAGGAGGCTGAGGCAGGTGAATTGCTTGAACCCAGGAAGCATAGTACAGTGAGCTGAGATCGTGCCATTGCACTCTAGCCTGGGCAACAAAGCGAGACTCTGTCTCAAAAAAAAAAAAAAAAAAAAAAAAAAAGGGAAAGAAAAAGACAGAAAGGGCATCAGGGTCTCTGTAACTGCCTCTCCTGGAAGGTTCCCCTGGTCTCCTCTTCTCTCCCCCAGCCCCGGCCCTTGCCTCATCTGACTGCCAGTTCAGCTTTTTCTGTCTTAGATTACAGCAACCTGCAGGATTCCATCCAGGAAAGTCTTCAGGTGTTGTCCAAGATCTTGGCCATCGAAAAGTCAGGAGATTTAAACAAAATAGCTTTGGAGTGGGTGGCCATCATGCATGGCCTGGGTAAGTGCAGGCCTCTAGCCAGGCTGATGGGTGAGACCTGAGGCAGGATGTCCCAGAGGGATGGGGGTGAGAGGTGGAGGTTGGGTGGGAGAAGATATGAAGAACACAGTGAGGACCTCCTTCAGGGCTGTTTCTTGGGATGAAGAGATCAGGTTTTTATTCACAGTGAAAGTTTTTTCTCCCTCAAGCAAGTTCCCTGAGTCCTGCTGGGCAGAGTATTTTGCTTGGGCTGGTGGGGTACCTGAGAGGTCAGGAGCAGGGTGGACTCCCCTGCAGAAGGTAGAACCCTAGTGTTTCCCACCAGCATTCCTCTGGCTGCTTACACAGGTGCCCTGCTGGAGGTGTGGCTGACTTTCCAGCAGAAGTGGATTTTTCTGAATAAAGTTCTGCATGAGATGAAGATCCAGTTTCCTAATGCTGACCTGGTAGGGAAGGGGGTTGAGGCAGAGAGGGCAAGAAGGGTTCCTGAATAGCAGGGCTCAGCGTGGGAAAGGGGAGCTGCCACTTCATATTGGCCCTCACTTTTATCCTCTCCCTCACCACAGAACTCTCGTTTCAAGGTCATGGATGACCAGTATCGAACCCTGATGCGCATCTCTGTAGCTGACCCCATGGTTCTGTCACTTGTAGTGCCCAGTGCCGAGAGGAGCCCTTACTTCCAAGGCCAGCAGCTGCAACAACTGCTGCAAGCAGGATCGGTGGAGCTGGAGGGCATCATCATGAGTCTGGAGAGCGTGCTCTATGGGGTGTGTGCTCACTTCCCCCGCCTCTTCTTCCTTAGTGACAGTGAGCTGGTAGCCCTGCTGGCTGCTCGACTGGAATCATGCGAAGCCCAGCTATGGGTACGACGCTGCTTTCCTCATGTGCATGCTGTGAGCTTCAGGTCTTGCCCAACTGGTGAGAAAAACACAGATGACTGGGAGTCAAGCCCAAACACACAGACTCAGGTGGAGGCACTTGCAGTGCTAGGGGCAGGTGGGGAGGAGGTGAAGCTGCAGGGTCCCCTTCCTCTGCATCCAGATCTCCCTAAGTGGCTGGCCTCTCTGGAGAAGTGTCTGCGCTTGGCACTGGTGCACATGCTGCAGGGCTGTGTGGCTGCTCGCCTTGCTCGAGGCCCATCTCTAGGTGAGGCCCTCAAGCAACTGCCCAAGCAAAACAAGTTGTACCTGCAACTGTATGTCCAGCACTGGATCGACTTAGTCCAGGCCTTCCCATGGCAGTGTGTGCTGGTGGCAGAGGAGGTGGTATGGCGGGCCGAGATGGAGGAGGCTCTGCTTGAGTGGGGTACCCTGGCCATGGTCTCCATGCATATGCGCAAGCTTGAGGTACTGGTGAATTTTATGCGGGCCCAGAGGGCTTCCCAAGGTGGGCAGTCCCTGCCTTCTGTCCGCCAGACCAGCCTTCTCAGTGCCCTGCTGGTCATGGCAGTGACTCACCGGGATATAGCACAGCTGCTGGAACAGCACCAGGTCAGTGATCTCACAGACTTTCACTGGGTCCGCCAACTCAAGTATCACTTGGGTTCACCTCACATAATCCCCAAAAGCCCCCTACAGAGTCTTAAGACTATTGCATCTTCTGAACCCTCTCTGTCACCAGCGGCATGCTGGATAGATGTGCTAGGCAGGTCCTTCCTGTACAATTACGAGTATCTGGGACCTAGACTAGGGCCTCTACCCAGCCTACTGCCTGAACGGCCAGCCCTGGTACTATTATTGGCCCTAGAGGAGGTGGCCTGTGGGACCGTACTGGGTCCTAATGGTGTGGGCAAGAGAGCTATAGTGAACAGCCTGGCACAGGCCCTGGGCCGCCAGCTGGTGATGCTACCCTGCTCACCTCAGATAGAGGCTCAATGCCTGAGCAACTATCTGAATGGTGCCCTGCAGGGTGGTGCCTGGCTGCTGTTGGAGAAAGTTCATCAGCTGCCCCCTGGCTTGCTCTCTGCCCTGGGCCAGCGCCTGGGTGAACTGCACCACTTGTATGCCCCACTGTACCAGGAGGCTTCCCGAAACACAAGCACCATAGACCCCACCCAGCCCCAGCTCCTTGGCAGTAGCTTCTTTGAAAAACATCACGTGTCTGTGCGCCTTGGCTATGGCTGTCTCCTGGTACTGCGTGCCCTGAGCTCTGCTGTGCCTGCCAACCTGCACCTGCTGCTGCGGCCTGTGGCATTGGCATTGCCTGATCTGCGGCAAGTGGCAGAGCTGACTCTGCTGGGTGCAGGGATGAGGGATGCCTTCCAGATGGCTACCCGCCTATCCAAATTCTTCTCTCTAGAGCGTGAGCTGGTGTCTGGGCCCCTGCCCTGCCGCCTGCCACTGCTCAAGCAGATACTGGAAGACACAATACGGACACTAAATGTGACCAAGGAGGAACCGAAGTGCCAGAAGCCTCGCAGCCTAGCTGCCATTGAGGAGGCTGCCCTACTGCGCTCACCACTGTTTAGCATTCTCAATGGGCTCCACCTGCACAACCTCCGAGGGCTGTTGTGTGCGCTTTTCCCTAGCGCCAGCCAAGTGCTGGCAGAACCTATGACTTACAAGCTGATGAAGCCATTGGTGGTGGAGGAACTGCAACAGGTAGGTCTGGATCCCAGCCCTGACATTTTGGGGTCCTTGGAACAGTTGAGCCAGGCCCTGAGCCGGGCCTCAGGCATTCTGCTCCTGGGCCCTGCGGGCAGCGGCAAGACCACTTGTTGGCACAGCTTATTTAAGATCCAGAATCGGCTGGCAGCCATGGAGGACACCTCAACCCAAGGCTGCCAGCCTGTGGAAATTACCCACCTGTACCCCAGTGGCCTCAGCCCCCAGGAGTTCCTGGGATGGCTAGAGGGCTCCTGCTGGCATCATGGCATCTTTCCCAAGGTACTTCGTGCAGCCGGTCAGTGTAACAACATGGGCCAAAAGAGGCAGACAGAGGAATCAATCGGGATCCAGCACTGGATAATATGTGATGGAGCCTCCAATGGTGCTTGGCTGGACTCCATCACTTGCCTCCTGAGTGAGCTTCCCCAGCTTAGTCTCCCCAGTGGACAGCAGATAGCACGACCCCCAGGCACCTTTCTCTTGATGGAGGTGGCTGACACAACAGGCATATCCCCCACAGTGGTAGGCTGTTGTGCCCTAGTCTGGTGTGGTGGAGAGCAGACTTGGCAGTGTATACTTAGTGCCCTGATGGCATCCCTTCCTTATGAGTACCGCCTGCAGCACCGGACAGTCGCTGAGCTCAACCACATGGCTGAGGTTCTGGTGCCTGCAACATTGCGATTCCTCACCTGCCAAGGTGTCAGCTCTCTGCTGCAGGTACACGGGCAGCAGGCTGTTTGTGCAGGTGTGGCAGAAGTTACCAGCATGGCACGCATCTTGCATAGTCTGCTTGACCTCCACCTTCGCCTAAAGGAGGAGAAGGCCCCTGGCCCAGGTGGGAAGATGGACGGGCTGGTTTGAGAGAGATGGGGCCTTAAGGGTAGCTGGGGTATATAGCTGGAGCCTGGGGCGTGTGTTCTTTGGTGGATCTGGGCCAGGAGTGAAAAGTAATACTGTCAACCTTTTTTCTTTCTTTCACCTTCCACCTTTTTCTACTGGGGCTCCTCTCGTGGCCATGGCAACTTTCACAGAGGACCTCAGCTATAGTGATCCTGTGGCCCAAAGCTTCAGGTCTTCAAAAAGCAGCTTTCTAAACCGGTCCCAGGTTGACAGTGACGATGTGCCAGATAAGTGCAGGGAACACTTGCTGGCTGTCAGCAGTTTTCTTTTTGCCTTGATCTGGGGCTTTGGAGCCCACCTTCCCTCCAGGTACCTACCAGGATGGGGGATGGGAGATGCAGAGGGCTGAGATGGACTGGCCCATGGAAGTAAAAACCCACATGACATCACTGTTAGGGTATGGTGGAGTGTGTGAGTGTGTCATAAATGGAAGTGTTGTAACTGTCTGACGCTTTTGCCTGTGTGTCCATCTGAGCAGGTTCTGGCCCATCTTTGATACCTTCATAAGGGATTCTATTAGTCGCCTCTCCAACTACCCTGAGCCACCACCCTCAGCCTTGGTGTTTGATCTACATGTAAGCCCTGAAGATGGAACACTGGTCCCCTTCACTGGCCAATACCTGAGCAGCCACATCAAAGGAACTTTGGGCACCTTTCACCCTTCTATCCAGGTGTGAGGACAGTAAGGCAAGAGCTGGGGTTAGAACTTCAGGACTTATTTTAGGGGTAATCCATGTTCAAAGATCAGCTGAGGCCCACTTGCTCCCTTTCTTTGATATATTTTCACAATCACAAGAATACATGAAATATTTTCCAAGTACAGCTCTAGGACAAGTCCCTTAGACTTTTATTTTCAGCTAGATTACTGTCTTATACTGGAGGTGCTGCAGTAAGTCCCACTTCTGTCTTGCAGACTGAACGGCTCTTGTATGTGGTGGACCTGCTTCTGTCAGGGGGACAGCCAGTGTTGCTGGCTGGAGAGGCAGCAACAGGGAAGTCAGCCTTTGTGGAGGTGCTGGTAGAGCCACATCACCCTTACATATACAGCCCCATCCACCCTGCCTTCAGTTCCTCCCACCTCCGTCTCCTGCTGAGCAGAGGAATCCAGGGCCAAACACAAGCCAGCCCACAGCCTGGGCATCACCAGGATTCTAAACCCTCCCTCCTCTTCTTGCTGGAGGACCTGCACCTAGCCACTTCTGGTGAGGAGCTGCGAAGAGGGAAGGAAGGAGCTACTGTCATCTCTTGAGACTATAAAATCCCTAGCAATATTCATTGACTCTCAAATATATGTCTGTAGATCTAACTTTAGTGTTCTGTTCTTAATATCTTCTCATTCTACATATGCTCCCTGAACAATCCCATCCACTCTCATGGCCTCATCTCTGCTTTGCTAAATCTCTGTGTCCAATCTCACTTCTTTTCTAAGCACCAGATCTGTCTATCCAGCTGTCTACTGTACGTCTCCACCTTGTTGTCCTGTTGGTACCTCAGACCCAACCCTGAGCTCATCATCTCCCCGCGGCCAAAATCTGCTCCTGTCTGTCCTCTTAGTTTCACCATCCAGCCAGTCATGTAAGCCAGAAATCTTGTTGACATCTCATTCTCCTTCACCAATATCCAGTCACCATGTCTTTTCAATCCTACCTCCTTCATATTTCTTGAATCTTTCCACTTATTTCCATGGTTCAGATGATCTTTACTTGGAAATCTGACAAATGCTCTTACAAAGCTTTCTGTGATGAGGCTTTCTTCTGTGTCCTCTTACACTCTCTCTAATTGGACTTAACAAGTCAGGCTTCCTCTAGACCCTGGGATTGCTGTCCTCTCTGCCTTCTCTATGTGGCTAAATTCTACTTATTATTTCTAAATTACCTAAGGCAGTAGCTTCTCCAGGAAGCCTGATCCATAGGCTCGGTTAGATATCCATCCTGTGCTCTGTACAATAATCTGTGATAACCATGATTTTATTATTGTATGCTTGCCTATCTGTCCCTTTCACCACACTTGGAGATTTATGAGAACAGAGAACAGAAATTTGTCTCATTCATTTTGGTAGACCCAACAGGAAGTAAGTGCTCAATAAAAGTTTGTAGAAGACAAGATAACAAAGGAAAGGAGAAAAATCTTGATAAAAATTTGGGATATTGAAGTGTAAAGTTTCTAAAGTGGTATGCCTCTAGATGATGAGAGTTTCTAAATATGGCCATGGGATTGGGAAGTGAATTTTAGGTAGAGGTTGTTGGAGTCAAGGAAGTCAATGGGCTGAAGCACTGGATAGGCTATCCAGTTAAACAGCGAAGTCTCTTATGAGATGTAGAAAACTTGAACCAGATGTATTCGTACTTAATAATAGCCAGTACAATTTATTGAATATCTACTATGTGCTCTATGATATGTCTATGTCATCTTCAGTGCTCATAAAAGCCAAGTAAGATGGGGAATTTTTGCAATTATTTTAAAGATGAAGAAACAGAGACAGAGATTTTAGAACTTGCCCAAGATACCCTAGCTATGAAGTGTCAGAACCAAGATTAAAATTCAAGTCTATTTGGTTCCAAAACCTGTAGTTCCTTCCAGCTATATTATTTGGTCTTTGCAATGAATTTGCACAAAATTAGAGACAATAGAAGGAGTAAAGAGTGGTACAGTCAGATATATGAAGAGATTTCAGCTGAGAAGAGACTTCAGCAACATTGTAGAGTGAAGAATATTACTGCTGGCAGAATGTAAAAGGTGTCCTTGAGTGACAACCACCAGAACATCCAGTATAAAATAAAAAATAAATAGACATGCCAACAAAAACCCCCAGAAAATAATGTGACCTGCTGTCAAGAAGAAGCAAGCAATAGAATAGAAACTGACCCTGAGATCTATATAGCTGTACGCTGTCCAAAAGATGCACTTTAAATATAAAAACACAGATAGATTAAAAGAAGTTTTTAATGCAAAATATTTACTACAGAAATAGTTTGCATAAGGAAGTTGATGTGGCAATATTAATACCAAAGCACTTTAAGACAAAGGATATTACCAGAGATAGAAAAGGACATCTCATAATTGAAAGATTCAACTCATCAGAAAGACAAAAGTCTTAAATGTGTCCACACCTAAAATAGACATTTAAGTATAGGGAAAAAAAGCCAATAGAAACAAAAGAGACATAGTAAATCTGAAATCATATTAAGAAATTAATATGCCTCTCACAATAACTGATAAGACAAGGAGCAAGAAAGTAGGGACATTAAAGATCTGAATAACACTAGCAACACACTGACATTTACAAAACATTATACTCACCAACTGCAAAATGCACCTTCTTTTCAAATGCACATGAAACATTCACCAAGATAGACCATATGCTGGGTTACAAAATAAGTCTCAACAAATTTCAAAGGATTAACATTTTAAATAATATTTTATCTGACCATAACAATACAAATATTGATAAGATGCCTAGAGAATTTCCAAATTCTTTAAAATTAACACACTTCTAAATAATGTACCAAAAAAGAAATTACAAGAGAAATTAGAGAATGTTTTGAACTAAATAATAATGAAAACAAAACATATCAAAATTTGTGAGATGCAACTAAAGGTTATAGCTTTAAATATCTATCTTAGAGAGAAAAGCTTGGAATCAATGACCTAAATTTTCAGCTTAAGACTCTAGAAAAAGAAGAGCAAGTTATACCCAAAGCAATTAAAAGGAAATCAATAATAAAGAACAGAGCAGAAATCAGTGAAATAGAAAAACATACAAACAATGGAGAATATCAACAAAGCCATATTTTGTTTCTTTGAAAAAGATAAAATTGACAATCGCCTATTAACACAAATCAAGAAATGAAAAGGAAAACATAAATTTTGAATATCAGGAATGAAAGAGGTTTTATTAAAGATATTTAAAAGGATAAAAAGGGAGCCAGGGCCGGGCACTGTGGCTCACGCCTGTAATCCCGGCACTTTGGGAGGCCAAGGAGGGCAGATCACGAGGTCAGGAGATGGAGACCATCCTGGCCAACATGGTGAAACCCCGTCTCTACTAAAAATGCAAAAATTAGCTGGGCATGGTGGCATGTACCTGTAATCACAGCTACTCGGGAGGCTGAGGCAGGAGAATTGCTTGAACCAGGGAGGTGGAAGTTGCGGTGAGCTGAGATTTGCACCACTGCACTCCAGCCTGGTGACAGAGCGAGACTCCGTCTCCAAAAAAAAAAAGGGGAGCCAGGCATGGTGGCATGCACCTGTAATCCCAGCTACTAGGGAGGGAGGCTTAGGCAGGAGGATTTCTTAAGGCCAGGAGTTCAAGACCAGCCTGGGCAGCATAGTGGGACCCTCATTTAAAAAAAAAAGTTTTAAAAAATGGATAATAAGGGAAAATTATGAAAAACTTTATGCTAATAAATTTAGCAACTTAGGTGAAATGGATACATGCTGTATTAGTCTGTTTTCACACTGCAATAAAGAACTACTTGAGACTGGGTAATTCATAAAGAAAAGAGGGTTAGGCCAGGCATGGTGGCTCACGCCTGTAATCCCAGCACTTTGGGAGGCTGAGGCAGGTTGATCCCTTGAGGTCAGGAGTTTGAGACCAGCCTGGCCAACATGGTGAAACCCCATCTCTACTAAAAATACAAAAATTAGCTGGGTGTGGTGGGGGTCACCTGTAATCCCAACTACTTGGGAGGCTGAGGCAGGAGAATCGCTTGAACCTGGGAGGCAGAGGTTGCAACGAGCCAGGATCACGCCATTGCACTCCAGCCTGGGTGACAAGAGCAAAACTTCGTCCCAAAAAATATATATATATAAGTAGGTTTAATTGACTCACAGTTCCGCATGGATGGGGAGCCCTCAGGAAACTTAAAGTCGTGGCAAAAGGCGAAGGGGAGGCAAGGCACATCTTACATAGCAGTTGGCGGGGGCGGGGTGGGGTGAAGAGATGTACCATCAGAACTTATGAGAAATTGCTCACTATCATGAGAACAGCATGGGGGAAGCCGGCCCCGTGATCCACTCACCTCCCACCAGGTCCCTCCCTCAACATATGGGGATTACAATTCAAGACAAAATTTGGTTGGGGACACAGAGCCAAACCATATCACATGCCTTACAAAAACATAACTTGTCAAAGCTTGAACAAAAGAAGAAAAATAATAGAAAATGAACAGCCTCATACCTAAGAAAAGTTTGAATGCATAATAAATGTTTCCAGTCCCAGATGGTTATACAGTTGAATTATATCAAATATTTAGAAAAAAAGTACAACTTATATATACTTTTTCAGAAAATGGAGAATACTAAGCCATGATGAAGACATTTCAAGCAAAGAAATAAACTGTTATCTTTCATAAACCTAAATGCAAAAATAAATCCTCACTGAAATATTATTAAATAAAATTCAGCAACATACAAAAAGAATAATATCTTAAGACCAAACGGAGTCTATCCTGGGAAGGCAAAGCTGACTAAACATTGAAAAATCAATCAGTGTAGCTCACATTAACAGAATAAAGGAGCAAATGAGTAAGTAATATTAGTAGATAAAAATCACTTGACAAAATTCCAACACTATTCCATAACTCCCAGGAAACTAGGAATAGAAGATAACTTTCTCAATTTGATGAAAAGCATCTATTATACTTACAGCTAAATACATACTTAATGGTTAAATATTGAATACTGTCCCCCTAAAATCAGTTAAAAGGCAAGAACATACTCACTGCTTCTATTCAACACTGTACTGGAGACCACATCGACGCAATTAAGAAAAAGAAATAAAAGCTTTTAAAATTAGAAAAGACAAGTTAAAACTGTCTGTATTGGCATGTAATATGATTGTCTACATAGAGACCCCAAAGGAATATTTTTTTAAACCCCATAAAAAACTACTACAATAAATAAGTTAATTCATCAGGGTCACAGGATACAGAATCAATCCATTGAAATCATTTGTACTTCTATATCCTAGTAACAAAACATTGGAAATTGAAATTTTAAAATATCACTTAAAAGTCATTTAAAAGCATAAAATACTTAGGAATAAATTTAATTAAAAGCATTCAAGATCTGTACACTGAAAATGACTAAATATTGCTGAGATAGAGGAAATGTAAATAAATGGAGAAATATATGATGTTCATGGATCAGAAGAGTCAGTATCATTAAGGTCTTCATTCTCCCCCAAATGATCTATAGATTCAATGCAATGCCAAGCTAAATCTTAACAGATTTTTTTTTGGTAAGTTGACAGTCTTATTCTGAAACTTATATAGCAATGCAAAAGATCTAGAGCAGCCAAGCAACTTTGAAAAAGAACAAAGTTGGGACACCTACACTAGTGATGTTAAAACTTGCTATACAGTTGTTGTAATGAAGAGAGTGTGGTATTGGTATAAGGATATACATATGGACTAATGGAATAGAACAGAAAATCTGATATATAGTCATATGTGGCCAGTTGATTTTTAATAAATGTGCCAAGATAATTCAATGGGGGAAAGGATAGCCTTTTCAAAAAATGGTGCTGGAACATCTGGATATATGCATGGAAAAAAATGAACCATGTATTCTACCTCAAAATCTAGATAAAAATAAATTATAGGTGGATCACAGACCTAAAGCTAAAACTATAAAATTTTTAGAAAAAAATTGGAGAAAAATCTGTGTGACCTTGGTTGGGCAATGATTTCTTGGGCACAAAAACTAAATTTTATCAAAATTGAAAACCTATGCCCTTCAAAAGACACTGTTACGAAAATGAAAAAAATAAGCTATTGACAGAGAAAACATGCATGATACATGTATCTGACAAAGGACTTGAACCTAGAATACATAAAAAACTCTTACAACTCAATAAGAAAACAAACATCATCCCAATGTTTTAAATGGACAAAAGACTTACACTTCACAAAAGATGTATGAGTGGGCAACAGTATACAAAAAGATGCTTGATATTATCAGGCATCAGTGAACTGCAAATTTAAACCACCATGTGATAATTAAAAAGACTGACAATAATAAGTGTTTTCAAAGATGTAGAGCAACTGAAACTCTCTCACTTTGATGGTGAGAATGTAAAATGGTACATCCACTATAAAAAATATATGCCAGTTTCTTACAAAATTAAATATTACTTAACATATGACCCAGCAATTCCACTCTTAGGTATTCACCCAAGTAAAATGAGAACCGCATATCCTCAAACTTAGTATACATGAACATTCATAGCAGCATTGTTCTGTATAATGGTAAATCCACATCTCCACCCAAATGGCTCCAGGTGGTGGCAAGAGATAAGAGTTTAGAAGCGCCTCTCCCACCCAGCAGACTAGCTCCCTGCTTTGCCTCCTTTCCTTTAAAAACAGGCCATTCAGGCATTTGCCTGAAAACTTAAAATGACCCACACCCTATTCCCTTACATATACTGCCAGTCCCTCCCTCCATCCCTCCTCTCCTCCCTCATTCCCTCTCTCTCTGTCTCTCTCTCTGTCTCTTTCTCTCTCTGTCTCTCTCAATCTAACTCTTCATTGCTGCCTCAGGTGACATGAGGATGGAGGACTGATCTCCCGGCTCATTATGCCCTCCTTGCACAGGATTAAGTAAAAATCTTTGAACTTGTTTCCTATTGTTGTGGTGTATTGAATTTGTCCTTCTATCTAAAGAACCAGAATAAGTTTTCTGTGTGAAGGACTCTCTGGTCACAGGTCAGACAACTAGGCATTAGGCTGTCCATCAGATAAAAGAAGTATCCTGTGAAAGGCACACTGTAAACCCCCACACTCAGCTCCCCTTTATTTCCTGTTAGGGCAGGGTTGTTGGCTGCTCTGGTACTAGAACACCAGTTTAACTGGGGGCTCTCAGAAAAATACTACTCAGGAATAAAATGGAACAAACTAAGGAAACACGCAAAAACATGGATGAGTCTCAAAAACCTGCTGAGTAAAAGAAGATAGACATGATCAAGTACATACCGTATGATTCTATTTATATGAGGTTCTAGAACAGACAAAGCTAACCTATAGTGATGGAAATCCGATCAAATAACAATGCCTGTGATGGTGGTGGCAGAGGGATTGATTGGCTTTAAAGGAGCATGAGGAACTTTCTAGGGTGATGAAAATGTTCTAAATATCATTGGGGTGGTGATGACACAGGTGTGTACATTAGTCAAAATTCACTGAACTGTACACTTAAAATGTATACATTTTGTTGTATGTAAATCATGTCTTAATAAAATTTATTTTTAAAATTTATTATTATTATTATTTTTAGAGACAAAGTCTCACTCTGCCACTCAGGCTGGATGGTGCGATCAGGGCTCACTCAAGCTCTTGTGCTCAAGTGATCCTCCAGCCTTAGCCTCCCAAGTAGACAGGTCTACAGCACACATCACCAGGCCCAGCTATTTTATTTTTCATTTTTTGTAGAAACAAGGTCTTGCTATGTTACCCAGGCTGGTCTTGAACTCCTGGCCTCAAGAAATCTTTCCATCTCAGCCTCCAAAAGTGTTGATTACAGGAGTGAGCCACCACCTCCCAGCCTAAAGTTGATTTTTTTTTAAGTGCACATGTGATATAACTGTATTCTCTTTGACTGAAATGATTGCGCTTTCCTGCTAATTGTGATCGATCTGGTTTCTATCCTTCTCAGCTTCCAAATCTTATTATTCATTAACCTTCAGTTAATGATTATTCATTATTATCATTATTAACCTTCGGTTAATGAATAATAAGTCACAGAGGTAGGATCTAGGGAGAAGAGAGAAGAAATTCCTCAATTTTAGGGAGAATGTGGGGGAGGGAGAATAGCTTACTCAAATGTGACCAAGTCCCAACACGTCAGATTCACAAAATTCCTTTAGAACCGTGTGTGGCAGGAATAGAGGGAACAGGTTGATACTCTCATGTGGACTTTTACATGTCCTCATTATTATTCCTCATGTCCCATAGACCCAGAGAAGAGCTGCCAGCCAGTGTTGGAGACTCTGCGCCAGGCCATGGATGGCACTGTGTATGCCCACAGCACCTTGGAACTGCAGACGCTGCAGCCTACAGTCAACTTCCTTGCCACTGTCACAGTGCCAGGATACTGTGAGCGCCCACTGTGTCCACGCCTCTTTCGACTCTTCACAGTCCTGGCCCTGGAAAGCATGACCCAGGCCACCCTGCTGGAAAGACATGTGCCTATCATTCAGGCTTGGCTTGAGCGTTTCCCTTCTGTGGAACGGGAGCGTGCTCTGGCACGAGGTCTGGTTAGGGCCTCAGTAGAGGCCTGGGAGGCTGTGTGCAATTGCTTCATGCCTTCACCCCTCCACCCACACTACCACTTCTCCCTACACTCTGTGAGCCACCTACTGAGCAGCCTGCAGCTGCTGCCCAACAGAACAGGCTCCCGAGGTTTTGTGGACTATCCCAACCACCAGGAGCACTTGCGCCGGGTGTCAGGCCTGCGAGGCACTTGTCTGACCGTTATGATGGCCACACGCAATGTGGTGCGTCTTTGGTTGCATGAGGCACAGAGAACCTTTTGCGACCGGCTGGACAGCCCCAGGGAACGCTCCTACTGTGCCAAGCTGCTCCTAGTAGTAGCTCAAAGTGTCTTCTGCTGTGGGCCAGGGCCCCAGCACCTGGGCAAGGACCATCAGGAGAGTGAGGAGGAGGAGGAGGAGGAGAGGGTGCCCGAAGTAGAATCTGAAGGGGAGTTGGCCCAGTGGGAGGACTTCAGCAACAGCAATAGTGAAACAGAGGAGGAAGAGGAACCTTATGGCCTTCAGGTCGCCAGAGTCTCAAACTCCAGAGATCCAAGTCTAACACCATCCATAGGACCAGTAAGCAGGGGGATGAAGGAAAGCATAAGTCACAAGATAAGGCAAGAGAAAGGCACAAGGGCATCCAACTATAGGCTCCAGGTAAGGAGATCATTCAAGACTTGGTGGCAGAAGAAACCCCAGATGGACCTGATCTCACCCTTGTTGTTACCAGTGTTACTACTACATCCCCAGGAAAAGCCCTCAGACCTGGTCTTCAGTCAGGAGCTGATACTGGGGCCTAACTCTGAGACCCCCAACTTGTACCTGGAACGACAGTGGGAGAAGCTAGAGGAGCAGTTGGCCACCTCAGCTGCTCAACTGAAGTTGAGCCCCCACCTGGCCCGGTGTCATTCCATGGCCCAGCACGTGGCCCGCCTGGTCCGGGTGCTGGCCAGGCCCCGGCAGCATGGCCTGCTGCTCTCGGGGGCTCTGGGTACTGGGCGCCACACTGCCATCACTCTGGCTTCTAGCATTTGTCAGGCCCATTTCTTTCATCTACCATCTGGGTCAGAGGAGGCCATTCTCCAATGTCTACGAGATGCCAGCTGGCATGCTGGCATGTTAAGCCAGCCAGTGGCTCTGTTGGTACCCAGTGGTGTGGATCTCACTACACTTCATCGCCTCCTGGCCCTGGCAACCTCAGGCAGTTTCCCTGGCCAGTACACAGAAGCAGATTTGGACCGCATTGGAGAACACCTCCCCAGGGAGAACCTTGGTGTCAAACAGAACATCAAGAAGGAAATGGTGTTGCAGAGGTGAGGCCAAGAACCCCATATGCGAATCTGCTCTGCTCTTACGCTGTCTTGGCCAAAAGGCCAAAAGGAATTCTGTGGGCTGCCATGAGGGCTGAGAAGATTGGGGCTAAGTGGTCTGGCTGGGACTGGGGCCAGGAGGGGCAAGCAAAGGTAAAGGGGAGGACATTAGCTGAGCCCTGGCCCACAGGTTCCACCAGCAAGTGTGCAGCCACCTTCACCTGTTCTTCCTGATTGGAGATAAACAGGCCCACAAGCAGCTGCCCTCCACCCTTTTCCTGAGGCTCCTTCAACTGGCCACTGCCAGCATTGACCGCTATGAACCCTGGGACCAAGCTGCCCTGGCCAAGGTGGCCCAGCATCACCTGGAGGGTGCTCAGAGTGTGCCCCTTGATGACGGTAAGCCCTTTTTACTTGTCCTTACCACTCATCTCTACCAGGCTCTAATGAGGGTTATTACCTAGGTCAGTCTCTCTCTCTCCCTCTCTAGAGCCTACAGAGCCCCCTTCACATTTCCTACCCTTCTTCCTGAGCTAGGAGAGGATCCCTTTCCTTTCCTGTTTTCCTACAAGCTCACAGAGTGAGGCTAAAGCCATGCCCATTGCAGGCTCCTGGAAGTACCCAGACCTCCAGGCCTCAATTCCCAGTGTGGCCAAAGCCATGGCTCTTATCCACCTTTCGGCCACCCACTACCATGAGCACCTGTGCCCTGCATTGCCACTCGTCACCCCCAAGACCTTCCTAGACTTCCTGGACACTTTCCTGATGCTGCAGCAACAGACAATCCTGAAGATTAAGAACAAGGCCCAGCGGTGAGTGTCCCGTCCCCTGCAGTGTACCTCCTTCTGCTCCTTTGGGTTTCCTCACCAGCACATTGTATCTCCAGGGTCCAGAATGCCTTGGAGAATCTGAGAATGCTGATTAAGGAGCACGGTACCCATGCCAATCTGATCTTTGACTTGGAACAGCAGCTGAAAGACTCCGGCAAGGTAAGGAGATGATTTTGAGGCTTCCATGGTGGTGTCAAAGCAGGAGCCCAAAGGGGACTTGAAAGGAAGCAACCAGAATGAACCTTAATTCTTGTCCCCCTAAGCTTCCCCTTTCCCTAGGAAATCTCTCTGATCTCCGCTGCCTCCTCCTTTACAGCTTAGGTTCAAAAGTTTCCCATGATACAGCTAAGACCAGATTGATTCTTCATAACAGGTGAAACCCAAGCATCTGCTTCTGGCTGCCCCTAGTACCATGATCATGTGAAGTTCAGTATGCTGCCAAGATCTCTGTAGATTCCCATGGGGGTTGGGGCAGGCATTACATCTCAGTCACCACTCACTCACCTCTTAGAGTTATCCTCTTTTTCCATAACACTTTGTCCCCATACCCTTTCTTCCACAAAAGCAACAAACAAAACTGTTGTATACAGTGAGGACATGTAGATGGGTGATGGCAGCAGGGAGAAATTTGTATTATGGCATAGAACCAGAAGTAAATTTATAATGGTATACTAGACAAGAGTGTCCTGAATTGTCTTACTCACCCTCCTCTACCAGGCATTTTCCAGTGACCAACTTTTCCTTTCCTCTCTCGTCTCTCTAACACCTGCTCTACAATGTTTTTGAGCCGTCCCATTTTTCCTTTAGCGCTCCCTTCTAGTTGAAACCTCAAAACCTTTTGCTGTCATACAGAACAATCTTATTCTTTGAATAAACAAACTTCTTATATCTGGCTAAAATTGGTGATGATAGGGCTTATCACACCTTCTAAAGCCAAATACTCCTAGTTAAAGGTGTCTTCCCAAACTAAAGAGCAGTTTTGTTTTTAATAAGAAGAATTCTAAAATAGCACCTTTTTTTCCTACTACACAAGATGTTGATAAATATTCTGGTATAACTTCAGAGCAGTGAACTAGTGCCCATCTCACACTCAGATAATCTTTCTACTAGGGTTTCAGGTCTTAAGCTCCTAATACCTAGCCAGCTCTTCTGATAAGTGCCTTTAGGACTATCATCCAGTGCCACACAACTCCAGAGACATGGCATATGTCGTGTCTACTAATATGGTTTTCACTGTGTTTTACATAAATGGTATCCCCTGGAGTTTTAAAGGTACTGGTGCCCTCCTACTATTCACCACCTAGGATGAACAGCTTAGATTAGACCTCAAGACTCAGTTAAGTTGCAAAGAAAGAAAAGAAAGTCAGAGAGCAACAGAAATCCCCTTTCCCAGTTTTTTGCCCTACATTTTCCCAAGATGATTAATACCAGGATTGTTGATCTGGTTTAGGGGTCCTAGTATTCCTTGATCTGTGAGTCAGTTACACCAGAGCAGAACACAGTAAGCCAAAGGTCTGGATAAGAGATGTTCGTAGTCTCAGGGTCATTCAGAGTCAGATCCCTTGGTCGTTCATTCAATAGCCATAATAGTGTGTACTTCTTCCAGTGTTCCCCACCCCAAGAAAAGGCATTACCACCCACTGAGCCAAATCCCAGGACTCATTCTGGGCCCCTCCATCTCTTTACTCTCTTATATTTAACTGGTTAATTTTTTCATTATTGCACTCAACAAAAATTTATTTTTTGTTCAGGCATTTCTTAATATTTATGTCTATGTCAATATATGCCTACATTTACATCTAGATGGATGGATAGATAGATAGATGATAGAATCCTTGCCCACACCTTTCTGAGGTAGCTATTCTTTTCTCACTTTACAGATGAGAAAACAAAGATCCAGAAAGGTTAGGGAGACTTCCCTAACCTTATAAGGTTGTGATGAGGATTAAACAAGATCTTACATGTCAAGTATTTAAATGTGCTGGCACATAGAGCTCAATAAATGTTAGTTACTATTAATATTAGGTTAGGCCAGGCACAGTGGCTCATGCCTGTAATCCCAGCACTTTGGAAGGCCACTGCCAATGGATCACTTGAGCCCAGGAGTTCAAGACCAGCCTGGGCAACACAGCAAAACACTGTCTCTACAAAAAATTACTCAGGCATGGTAGCACCTATCTGTAGTTCCAGCTACTCAGGAGTCTGAGGTGGGAGGATCACCTGAGCCTGGGAGGTTGAAGCTGCAGTGAGAAATGATTGCACCACTGCACTCCAGCTTGGGTGACATAGTGAGACCTTGTCTCCAAAAAAGAAAAAAAAGAAAAAAATAGGTTAGATTGCTTCCTAATAAGAGGAGATAGGGCACTATCCTTACCTTCATGGTGCTTATAGTTTAGCAGAAGATAAGAAGATATAGACTCATCCAGGCAATGACAAAACCGTGTTATAACAGAGTAAGTTCAGAGCACTCCAAATATCAAGAAAAACTTTCTAGAGAAAGCAGAGTGCCCCGCTGTGCAGCACAGAGCGTGTATATAACATGGTAGGAGCTCAAAAACATTCACTAACTGTATAAACAAATGAATGAAGTACATGACAGTTGATGCCTGAAAGTTAGGTCAGATCTGATCAGTGTTTGAAAGGGGCCAAGTGACAGAATGTCCCAGGTTGATATAACAGCATGTGAAAGGCCTAGAGGCAAAAGAGTGTGTGCCACATTGGAGGAACTGAAAGTCAGGAATGGCTGGAAAGTAGCGTGCTAGGAGAGAGAAAAGAGATGAGATTGAAATGATGAGTAGGGGCCTGGTCATGGGGGTATTGTCAATCAAATGTAGAAGTGACAAGTGTTAATGACAATGATTCAGTTTTTAGAAAACCAGCCAGGCTGCAGTGGGGGAATAAAAGGAGGGAAGTAAGAGTGGAAACTGAGAGACCAGTTAGGAGGCCAGTGTAGAAGGTCGGGAGTGAGAGGGCCTGAGCATGAGTGACTGACATTGGGAAGGGCAGTGGACACGAGAGGCATTTAGGAGGTAGAATTGAAAGGTCTCAAAGATGGGCTGGATTTGGGGGGATTCAGGAGATGGAGCCAAGGGTAACAACTCAGTTTGTTCCTTGGGAATCTTGCCACCATTCTCTGAGAAAAAGAATACACAGGAGAGGAGTCAGATTGCAGGAGAGCTGAGGACGCATAACCAATACATTCATTTGGGGACATGTGGAGTCTGAGGGGCCTGTGAGACCCCCAAGGGAAGATTTCCACTAGGCAAATGAATACACGGTATGGGGCAGGGAGGGAACCTAGCTAGAGAGAGAGATTTGGCAGTTGGAACGTAAGTAGGAATCAAAGCCATGAGATTAGGGAGGGCATTTAGAAGTGTAGAGTGAGAAGAGAAAGGAGGCTCTGAAAAAATTGATGAGGAATAGTTAAGGGCTGACAGAGGAAGAGAATGAGAAAGAGCAGCCAGAGAAGTTAGAGAAAGCCCAAGGAGAACACAGTATCATGAAGGCCAAGAGAGGAGGATGCCTCAAGAGGGAGGGAACTGTCTTCTGTGACAACTGCTGCTAATGGGTCAACTAAAATATAGAGTAGTGTAACATAACTGTTACACGCATAGTCTTCGGGTGAAGCGGCTGCAGAAAAAGCAACCACACACTTGGGGCTGCGTTACTAGATATATAACTCACAGACTAATAAGTGACAGACCCAGAGCTCAGCCTCTCTCTGTGGCCTACTTGGAGTTCAACGTGGTCAGTCTTTCAAGTGAGGAGTGTGCTACAGTTCCAGGATCATAGGGTCTTCTGGGGTTTCCCGCGTGGCCCAAGATCTGGAGCTGCAGGGCCTGGATCTGTCTCTGCAGAGTCTCAGCATGTTTCAGCAGCAGCTAGAGCAAAGCAAGCTCCTATACAAGCAGCAGCTGGAAGAGTGTCGGCATCAAGAGAACCTCATTGAGAACCTGGCCAGGCAACGGGATGCCCTGCAAGCTCAGCGAGAGGCTTTCCTGGAGCAGGTGGGCTCTTCCTGCCGCCTGCCCTGCACTGCTCCTCTCTCAAAAGAGGGCAACCCCTCTAAGGATACCAAGAGGAGAGGATGGAGTGACTCATCATGGAATCTCCTGGGGGGAGGGGACAAAGGTAATAGGATGGCTTGGGGAGTGGCCTCTCATGGGGACTCCAAGGAGATGATTCCCCTAAAAACACCTTGAAGGAAGAACAGAACATCTCAGGAGCTCACTTCAGAGGGTATCTCTCCTCATTTAGATGAGCAAGGCATTTCTGGAGCCTCTGAGCCAGCTGCAGGTGGCTGACTTTGAGGAGATACGGAGCTATCGAGCACCACCAGAATCTGTGGTCCGGGTAACTGATGCAATGTGTGACTTGTTCCACCATGAAACAGGCTGGGCCAGTGCCAAACAGCTGTTATGCACTGAGGATTTTTATCAGGTAGGAAGGGTGGAGCACAATGAAGGAGGATAGGGGAGGCATAAAGGGACACTTGGCAAGGCTAAACTGTTGGGTCAAGGTCCAGAGCATCCGTGGCTTCCCCATCCCGTTAACATACATCCTTCCAGGAGCTGGTGTTCTTCCCCAAGGAGAAGATAACAGACTCAGAGCTGATAAAGTTACATCTAATTCTGAAGGCTCCAGGTATGGACGATGCAGCCCTGCGGGCAGTGAGCCGACCTGCAGCCAGCCTGGCAGCCTGGCTCTGGGCTGTTCTGCACTATGGGCTGGCGCATTGCCGGGGACTGCCCACGGACCTGCTGCTGCAGCAAGTGGAGGCAACACTCACTCGGGAGCAGGCCCGCCTGGGCTACTACCAGTTTCAGGCCCAGGAGACCCTGGAGCATAATTTGGCCCTGGCTAAGATGGTGGAGGATGCCCAAGCTTCCCACAACTGCGTGGCAAAGACCCTCAGTCAAGCACAGTGTGGGCAGTATCACAAATGGCCCATGAAGGCTGCACTGCTCACGCCTATGCGTGCCTGGACTACACAGCTCCAGGTAACCATCCCCCTCCCAGATGTCTCCCCCAAAGTTCCTTTTATGCCGTTCGCCTGCTCCTCCCTGTGCCCTCACTGCCTCCCTCTGTCCCTCTCTGCACTCCTTGCCGTACTTTCCTCCACACCCCACCTTGCCCTCCCTCTGCCATATCTCTGCCTGCACCCTCCTCACTGGCCTACACAGCCTCTGGTCTTCCCTTCCACTCCAGAAGCTGAAGGGACGCTGCATGACTGTGTTTGGAGATACCCTCCTATGTTCAGCTGCCATCATCTACCTGGGTCCCTTCCCACCATTGCGGCGCCAAGAGCTACTGGACGAGTGGTTAGCTCTGTGTAGGGGCTTTCAGGAGGCTCTGGGCCCAGATGATGTGGCACAGGCACTGAAGCGGAAGCAAAAATCTGTCAGCATACCACCAAAGAACCCCCTGCTGGCTACACACTCTCCCTTCAGTATTCTGTCCTTGCTGAGCTCTGAATCGGAGCAGTACCAGTGGGATGGAAACCTGAAGCCACAGGCAAAGTCGGCCCACCTGGCAGGCTTGCTTCTGCGAAGCCCCACACACTACAGTAGTTGCCGTTGGCCTCTGCTGCTTGACCCCAGCAACGAGGCCCTCATCTGGTTGGACCCGCTGCCTCTGGAAGAGAATCGATCTTTTGCGCCAGCCCTCACTGAGGGTAGAGGTAAGCAGGCATAATAAATGCAATGCTTCCGGAGTATCTGAACTGCCCAACACTCAGCCTCATGTGGTCTTTCCCTTCATAATGAGGACACTGTATTTTTGTGATCAGGATGTCCCAGATTTCACCAGCCTATACTATAGGAACAAATTTGGTCACATTTATTTTTTCTCTTTATTACAATGATTCTGAATCTACATGACTGATTGGTCCATGATCTTCCACTTCCCTGGTCTACTCAGCACTACCCAAATTTATCCAATGTTCAGAAATCCTGGGGAATATTTCTGTTGGCTCTGTTTGGATCGGGGACCCATCTGGGTGGAGTATTGGAAGGAACATTTTCTAGGAAAAGGAATAGAGTGTTTATTCCCCAGAAGAAGAGGCTGGGGATTGAGTTTGTGAGAAAAATGTGACCTTATTTGGAAAGGGGTCCTTTCAGATGTAATTAAGTTAAGGACTTTGAATGAGATCACCCTGATTCTTATCCGGATGGGCCCTAAATCCTGCAAGTGCCCTTACAAGAGGCAGAAGAAAAGGCATAGAAAATACAGAAGAGAGGCTATGTGAAGACAGAGGATGAATAGGATCCCTCCCTGGAATTTTAGAGTAATAATTGTGATAGCCAACATTTATTGAGTGCTCACTACGTGCACATCTAAGTGTTTTCTATGTATCATTTCATTTAATCTTCACAGTAACCCTATGAGGTCGCCACTAATATCAACCCCATTTTGCAGATAAGAAAATTGAGTCATAGAGAGCTTAAGCAACTTTCCTAAGATGTCTTCCTGCAGACCTTCCCTCATGAAATGGAGCCCTTCAGTGAATTCCTCCCCTAAGGAGTCTGATTCCTCCCCTAAGAAGAGCTCCTCTGAATCTTTCTGCCCCAGGGAAAGGCCTCATGAGAAATCAAAAGAGAGAGAGTAAAACGGACATGAAAGAGGAAGATGATGAGAGTGAAGAGAGTAATGAGGCTGAGGACCAGACAAAAGAGCAGAAGGCAGAGGAAAGAAAAAATGAGCAGGAGAAAGAGCAAGAGGAAAATGAAGAGAAAGAGGAGGAGAAGACAGAGAGCCAGGGGTCAAAGCCAGCCTATGAGACTCAGCTTCCATCCCTTCCCTACCTTAGTGTTCTTTCAGGTGCTGACCCAGAGCTGGGTTCTCAGCTCCAGGAGGCAGCTGCTTGTGGTGAGAGCTGGTCCCCACCCACCCTGGCCCCTTTTTGACTTGCCCCATTCTGTGACCCCACAGGCCTCCCACACCTCAGTCTAACTTCAGTTCCCATCCTTCATCCCAGGCACTAACTATATTGAAGCGTCTTGTGGGAACCCTCCTATCAGCCACAGGGAAGCTGGTCAGAGCCAGACCTCGTGCCTGGGGAATGGGGATCATGGGTGCTGGCATTGTGGGTAGGGTGCCTTTGCCTCCCTCTCACAGGCCTGCCTGTGTTACTGACCAATGTGGAGCTGGGTCTAGGGTGCGAAGAACTGCAATGGCTGCTGCAACGGGAGCAGCTGAGTCCACCCCAGGTGCAGCCTGGCTTCTGTCTGTATCTCAGCACCACCCTCTCCCTCTGTGCCATGGAAAAAGGTGAGGCCCAGAGGGCAAATTGCCAGCACAGTTGTGTGGACACACTAGGCCCTCAGCACCAGCCCTAAGAGGGCTTCACTCAACCTGGCCCAGAGCAGGCACAGGTCTATAGCAGGGAGCCATACTCCCTGTCTACTCTACCCCCTGGCTCTGCCAAGGGGAAGAGGTTAAGCATCTCCCATGTTACCCCAAGTGCTAGGTTGTGAACTGCTAAAGGGGCTGAATGTGTTGGATCTGGGCCTGAACATGGAAATACTGGAAGAACAGATGCTGCATGAAATCTTGTGCAGAGAGTATCCTGAACTCGAGACCCGCTGGCAGGACCTAAAGATCAGAGCCCTAGATACCTGCAAGGCTGTGGAGGCTGCTGAGGTGCTTGGGGGCTCAGTCTGTGGGTTGAGATGAGCATTGGATGGACCTGGGTAAGGGGGTGGAGATGAATGTAGATGTTTGGGGTCTGTGGGAAAGGGCCAGATCCATCCAACAAATGAGTGTATGCAGGAGCGGCTGCTGACGATGCTGCTGTTCCAGAATCCGAAGCGTCAGAAGCCAGCCAAGTTTCTGCGGAACATAGTGAGGGCCCAAGGAAAGCTATGCCAGCTGCGTGCTCATTGTGAAGAGTTAGAAGGGCAGAAACTACAGGAGATGGTATTGTGGGCACCCTATCGACCTGTGGTTTGGCATGGAATGGCCATGGTAAAGGCCCTAAGCCAACTGCAGAACCTGCTGCCACTTTTCTGTATGAGCCCAGAGAACTGGCTGGCAGTCACTAAGCAGGCTCTGGACAGCATGAAGCCACGTGAGATTAATCACGGGGAGGACCTGGCCAGCCATCTACTGCAATTGAGAGCACACCTGACCCGCCAGCTGCTGGGCAGCACCGTGACTGCACTGGGCCTTACCCAAGTACCCTTGGTGGGTGCATTGGGCGCTTTGGCTCTGCTGCAAGCAACAGGGAAAGCATCAGAGCTGGAAAGACTGGCACTCTGGCCTGGACTAGCAGCCTCTCCCAGCACAGTCCACAGCAAGCCAGTCTCAGATGTGGCTCGACCGGCCTGGCTTGGGCCAAAAGCCTGGCATGAATGTGAGATGTTAGAGCTGCTGCCCCCATTTGTTGGCCTGTGTGCCTCCCTGGCAGGCCACTCCAGTGCTTGGCAGGCTTACCTGTCACTGTCATCCACAGTGCTGGGTCCTGCACCTGGGCCAGGGCCTGAGCCACTCAGCCTCCTCCAGAAGCTGATCCTGTGGCGCGTTCTGCGACCTGAGTGCCTGGCAGGTGCCCTGGCAGACTTCACCACTAGCCTCCTGGGTCGGCCCCTGGATGAAAACACGTATGCTCCCACCATGCCCTTTAAACATAGTCAGGCTACTCAGCCCATGCTGATCTTGTTGCCACCGCCTGGCCACCCCTCAGCCACTCTGCATCCTCTGACTGTCATCCAGAAACTGGCTGCCAAGTATCAGCAGGTTTGAACCTAGTTTCTTGGCCACAGAGTGACCAGGCTCCTGTGGGCTGGGGCATGGGGGACCCCCTCCAAGCATTTTCATGGATCTTTCTGTACTACGTAGGGACTTTGGGGATCATGGTAGCATTAGTTTGGGTCCCTCGGGTCACCCTAGGATCACTTTGAGTCATGCTGCCATCTCTTTTTTGGTCCCCAGGGGCAGAAGCAACTGCAGGTGATAGCCCTGGGCTCTGAAGCCTGGGACCCAGTCTCAGTTGTGGTCAGCACTCTATCCCAGGCTATGTATGAGGGGCACTGGCTGGTGCTGGACAACTGTCATCTGATGCCCCATTGGCCGAAAGAGCTGCTACAGCTCTTGCTGGAACTGTTAGGCAGAGCCAAGGGTGAGTTTATTGCCTAGATTGGCTTCCAGGATCCTATCCTACACTTGGGCCTTAGCTTGAAATCTCAGGCCTCATGGCCAGTGACCTAGCACCAAACTTGTCCACTTGGCCTTGTATCTGACTCCTGACACCCCTAGCCTCAAGTCTGATTCCTAGACTTCTGCCTGACCCTTTATCCAAGGACTGATCTCAGACCCTTGTCTGACTCTAGTGGTTGCAGACCTGGAATCAGAACAGCTTTTAGACCAACCTGAAAGCAGGAATGTAAGCACTGTTCACAGAGATTTTCGTCTTTGGCTTATTGTGCCTGCAGAGTCTAGTGCTTCTTTGCCAGGTGAGGAGCTTAACCCCCTACAGGCTCTCAAATTGGAAGTGGGAGGGCAACTGTGCTGTGCTGACTCAGCACTCTCCTTCCTCCCCAGCTGTGCTGACTCAGCACTCCATGCCTGTTTTCTGGAACCAGTCCCTGGAGCTGGGCCATGTTTTGATTGACAGTGTGGAGCTAGCCCAGCAAGTACTCTACATGCAACCCCCCACCCAGGCACTACCTCTGCTCCTCCTCCATGGCCTCCTGCTACACCGGCAGCTCTATGGAACAAGGCTGCAGGCACACAGGGGGCGCTGGTGAGGGACCCCCACCCATTCCTGCTCAGTCAATCACTCAACAAACATTGAGTATCTTCCATATGCTGGGATGAGTAAAACTAATTCATCTTTGGAAGCTCCAAAGAGCAAGGGCAAGGGGAAGTCAAGGAAGGCTTCTCCAAAGACTTTGAGATTTTACTTTGAATTGAGTCTTAAAAGCAGAGGCAAATCAGGTAGAGATGGGCCTTTCTGAGCAGAGGGACCTAAACTCAGTAGAAGGGAGGAGACTTGAGTGTGGTTGACGTGGACATGCTGGGTGTTGAGGAGGGAGAAGTAAGGTTCATTATAAAGGGCCTTTAAGACTAGGGCAAGGTAGGCCAGGTACAGTGGCTCATGCCTGTAATCTCAGCACTTTGGGAGGCGAGGCGGATGGATCACGAGGTCAGGAGATCGTGACCATCCTGGCTAACACAGTGAAACCCCATCTGTACTAAAAATACAAAAACTTAGCCAGGCATGGTGGCAGGTGCCTGTAGTCCCAGCTACTTGGGAGGCTGAGGCAGGAGAATGGCGTGAACCTGGGAGGTGGAGCTTGCAGTGAGCCGAGATTGCACCACTGCACTCCAGCCTGGGTGACAGTGCGAGACTCTGTCTCAAAAAAAAAAGACTAGGGCAAGGTGCCTGATTTTATCCTGAAGACAGTGGGAAGCCACTGAAGGGTTTTAAGTAGAAGAAGAAACAATATCCTTTTTGTGTGTTGGAAGGATCACTCTGGATGCAACATGGAGAATGGATCAGAGGAGGCAGGACTGGGGGCAAGCAGAGCAGCTTTAGGAGACTCTGGAAGTCTCCAGGGAAGAGATTGTGGTATGGGTAGTAGGGTAGTAGCCATGGAAGGGATAGAGAATAAATATGGGGTGAAGAGGAAGGAGGTGTCGAGGATGACTCTCAGATTTTTGCTTTAGATAATTGGGTGGCTGGCGGTACCTCTCACTGAAATAGGAGGTGGAACAGGTTTTGTGGGGGGAAATGATGATTTCAGTTGAAAGCAAGTTGTATTTGAGGTGCCAAGTGGCAATGAACCCGAAGCTCAGGAGAGAGGTTTGAACTGAAGACAAGACTTGACAGTCCTCAGCATATAGATGATATGTGAAACCCTGCTTTCCGCTCCCCTTCTCTAGGAGTCAAGTGACTCTAACCCAGGTTCTTCAGACCCAAGACCAGCTGTGGGCAAGTCTTAGCAATCCCCGTGCTGCCATGCAAGAGCTGGCTGGTGAGACCCTTCCTCTCCCCCTTGGAGTCATCAGCCCCCAGGAGAGCCTGGAAGAGGGTGGGGGTGGGATACAATTCACAGCTTTGGTTTTGGCGGTGGTGGAAACTGAAGGTACTGGAACTGAGAGACTCTAACCTCATCTTCAGCTTCAGTTTTCTACGGGGGTCCTCTGGGGGACACTGAGGACAGGGAGGCCCTGATTAGCCTCACACAAGCCTGCCTGAGCCCCAGTAGTGGGAGCTGGGTCCAGCCACACACACCTCAGTCTTTGCTGGCCACGCTCATGCCCCTCCCAGGTAAGCCTCACTCAGGTATCTGTTTTGGGGTAGGGAATAGTGCAATGCAATGCCACCCCCCACAGAAATGTGGACAGCAGTCTCAATAAAGGTATATGAGGGGGTAATATTCATACTGTTATGGGGGTGATGGCAGTAAAGGCTCAGAGGAAGGCCTACTCTCTCGAGTCTAGGGTGGGGAGAGTCCATCTTGTCCCTCACCCCTCACCTCTATCCCCAAGAGCTAAGGGAGCTGGATGCAATGGCAGAGTGCAAGGCCCAGATGCACCTACTGCCCTCACCACCTGAACCCCGGCTCTGCGGACTGAGTGAGGGCCCCCAAGCCTGGCTGTTGCGACGCCAGAGTCGCGCTCTCTTGAGTGCGCTGCAGCGGAGTTCACCCGTGTGGGTTCCTGAGTCTCGAAGAGGCGCCCAGCTTGCGGAAAGGCGACTGCGGCAACGCCTAGTGCAAGTCAACCGGAGGCTGGAGTCACTGCAGGATCTGCTGACCCACGTGATTCGCCAAGACGAGTCCGACGCCCCGTGGTCAGTGCTGGGGCCAAATGCACGGCGGCCTCTGGAGGGCGTCTTAGAGACCGAGGCTCTAGAACTGAGCCAGTTGGTGGGCACGCTACAACGCGACCTTGATTGCCTGTTGCAGCAGCTGAAGGGCGCACCCCCGTGCCCCTCCCGCCGCTGTGCTGCGGTGGCCCACGCTCTCTGGACTGGCCGCCTACCCTTGCCTTGGCGACCTCATGCGCCGGCCGGTCCGCAGCCGCCCTGGCACTGGCTGCGACAGTTGTCGCGCCGTGGGCAACTGTTGGTTCGTTACTTGGGCGTGGGCGCGGACGCGAGCAGTGATGTACCAGAGCGCGTCTTCCACCTGTCAGCCTTTCGCCACCCGCGCCGCCTGCTGCTGGCATTGCGTGGGGAAGCTGCCCTGGACCAGAATGTGCCCAGCTCGAATTTCCCTGGTAGCCGAGGCTCGGTCTCCAGTCAGCTCCAGTATAAACGTCTGGAGATGAACAGCAACCCTCTGCACTTCAGGGTATCTTCGCGCCGCCCCTCGTTCGCGGTTCCAGTCCCCTCGAAGTCTCTAATTACACCTCGCAGTTACCCCTTCTTGGTGATCTTGCCCCCGGTAACCCTGCTAGCTTCTCCGATCTCGCTTCACCACGACCTCCTACCCGCTAACCCCCACTTCCCACCTGCCACCTCCCAGCTTCCTAGCCTTGCCTGACCAGCTTCTGACGCCCCCAGGTGGAGAATGGTCCAAATCCCACGGTTCCAGAGAGAGGGCTGCTGCTGATCGGGCTACAGGTCCTACATGCGGAGTGGGACCCAATAGCTGGAGCCTTGCAGGACAGTCCTTCCAGCCAACCCAGCCCTCTGCCTCCCGTCAGCATCAGCACACAGGCCCCGGGCACCAGTGACCTGCCAGCCCCAGCCGACCTGACTGTGTACTCGTGTCCTGTGTACATGGGAGGGCCCCTTGGCACCGCTAAGCTGCAGAGCAGGAACATCGTGATGCATCTGCCTTTACCCACCAAGCTCACCCCCAACACCTGTGTCCAAAGGAGGGTCCATGTGTGCAGCCCACCCCTGTCTTGAGCCCGTCTACCAAAATAAAGTTGTAGTGATTCCATGAAAGATTTCTGAGATATGGGGGTAGAGTAGGGTGTGTGCACACCAAGAAGGCAGAATGTGACACACTAGGAGAAAGGTACAGTGTGCATAACTGAGAAAAGAGGAGGTATATTCACACCGAAGGTAGAAGAGGGCATGTGCCTGGCAGCCGGGAAGGGGAAAGTGTGGGTACAGTTGGGGTGGGGTGGGACTTGGTGTTAATCATGTATCCAAGAAGCTAGGCAGACCCAGCAGTGGCTGACACACAGAATCCTAAATCCTTGCCCCGCTCTCTACTGTGGTCTCAGCACTTGTGCTAAATCCACAAGGGATATGTTTGAAAGGAGAACATTAGCACTCAAAATTCTTTCTTAAGGCATTTAGTGGTGTTCTTGGCAGTGCCTCAATCCTGCCCTACCACTCATTCCTCTCCTACGATGGATTCTCTCAGTGAGTCATGCATATGAAAAAAGCCAAGTAAGATACAAGGTCCTATGTTCATTCAACAATTATTCATTGAGCATTCCTTGGAACCAGGTATTCTTCTATGTGCTAATAAGGTTATTCTAGTGTAGGGCAACAGGCAATAAAAGGCCAACATATAAATAATTTTGATGATTTTGAAGTCCTATAAAGAAAACAAAATAGACCGATGCGTCAAGAGGGTATGTGATGAGACGGGAGCAGTTAGTATAATCTGAGTGGTCAAGGAAGCTTTCTGCATATTTGAAAGTAGCTATTTAAAGATCTAGAAGGAATATTCATTCAGGTAGAGCCCTCAGTAGGTACAAAAGTCTTGAGGCAGGAACAACCTTGAAGTGTTCAAGAAACAGCGTATGCAGCCAGAGCATGGCGAGTGAGGGGCAGAGCGACCCAAAATGATGGGAACGTATAGAAAGGGGTGGCTCACGTGGCCGTGGTAATGATCTTGTATTTTTCAAAAGTATAATGAGAATGTATTGTCAAATAGTAGGTGGGAGAGTATATGATCTAATTTGCATTTTTTCAAAGGTCACTCTGCCTGTTCTATGGTGGATGGATGCTAGAAAAGCCAGGGTGACAAGGTAGAAGATCTATTTGGACCCAACTGAAGTAATTCAAGTAAGGGATAATGGAGTTTGGGCAAGGGTTTAAATAGAGATGAAGAACTGACAGATTTAAGAACTATTCTGGAGGTAAAACCAGCAGGACTGATGGAATGGATGTGGAGAATAAAGGAAGAGGAAGAATCTAGGGTGATTTGGATTTTAAGCTTGAGAAACTAGGTGTATCATGTGTCATTAACTGAGATGGGAAATTTGAGGGAGCAAGCAGCTGGAGCTAAGGAATCAAGAGTTCTGCTGCTTTGATATTTTCTGTTATTATTAGTTGCATGACTGCCTGCTAGGCCAGGGCGAGCCTGTCCGACAAAAGTTGAGTTAGAGTATGGCAGAACCAAAGGCCTATATGAGCTTCACTCCTTGCCCCCAAGCATCAAAACTTACGTAGTATTAATAAACTCAGCTCCCTTGCTCTATGGCTAGGTACCAGCTACGTGGTGGGAGGAAATGCAAACAGAAGTGTATACAGGCATACTTGAAGCTATTGTGGGTTTGGTTCCAGACCACCACAATAAGGCGAATATTGCAAGTCACATGAACTTTTTGGTTTCCCACTGCATATGGGTTACATTTACACTATATTGTAGTCTATTAAGCATGAAATAGCATTATGTTAAGTTAAAAAAAAAAACAAGGTATACCAGCCTGGCCAACATGGTGAAACCCTGTCTCTACTAAAAATACAAAAATTAGCGAGGTGTGGTGACGGGCACCTGTAATCCAAGCTACTCAGGAGACTGAGGCAGCAGAAGAATCTCTTGAACCCAGGAGGTGGAGGTTGCAGCGAGCCGAGATTGTGCCACTGTACTCCAGCCTGGGTGACAGAGCAAGACCCTGTCTAAAAAAAAAAAAAAAAAAAAAATTGCATACCTTAGTTTAAAAATACTTTATTGCTAAAAATGCTAATAATCATCTGAGCCTTCAGCAAATAGTAATCTTTTTGCTAGTAATCTTTTTTGCCTTAATATTGATAGCTGCTGATCAGGGTGGTGACTGCTGAAGGTTGTGGCAATTTCTTAAAATAAAACAACAGTGAATACGAGTCCATATCAATGGACTCATATTTTCATGAAGAATTTGTCTGTGGCATGTGATGGTGTTTTACAGCATTTTACCTACAGAACTTATTTCAAAATTGGAGTTAATCCTCTCAAACCCTGCTGTTCCTTTATTAACTAAGTTTATGTAATATTCTAAATCATTTGTTGTCATTTCAACAATGTTCACAGCATCAGAAATATAGATTCCATCTCAAGAAACCACTTTCTTTGCTGATCCATAAGAGCAACTGCTCACCCATTAAAGTTTTATCATGAGATTACAGTAACTCAGTCATATCTTCAGGCTCCACTTCTTATTCTAATTCTCTTGCTGCTTCCACCACATCTGCAGTTACTTCCTCCAATGAAGTCTTGAACTCCTCAAAATCATCCATGAGAGTTGAATCAACTTCTTCCAAACTCCTGTTAATATTGATATTTTGACCTCCTATCATGAATCAAAAATGTTCTTAATGGCATCTAGAATGGTGAATCCTTTCCAGAAGGTTTTCAATTTACTTTGCCCAGATCCATTGGAGGAATCACTATCTATAGTGGTTCCTATAGCAGCAATAGTCTCACAAAATGTATTTCTTTTTTTAAATTTTCATTTCTTTACAAAATGAATTTCTTAATAACACTATAAGACTATAGCAGCAATAGCCTTACAAATGTATTTCTTAATAAGATCTGAAAGTCAAAATTACTCTCTGATCCATGAGCTGCACAATAGATGTTGTGATAGCCGGCATGAAAACAACATTCATCTCCTTGTACATGTCCATCAGAGCTCTTCGGTGTATTGCCAATGAGCAGCAAAATCTTTAAAAGAATCTTTTTGTTCTGAGCAGTAGGTCTTAACAGTAGGCTTAAGATAGTCAGTAAACCATGCTGTAAACCGATGTACCGTCATACAGGCTTTGTTGTTCCATTAAGACAGCACAGACATAGCAGATTTAGCATAATTCTTAAGGGCCCTAGGATTTTCGGAATGTTAAATGAGCATTGGCTTCAACTTAAAGTCACCAGCTACACTGGCCCCTAACAGGTGGTCAGCCTGTCCTTTGAAGCTTTGATGCCAGGCATTGTCTTCTCTTCTCTAGCTACAGTAAGTCCTAGATGCCATCTCCTTCCAACAGAAGGGTGTTTCATCTACATGGAAAATCTGTTGTTTGGTGTAGCCACCTTCATCAATTCACTGCAGCTTCCACATTAGCACTTGCTGTTTCACCTTGCAGTTTTATGTTATGGAAATGGCTTTCCTTAAACTTCATGAACCAATCTCTGCAAACTTCAGACTTTTATTCTGCAGCTTCCTTGCCTCTCTCAGCCTTCATAGAATTGAAGAGAATTAGGGCCTTGTCCTGGATTAGGCTTTGGCTTAAGGGAATGTTGTGGCTGGTTTGATCTGCTATCCAGATCACTAAAACTTCCTCCATATCAGCAGTAAGGCTGTGTTTTGCTTTATCAGTCACATGTTCACAGGAATTGCACTTTTAATTTCCTTCAAGAACTTTTTCCTTGCATTCACAACTTGGCTAACTGGCACAAGAAACCTAGTTTGTAGCTTACCGTGGCTTTTGACCTGCCTCCCTCACCGAGCTTAGTCATTTTTAGCTTTTGATTTAAAGTGAGAGACATGCAACTCTTCCTTTCACTTGAACACCTAGAAGCCACTGTTGGATTATTAATTGGACTAATTTCTATATTGTTTGTCTCAGGGAGCAGGGAGGCCCAACAAGAGGGAGAGAGATGGGGGAACAGGCGGTCAGTGAAGCAGTCAAAACACACACGACATTTATCGATTAAGTTTGCCATCTCATGTGAGTGCAGCCTGTGGTGCCCCCAAATGATTACAATACCAACATCAAAGATCACTGATCACACTGATATAATAATAATGCAAAGGTTTGAAATACTGTAAGAATTATCAAAATGTGGCACAGAGACAAAAAGTAAGCACATGCTATTGGGAAAATAGTGCTGATAGACTAGCTCAAAACGGGGTTGCCACAAATCTTCAATTTTTATAAAACACACTATGATGTGCAATAAAGCACAGCAAAAAATAAAATGAGGTGTGCCTGTACTGAGCATCACTCTTCACAACCTCTTCAAAATGGTAACTCACCAGTGAGTGTGGTGCAACTGATGTTCTTTAACAAAAGGCTGAGCAGAGAGGCAAAAACTCCCACTTTCCTCAGAGCCCTTTTCTACAGTCAACTAGGGTGCATGGCTGTGCCTTCAGGAAAGGAGATAAGTAGAGTATTAAAAGAAGTCCTTTTGGAAAAATGAACCATCTGTCTATGTTTACCATTACCACTATTTGTCCTCCAGTGGGAGCAGGGAACAATAGTGAGATATCTGTAAAACCATCTGAAATTGGTTAGAATATTTTCTACATATCCATGCCATTTTCTAGACTGAAGTCATTCTTGAATTATGCCCAGCCAAGTTGTTAAACTTTGTCTAGTAGAGATTATTAAATGAGTTCCATATGACAGCATAGCCCAAATACAATGACTGCTATGTAAAAATGTTCCAGATTTGATAATTGCACTATTAAGTTCTACTAGAGCAATTAAAATCCCATTAGGAAGTTAAAATCCCAAACAATGAAAGGAAGGAAGAAGTAAGAGGCTTGACAAAGGGGAGAAATATGTCTCTTCCCATTCTGATGAACGGGGGTAAATGGAGTAGAGACAAGAAAGGGAAGAATATGATGTAATCAACCTGACCTGGGGCTGCGAAGCCTCAGAGAAGGAAGCAGCAGCGCCAAGGGCAAAGAGGCTTTTGCCTTTTCCCTACTGGAACTGTGGAAGGAAGCTGTTCTGTAGCACGGATGGACTAACTGTGGTCCCAACAGCATTAAGAGAGCAGAGCAGCATGGTCAGGAAGAGGTGTCTCTTAATCCCTATATGGCGTAGATACTGACTAGAGAGGCTTTAGGCCCACAGGAGTATGCGGCAGAGAATCACTGGGGTTTCCAGCACCAAAGAGAGTTGTTGAGAGAGGGCCAAACTGGGGGGAGTGGGGAGGAACAGGGGGCACAAGACCACAAATTCATCAGCTTTAGAGGCAAATGTTGGCAGAATGCCCAGGTATGAAACTGAGCCAACTACCCAGAGGATTCCAACTTGTGCACAACCAAAGCCAGTGTTAGGCTTGAGGATCCCTTCAGTCTAACATCAAAAGGTCACATAAGCCCTCCTCTCTATACCCAGATGCCACTTTAGAGAGGAGCAGCATTAGAATGGGAGGAATTTAAAATTCTGAGCATTTATTTCAAAGAGAATAAATGAAACCTAATGAAATGAAACCAAATTTATTTCCAGCCTCTTCCACTACCCAGTGAAGAGGAAGGAGTAAGATTTGTGAGGAAAATCAGATCAGTAATTGAGAAAAAAGCTACATTTTATTTATGTATCCAACTTTGTAAGAAAAATTGTGATCCTGCTCTGTATACTACATAGACTAATAATCCAAAAACGAAAAAAATCTGACTAGCACTCTGCAGCTCACCTAAAAACTCATTTAGTTTTGCAGCTTTACAGTCTAATTTGAAATTTATATTCAGAACAGGATAAATGGGGGAAATGTCTGAAATATTAAAAAATGACAGTTTCATACACTAATGCTTATGAAGCCCTAGTATCTGTAAAATAGGTACTATTATTATTCCATTTTATAGATGAGGAAACTGAGACACACATTCAGTAAACTGCCCAAGGTCACACGGCCAGAAAATGGTAGAACCTGTTTTGGAACCCAGGCATTTGTCTCCAGAATCCATGATCTCTACAGCATTCTGTTGCCTCTGTCATACCAAGATTTAGTGAGATAGCGGAAAACAAGAATCCTCAAGCATTGTTGGCAGATGCGGAAACTGGTGTAGTTACTCTGGGGAGCAATCTGACAGCACTTAGTAAAATTAAGTATACTCTGTTCTACCAATTCCACTTTCAGGTTTATGTCTCAGATGGTCACACACAAAATGAGCTGAGACTTTGAGAGGCTGAGGTGGGAGGATAGCTTGAGCCCAGGAGTTCAAGACCAGCCTGGACACCATAGACAGAATCTCTCTCTGTAAAAAATTTGAAAAATTAGCTCGGTGTGGTAGTGTACACCTGTGGTCTCAGCTACACAGGAGGCTGAGGTGGGATAATTGCTTGAGCCCAGGGGGTGGAGGCTGCAGTAAACTGTGATTACACTACTTCACCACTGCACTCCAAACTTGGTGACAAGGTAAGACTATGTCCCCAAAAAAAAAAAAAAAAAAAAAAAAGGAAAGAGAGAGAAAGAGAAAGTGAAGGAAGGAAGGAAGGAAGGGAGGGAGGGAGGGAGGGAGGGAGGAAGAGATTTGGGAAGTGTTCTCTCCTACTGTACTTTCTAAGAGTTTATGTAGGAGTGATATTTCTTAAAAGGTTGATAGAATTTGACAGTAAAGCCATCTGGGCCTGGAGTTTTTTTGTTTTGATGTGTGTGTGTGTGTGTGTGTGTGTGTGTGTGTGTGTGTGTGTGTGAGAGAGAGAGAGAGGTTTTTAATGACAAATTCTATTTCTTTAGTAGATACAAGGCTATCAGATTTTCCACTTCTTTCTGAGTCCATTGTGGTATTTTCAAAAATTTTATCTTAGATAGAACGTAAGTTTTTGAAGTTACTGGTATAAGTTGTTCATAATAGTCCCTTATTATCCTTTTAATGTCTGTAGGATCTATAGGGATGTCCCTGCTTTCATTCATATTTTCAGTCTTCGTATTTTTGATCAGTCTAAATAAAAGATTTGTCAATTCTATTGATCCTTTCAGAGAATTAGCTTTGTGTTTCATTGATTTTCTCTATTGGTTCTCCAGTTTCTATTTTATCACTTTCAACTTTTATCTTTTTAAATTTCCTTTCTTTTACTTATTTTTGTTTTAATTTTCTCTTTTTCTAGCTTCTTAATGTGGAAACTTAGATTATTTATTTTAGGGTTTTTTCGAGTTTTGTTTTTTTTTTTAATACAGAGTCAGAGTCTCTCTCTGTCACCTAAGCTGGAGTGCAGTGGCACGATCTGGGCTCACTGCAACCTCCACCTCCCGGGTTCAAGCGATTCTCCTGCCTCAACCTCCCGAGTAGCTGGAATTACAGGTGCGTGCCACCACGCCCAGCTAATTTTTGTATTTTTAGCAGAGATGGGGTTTCACCATGTTGGCTAGGCTGGCCTCAAACTCCTGACCTCAGGTGATCCACCCACCTTGGCCTCCCAAAGTGCTGGGATTACAGGCATGAGCCACCGTGCCTGGCCGATTTTAGGTGTTTCTTATTTCCCATATAAGCATTGAAAGCTATACATCACTCTCTAACATTTATTTAGCTGCATCTCACAACTTTTGCTTTGTTGTATTTTCATTATTTCTATTTATTTTTCTGTGGCCAGGTGGCACACAGAGAGAATCTGTGCACTTGCTGGAAGGAGAGCAGAGTGATTGTGGGACTTTGCATTGGAACTCAGTGCTGCCTATCTGGGTGGAAAACAGCAAAAACAGAATCCAGCCAGTGCCCACGAAGGGAGAATTTAGACCAGCCCCAGCCAGAGGGGAAATGTCCATTCCGGTGGCTGGAACCTGAGTTCTGGCAAGCCCCATGACCATAGGCTAAAGTGCCCTGGTGTCCTAAATAAACTTGAAAGGCAGTCTAGGCCACAGGGACTGCAATTTCTGGGCAAGTACTGGTGCTGTGCTGGGCTTGGAGCCAGTGGACTTGGGGTGTACATGACCTAGTGAGACACCAGCTGAGGCAACCAAAGGACTGCTTGCATTACCTGTCCCCCAACCACAGGCAGTGCAGTTTGCAGCTCTGGGAGAGACTCTTTCCTTCCACTTAAGGAGAGGAGAGGGGAAAGTAAAGAGAACTCTGTTTTGCAACTTGAACACTAGCTCAGCCACAGTAGAACAGAGCACGAGCAGGAGTCCTGAGACCCCCATTTCAGGTCCTATCTTCTACAAGATAGACACACCCTGGGCCAGAAGGGAACCCACGTCCTTCATGGGAAGGACTCAGTCCTGGAAGGATTCATCACCTGCTGACTAAAGAGCTCTTGGGCCTTGAATAAACCTCAGTGGTTGTCAGGCAGTACTTACCCAGGGGCCTGCAGTGAGACCCAGTGCTGTGAGGGCTTCAGGGGTGACCCAACACATTCCTAGCTGTGGTGGCCATGGGGAGATACTCCTACTGCTTGAAGAAAGGAGAGGGAAGAATAATGGGGACTTTGTCTTGCGACTTGGGTACAGCTTGGCCAAGGTGAGGTAGAGTACTAAGTGGGCTCCCTGGGGTTCCTGATTCCAGGCCTTGGTTCCTGGGTGCATTTCTTGACCTGCCCTGGACCAGAGGGGAGTCTATTGCCCTGCAGGGAGACATCCAGGCTTAGCAGCATTCACCACAAGCTGACTGAAGAGCCATTGGACCTTGAATGAACAACGGTGTTAGCCACGCAATACTTGCTGCAGGCTTGAAGTAGTGGTGGCCATAGGGAGAGGGTCCTTCTGCTTCAGGAAAGGAAAGGAAAGAGTGGGAAGGACTTGTCTTACGGCTTGTGTGCCAGCTCAGCCACAGTAGAATAGGCCACCAAGTATATTACTAAGGTTCCTGACTTCAGGCCCCAGCTATTGGATGGTATTTCTGGACTGAGGGGTAGCTTGCTACCCTGAAGGGAAGGCAACAAGCCTGGCTAGATGCACCACCTGCTGACTGTAGAGACCTTGGGCCTTGAGGGAACATCAGCGGTAACCAGGCAGTAGTCACTACAGGCCTTGGGCAAGACCCAGTGCTGTGCTGGCTTCAGGTGTAACCCAGCATAATCACAGTGATGGTGGCTATAGGGGTGCTTGTGTCACCTCTTCTCCAGCTCCAAGCAGCTCAGCACAGACAGACAGACTTTGTTTGTTTGGGGGAAATTAAGAGAAGAGAACAAGAGTCTCTGCCTCATAATCAAGGGAATGCTCATGAATCTTACCCAACACCATCAAAGTGCTACCTCTATGAATCTACAAGAGCCACAGCAATTACTGGGCTGGGGGTTCTCACTAATGCAGATATGGCTGCAGTGACCAAAGACTTAGATCACAACACTAAATTCTCTTTGAATATTTGGATTGCATTCCAAAGAAGGATGGTTATAAATAAACCCAGACTGCAAAGAGTACAAATACCTAATTCTTCAATGCCCAGACACTGATGGACATCCATAAGCATCAAGACCATCCAGGAAAACATGGCATCACTGAACAAAGTAAATAAGGCACTAGTGACAAATCCTGGAGTAACAGAGATGTGTGACCTTTTGGACAGAGAATTCAAAACAGCTTGTTTTGAGAAAGCTAAAAAAAAAAATTCAAGATAACACAAAGAAGGAATTCAGAACCCTATCAGATAAATTTAACAAAGAGAGTAAAATAATTTAAAAGGATCAAGCAGAAATCCTGGAGCTGAAAAATTCTATTGACATACTGAAGAATGCAATGGAGTCTTTCAACAGCAGAATGGATCAAGCAGTAGAAAGAATTAGTGAGCTTGAAGATAGGCTATTTGAAAATACACAGAGGAAACAAAAGAAAAAAAATTTAAAAGCCAGGCACAGTGGTTCACGCCTGTAATTCCAGGACTTTGGGAGGCTGAAGTGGGTGAATCACTGAGGTCAGGAGTTCAAGACCAGCCTGGCCCACATGGTGAAACCCCGTCTCTACTAAAGATACAAAATTAGCTGGGCATGGTGGCATGCACCTGTAATCTCAGCTACTTGGGAGGTTGACACAGGAGAATCGCTTGAGCCTGGGAGGCAGTGGTTGCAGTGAACCGAGATCGTGCCATTGCACTCCAGCCTGGGCAACAAGAGTGAAATTCCGTCTCAAAAAAAAAAAAAAAAAGAAAAAAAATACCACCCGGGAAAATCACCTTCACAAAAAGGAAGATGGATGGACAGATGGAAGAAAGGATCACAAAACAACCAGAAAACAAATAACAAAATGACAGGAGTAAGTCCTTACTTATCAATAATAACATTGAATGTAAATGCACTAAAATCTCCAATCAAAAGATATAGAATGGCTGAACAGATGAAAAAACAAGACCCAATAATCTTTTTCCTGTAAGAAACACCCTTCACCTATAAAGACACACATAGACTAAAAATAAACAAATACAAAATGATATTCAATGCAAATTGAAACCAAAAAAGAGCAGGAGTAGCTATATTTGCATCAGACAAAACAGATTTCAAGACAAAGAAGGTCATTACATAATGATAAAGGGGTAAATTCAGCAAGAGGATATAATAATTGTAAACATATATGCACCCAACACTGGAGCACCCAGATATATAAAGCAAATATCTTTAGAACTAAAGAGAGAGATAGGCCCCAATACAATAACAGCTGAAGACTTAATTACCCCACTTTCAGCATTAGACAGGTCATCCAGACAGAAAATCAACAAAGAAATGTCAGATTTAATCTGCACTATAGAGTAAATGGATCTTACAGATATTTACAGAACATTTCATCCAATGGCTGAAGGATACATATTATATTCTTCCCCTCAACACGTGTTATTTTCAATGATAAACCATATATTAGGCCATAAAACAAGCCTTAAACATTTCAAAAATATGTGAAAAATATCAAGTATCTTCCTTGACCACAATGGAATAAAATCAATAATAGGAGGAACTTTGGAAACTATATGAACACATGGAAATTAAATAATATGCTTAATGGCCAGTGGATCAACAAATAAGAAAAAAAATTTAAAAATATTTGAAACAAATGAAAATGGAAATACGACAGACCAAAATCTACGGGATATAACAAAAGCAGTACTGAGGAAAGTTTATAGCAATAAGCACCTAATCAAAAAAGTAGAAAAACTTCAAATGAACAACCTAATGATGCATCTTCAAGAACTAGAAAAGCAAAAGCAAACCAAACGGAAAATTAAAAGAAGACATAACAAATATCAAGCAGAAATAAGTGAGATTCAATTTTTAAAAATACAAAGGATCAATAAAATGAACAGGTTTTTTGAAAAGATAAAGTCAACAAACCTTTAGCCAGACTAAGAATAAAAGAGAGAAGACCCAAACAAAATCAGATGAAAAAGGAGTCATTACAACTGATACCACAGAAATTCAAAGGATCATCAGAGACTATGAGCAACTAAATGCCAATAAACTGGAAAAGCTGGAAGACATAAATTCCTAGACATATGCAACTTACTAAGATTAAACCATGAAGAAATCCAAAACCTAAATAGACCAATAACAAGTAATGAGATCAAAGCCATAATAAAAAAGTCTTCCAGCTAAGAAAAGCACAGGACCCAACAGCTGCACTGACTAATTTTATGATACATTTAAAGAACTAATATGAACCCTACTCAGACTATTCAAAAAAAAAAAATAGAGGAGGGAGTACTTTGAAACTCATTCTGTGAGCCAGCGTTACCCTGATAGCAAAACCAGACAAAGACACATCAAAAAAAGGAAACTATATCACTGATGAACATTTATGCAAAAATCCTCAATAAAATACTAGGAAACCTAATTCAACACCCCATTAAAAAGATCATTCATCATGGCCAAGAGGGATTTATCCCAGGAATGCAAGGATGGTTCAACATATGCAAATCAATCAATGTGATGTATCATATCAACAGAATGAAGACCAAAAACCATATGATCATTTTAATTGATGCTTTTAAAACATTTGATAACACTCAACATCCTTTTATGATTTAAAAAAGCCCTCCAAAAACTGGGTATAGAAGGAACATACCTCAACATAATAAAAGCCATATATTACAGGCCCACAGCTAATATACTGAATGGGGAAAAACTGAAAACTTTTCCTCTAAGATCTGGAACTAGACAGGGATGCCCATTTTCACTACTGTCATTCAACATAGTAATAGAAGTCCTACCTAGAGTAATCAGACAGGAGAAAAAAAAATAAATGGCATCCAAGTTGGAAAGGAAGAAGCCAAATTATCCATATTTGCAGATTATATTATCTTTTATTTGGAAAAACCTAAAGGCTCCACCAAAAGCTATTAGAACTGATAAACAAATTCAGTAAAATTGCAGAATGTAAAATCAACATACAAAAATCAGTAGCATTTCTATATGCCAACAACAAACAATCTGATAAAGAAATCAAGAAAGTAATCCCATTTACAATAGCAACAAATAAAATAAGATACCTAGGAATAAACTTAACCAAACAAGTGAGAGACCTCTATAATGAAAACTATAAAACATTGATGCAAGAAACTGAAGAGGACACAGACAAAAAATTGATAGATATTCCATGTTCATGGATTGGAAGAACTGATATTGTTAAAATGTCCGTACTATCCAAAGCAATCTACAGATTCACTGCAATCCCTATCGAAATACCAGTGACATTCTTCACAGAAATCGAAAAAATAATCTTAAAATTCATATAGAAGCACAAAAGACCCAGAAGAGACAAAGCCATCCTGAGCAAAAGAACAAAACTGAAGGAATCATATTACCTGTCTTCAGATTATACTACAGAGCTATAATAACCAAAACAGCATGGTACTGCCAAAAAAACAGACACATAGACCAATGGAACAGCATACAGAACCCAGAAATAAATCCATACATCTACAGTAAACTCATTTTTGACAAAAGTGCCAAGAACATACGTTGGGGAAAGGACGGTCTCTTCAATAAATGGTGCTGGGAAAATAGGATATACATATGCAAAAGAATCAAACTAGGCTCCTCTCTCTTGCCATATATAAAAATCAAATCAAAATAGATTAAAGACTTAGATCTGAGACCTCAAACTATGAAACTAATGAAAGAAAACCTTGGGGAAACCCTCCAAGACATTGATCTTGGCAAAGATTTCTTGAGTAATACCCCAAAAGCACAAGCAATCAAAGCAAAAATGGACAAATGGGATCACATCAAGTTAAAAAGCTTCTGCACAGTAAAAGAAACAATCAACAAAGTGAAAAGACAAACCACGGAATGGGAAAAAATATTTGCAAACTATCCATCTGACAAAGGATTAATAATCAGAATACATAAGGAGCTCAAACAACTAACTCTATAAGAAAAAAAATTGGCCAGGTGCAGTGGCTCACACCTGTAATCCTAGCACTTTGGGAGGCTGAGGCAGGTGGACTGCTCGAGGTCAGGAGTTCGAGACCAACCTGGCCAACATGGTGAAACCCCATCTCTACTAAAAATACAAAAACTAGCTGGGCGTGGTGGCAGGTGCCTGTAATCCTAGCTACTTGGGAGTCTGAGGTAGGAGAATCGCTTGAACCTGAGAGGTGGGGGTTGCAGTGAGCCAAGATTGTGCCACTGCACTCCAGCCTGGGTGACAAGAGGAAGATTCTGTACCCCCCAACCCCCTCCAAAAAAAAGAAAAATCTAGGCTAGGCATGGTGGCTTACACCTGTAATCCCAGCACTTTGGGAGGCTGAGGCAGGCAGATCACCTGAGGTCAGGAGTTTGAGACCTAGCCTGGCCAACATGGTGAAACCTCATCTCTACTAAAAAAAATACAAAAATTATCCAGGCATGGTGGTGCACACCTGTAATCCCAGCTACTAGGCAGGCTGAGGCATGAGAATCGCTTGAACCTAAGAAGTGGAGGCTGCAGTGGGCTGAGATCGCGCTACTGCACTCAGGCCTGGATGATAGAGATTCCATCTCAAAAAGAAAATTTTTAAAAGAAGAAAAAATCTAATAATCTGATTTTAAAAACAGGCAAAAAATCTTAATAGACATTTCTCAAAAGAAGAGATACAAATGGCAAACAGGTAAATGAAAAGGTGTTCAGCATCATTAATCATCAGATAAATGCAAATCAAAACTACAATGAGATATCATCTCACCTCAGTTAAAATGGCTTTTATCCAAAAGACAGGCAGTAATGAATGCTGGTGACGATGGGGAGAAAATAAACTTTTGTACAGTGTTGGGGGGAATGTTAATTAATACAAGCATTGTGGAGAACAGTATGGAGGTTCCACAAAAAACTGAATAAAGAACTACCATATGATCCAGAAATCTCACTGCTAGGTATATACTCCTCTCCCCAAAAAAGACAAATCAGTATATAGAAAAGGTATCTACACTCCCCTGTTTATTGCAGCACTATTTACAATAGCCAAGATACAGAAGCAACCTAAGTGTCCATCAACAGACGAATAGATAAAGAAAATGTGGCACATATACAGATTGAAATACTATATTCAGCTATAGGAAAGAATGAGATCCTGTCACTTGCAACAACATGGATGGAACTGGAGGACAGATATTAAGTGATATAAGCCAGGCACAGAAAGACAAACTTTGCACGTGATGGCAGCGGCAGGCCGTCTGGAGCGGCCGCTGCCATCCCTCTGGCTGCACAGGGAGGCACAGCCAGGGCTGCATGCTCCATGGAGCCGGCGGAAGCTCCCCTGGTGCTGTTGCACAGCTGTGGACCCAGGCATCCCTGTGCTCTCGGGACCAGGAGCAGGCGGGAGCCCCGCCCTCCTGGGCACAGCTGCAGCCACTCAAACCAAGGCTATAGATCTGGGCCTCCCGCTACAAAGAGCAGGCGGGAGCCCTGGTCTCCATGCGTGGCTTCTCCCTGCTGTCGGCACTTCTCCGATCTCACAGCACAGTCGGGGCCGAGCCCAGGCATTGTTATGTCATGGCCCGGCCGGGTGTGCACATGCTCAGGGCAGGGCTGCCACGCCAGCCTCCTGCTGCCTCGGCTCCCTCTGGGCTTTGGGCACCAATGAGCATAGGAGGGAAGCTGAGGGAGGGGCTGAGAGGAGGCAGACAGGTTCCTGGCATAAGGGGGTAGGTCTTGGGTGAGGCCCCACCTTCAGGCCAGGGAGGGCCTGAAGGCTGGGGTCTGGGTTTCCAGTACCACTGACAGGAGTGGGAACTCGTGGCACTTTTCCCAGCCAGCCATGGCCGCCATGGACCAATTGGGGGGCACCTCTCTGCTGAGAGCTGAACATTTGTTGGGATGAGTGGCCTAGTGGAGAGGAGCTACCCTCTCTGCTAGGAGCTGAATACTTGTTGGGATACCCTGGCTACAGAAAGGAGCTGCCCCCTGCGGGGTTCTTCTGAGCTGTTCTATTGCTCAATAAACCTCCCCTTTGTCTTGCTCGCTCTCCACTTGTCTGCATACCTCATTCTTCCTGGTCGCAGGACAAAAACTCGGGACCCACCAAAGGGCGAGGCTAAAAGAGCTGTAACACAAACAGTGCTGAGACATGCCCCTTGCCCACCACATTGGGGGCAAAGAGAAGGAAAGAAGAGCTGCAGCCCTTCAAAGAGCCCAGATCTGGGAGCTCCCCAAGCCAGGGCTGTGACCCCCTCTCTGGGACCCTGCAATTCCTGGTGTCTCCAAGTTTATGGGCACCAATGTGTTCCCTGGTGCCAGCCGTGGAAGCTGCTTGCCATGCACCTGGTCTGGCTGCAGACTCGCAGAGAGCTGGCACCTGTGCTGGCAACTGGAGCTGCTCGCCTTGCTGCAGCAGCCAGCATGCCCAACTGTGTGCAGTAGCCAGACCCTGTGTTTGCTCACACTCTCCTTGCCATTCCATGCCTGACTTGCTCTTGGCAGGCATGGGACCCAGGCCAGTAGAGTGAGCCAAGCACAGCCTGCCAGGCTGAGTGGGTGAAATGAGCCCAGCGGGCCCGAGCAAAACTTGGGCAAAGAAGCTACCGGCCACAAAGGTTTCTGGACAGAAAAACAACACCCCAAAGACCCCGTAACATATGGTCTCGCTCATTTGCGGGAGCTAAAAATTAAAACAATTGAACTCATGGAGATAAAGAGTAGAAAAATGGGAAAGATAGTGGTGGTCAGTGTGGGAGGTGGGCAGACAAATGAGGATAATGGGTACAAAAATATATTCATAGTTAGAATGATAAGATCTAGTATTTGATAGCACAACAGGGTGATTACAGTCAACAAAAATTTATTGTACATTTTAAAATAACTAAAGGAGTATGATTGGAATGTTTGTAATACAAAGAAAAAAGGATAAATGCTTGGTGTGATGGATACTCCATCTACCCTGATGTGATTACTATGCATTGTATGTCTGTAATAAAATATCTCATGTACCCCATAAATATATTCACGTACTACATACTCATAAAAATTAAAAAGAAAGTAGACATTGGAAGAAGTAAGGAATAACATAAGGAATAGGAAATGGGTGCATCCAGGTTATGAAGCACTGCATTGGGAAATAGTTTGTTTCATTTGTTCTTTTGCTTTTATTAGACATTCTCAGCAACCGAAAGTGCTATAGATCAATTGGGGTTACTTCATTGAAAAGTTTTCCCATGACAATCTCAGACACTGCTGATGAGAATTTAAATCTGTTCAATAAGTCTGGAAGGCAATTTAGCAACACATATAAAAAAAACTTTTAAATTGTACATTGCCCTTGACCTAGTAAATCCCCCTATAAGATTATTTTCCCTAAAGAATTGATTTTTAAAAAGTCGTTAAACATGTATATATAGAGGATGTTGATTGCAGAGAACATGAACATTTACAAAAATCAGAGAAAACAAATATCCAATAATACAGTACTAGTTAGATTATAATATATCCAAATAAAGGGATATGGAGCAGCCATTCTAAAAACAACATTCATATTTGTAGATTATGACATGATTATTGTTCTAGTCTTTTAAAATGCTTTAATAAATGTGTACCCATTCAGTTCAGTTGATTAATTAAAAGTTATAGAATCTCCTGTGTCAAAAACAAAGGAATAAGTTGGACATATTTGCGTGGCTTTATTTCTGAGTTCTCTATCTTATTCTATTGATTTAGGTATCTATCTCTTTCCTTCCACCAATACTACACAATCTTGATTACCGTAACTACAGTAAGTCTTACAATTGGGTAGATTCAGTCCTCCCTTTATTCTTATTTTTCAAAATCTTAGCTATCTGATTCCCTTACCTTTCCATATAAATTTTAGAATAATCTTTTCTTTGTCTCCAAAAAATCTTGGCTGGGATTATGATAGGAATTGTTAGACTTCTTTATCTATGTGAGGATAACTGGTATCTTTACTATGTTGAGTTTTACAATCCATATACATGGATTTAGATCTTTGTTTTCTATGTAGATCTTTGTTTCTCTCTGTTTAGATCTTTTCTTTCATCAGTGTTGTATAGTTTTCAGCATAGAAGTTCTATACATGTTTTGTTAGATTTACAGCAAGTATTTTTTTGAGTGTAAATGGAATTTTATTTTTATGTGTGCATTTCTAGTATATAGAAATAGTGTATTTTGTATTTTATGTTCATTTTGTATTTTGCAATCTTGCTGAACTGACTTATTTTTGTTTGTTTGTTTGAGACTGAGTTTTGCTCTCATTGCCCAGGCTGGAGTGCAATGGTTTGATCTCGGCTCACCGCAACCTCCGCCTCCCAGGTTCAAGCGATTCTCCTGCCTTAGCCTCCTGAGTAGCTGGAACCACAGGTGCACGCCACCACGCCTGGTTAATTTTTGTATTTTTGGTAGAGATGGGGTTTCACCATGTTGGCCAGGATGGTCTCGATCTCTTGACCTTGTGATCTGCCCACCTCGGCCTCCCAAAGTGCTGGGATTACAGGCGTGAGCTGCCGCACGCAGCTGACTTATTAATTCTAAAAATTTTCTGTAGATTCCTTGGGATTTTCTATGTAGACAAACATGTCATCTGCAAATAGGGACAGCTTAGTTCTTCTTTTCTAATTTATATACCTTTTATTTCTTTCTTGCCTTATTGCACCGGCTAGAACTTCTAGCACTATATTAAACTCAATAAGAGTGATGAGTGTGAAAATCCTTGCCTTCTCTTTAATCTTAATGGAGAGGCATCTGGTTTTTCACCATTAAGTGTAATAATAGCTGTATGTATTTTTATAGATGGTCTTTATGGAGTTAAAAAAGTTTTCCTCTATTCCTAGTTTTCTGAGAGTTTTTATCATAAATGGGTATTATATTTTGTTAAGTACTTTTTCCTGCACCTATTGATATAATTCTGTAATTTTTTCTTCTTTAGCCTTAAAATATGATGGATTACATTGATTTATTTTCTATTATTGAACCATCCCTAGAATAAACACCACTTCGTTTTAATGTATAATTCTTTTTTACATATTGTTGCATTCAATTTTGCTAAGAACTTTGTGTCTATATTAATCAAAGATATTGGTCTGTAGTTTTCTTTGTTTATAACATCTCTTTCTGGTTTTGGTGTCAGAGTAATATTAGCTTCATAAAATGAATTGGTGGGTGTTCTCCTCTATTTTCTGAAAAAGATTTTATAGAATTAGCGTTATTTCTTCTTTAAACATTTGGTAAAATTCCCCAGTGAAACAATCAGGGCCTGGAGTTTTTTTTTCTTGGGAATTTTTAAATTATAAATTTAATTTCCTGAGTTGTTACAGGGCAACTTCAATTATTTATTTCATATTGCATGAGTTGTGGCACTTTGTGTTTGGAGGAGTTGTTTCATTTCATCTAAACTGTCAAAAACATGTGCATAGAGGTTTTGCAGTATTCCCTTACTTTTTTATGTTTGTACAGTCTATAGTGATATTTAATTTCTGGTATTGGTAATTTGTGTCTTTTCTCTTATTTTTCTTTGTCAGTCTTGCTAGAGGTTTGTAATTTTATTGATCTTTTCAAAGAACCAGCCCTTTGTTTCATTGGCTTGCTCTATTGTTTTTCGGTTTCTAATTTCATGGATTTCTGTTCTTATCTTTATTATTTCCTTCCTTCTGCTTGCTTTGGATTTATTTTGCTATTTTTTTCCTAGGTTATTGAGGTGAGAGCTTTGATTATTATTATTATTATTTGTAGCGACAGGTTCTCACTATGTTGCCTAGGCTAGTCTCAAACTCCTGGCCTCAGGCAATCCTCTCACATTATATTTTAGTGGGATTACACTATAAATCTCATTGCAGTCCACTTAGGGGTAATAATCTAAGTTGTTTCAGGTAAAATATGGTAAACTTGCAGCAATATAACTCCAATAAATTCCCCCACCCCACCCCACCTTCTGAGCTATTGCCATGTATATATAATCAATATATAAGTCCAATACATAAGTGTTATACTTTTTCTAAATAGTTCTATGTATTTTAAATAAATAAGAAGAGAAAATAGAGAGATTTTACATTTGTCCACATATTTGCCATTTCTGGTGCTTTTTATTTTTTTCTGTGGATCTGAGTTACCATCTGGTACCATTTTTCCTTAGCCCAAAGAACCTAATTTTTTGTAATGCAGGTCTGTTAGCAATAAATTTCTTGTTTTTGTTCCTTCCTGCCCCATTCAAGATGTGTTTATCTTGTTTTCATGTTGAGTCCAGGCAACAAAACTGCTTGATATAGAATTATTGTTTGACATATTTTTTCCTTTTTAAGCACTTTGAATATGTCATTCCAGTATCATCTGTCCTCCATTGTTTTTGATGAGACATTGCCTTTTAAGTCATATCCTTGTTCTCTGTACATGTGTCTATTATTTTCCATGTTTTATCTTTGGCTCTCAGCAATTTGATTATGATATGAGAGACTATGCATAAGAAAATTTAAGGACCCAAGTTTGGCAATAACATACATTAGTTTCACTACCATCCAACTGGTTAGACTCAATCACATGGCCACCCTTAACTATAAGGGAAGCTGGAAAATACAATCCAGCTGATTTCCCAGGAAGAAAATGGGTGTTAGAAACAGCTGGCAAGTCTCTGCCACAACATACATACACCAAAACCACCATATATATTGCCAAAGACACATATGTGTCTAGGGACATACAACGAATGCACTGTGGGGGAACACAAGAGGAACTGAAGTGCAAATCAGGAATGAAGGGAACAAATAAAAGAACAGGAGGGGGGCCTTTCATGGACTGATCCTAACATAGTGTCATGAACTTAGGAGGAGGATTAACTCAATTCTCATTAATTGAGAATTCTCATTAATCTATGTACCAAGAGCAAGAGAAAAGCCCAATAGCAGTGGTGCCAGCAGTGCCATCCTTACCAGACTGATTCTAACATATTACCTTAGTTTTTGCAGTGGTTCATCCTCTGTTGATTCCTATCTGTTTCATGCCTCACCTCCAGACTTCACAGTTCTGTGAATTACTTATTGCTATCCTTCCAATAATTTTTCTTTCTTTTTTTTTTTTGAGACTGAGTCTTGCTCCATCGCCCAGGCTGGAGTACAGTGCTGCGATCTCGGCTCACTGCAATGTCCACCTCCTGGGGTCAAGCAATTCTCTTACCTTAGCCTCCTGATTACAGGTGTGCGCCATCAGAGCTCAGCTAATTTTTGTATTTTTAGTAGAGATGGGGTTTCACCGTGTTGGTCAGCTGGTCTTGAACTCCTGACCTTGTGATCCGCCCACCTTGGCCTCCCACAGTGCTGGGATTACAGGCAGGCATGAGCCACCATGCCCGGCCAATTTTTCTTCTTAACCACAGTTTATTGTAGTCAAACTTATACTATTACAGAGTAGATTTATTTTACCTGTTGAATGTCCAGTCCGAGGTTGAACTTTATCCATTACAGTAGGCATCCTTATTTTGTTCTTGGCTTCAATGGGAATGCTGCAGGTTTTCAAAGCTGGAAAGCTGTTGCAGAAAGCCCAATATGTACATAAACTTGCTTTCCAGCAGCAACAACCAAAACAGCAGAAAGACAGCCTTTACCTCCCAAATCTCAAATGAAGAAATCTAATTGGTGGAACTGATCTTGTACTCAGAACCCTAGCTTCAAGGGTTTTAATTTCTCCAGGTAGCAAAGAATTTGAGGCAACCAGGTGAATGGATAAATTTACTATGGTGGATGCATACTATGGAATACTCCTGCAGCTGATGGAAGCAACAAACTAGATTAACAGCTACATGGAATACACTGGTTATTTACCTATTTTTTTTCAGCTGCTAGCCTTTCCATCTCTCCCCCTGCAACTCCCCCAATTCTCTCCTCTACCCACCCCCACCCCCACATTCTGGCTGTGTTGCTGTAGCTGGGGTTCTACAAACATTTCCCAGACCCCATTGCCAAATTTCCTGTTAGGGTCTGCCAATGGGATACCCTAAAGGAACCCTTAAAGATAGGAGAGACTTCATTCCTGTTTTCCAGTTGTCACATGATCTCAGCTGCAGACATCTGGCTTCTACTAGCTAGTTCTGCACTCAACATCAGCTTTGCCACACTTCTCAGAGATATTTGCAGCAGTCTGACTACCCACTTGGCAGTCTGAGATCAGTCATCCCTTGCTTTCCCACCCTCAGGGCCATGCCTTTCCTCAGAGGTATAAGCACCAAGATACCTGGAGGGAGCTTCTCCCATAAAAGTCAGTATCAGTCAAAGAAGGCCCCTTCTCTGAGCTCCTAGTTTCTGGTAATCACATCACCTCTTCCCTTTTGTTTTCACAGGCCTTGGAATATTCTGATTTCTGCAGTTACTAATTTTTTAGTTACAACAGCAACTTCTTTCTACTCTTTCAGTCTTCTAATACTTGTAATTAAGTCTCTGTATTAAAAGTCCTCTTCTTGAAATACTTAGTGTGGTTTCTGTTTTCCTGACTGGGTCCTGACTGATAACATGAATGAATATTAAAAACACAGTTGAGTGATTTTAAAAAGAAGACAAGATTTGTAGGCAATACTCCACAGAAATAAAGCACACACAAAAAAGGAAACCACATATAATAAGAATATCTGCATAAAAGAGAAAGTTAAATTAGAGTTTTTCAGTTATCTAAGATCTTTGGATAACATACCGAAACTGAGGACAAGAGGTGATAGGAACCAACACATTCCAAATAAAGGTACTAGATATATCCACATGAAGTTTATTCTAAGATAGTAAAGCTGATCCACAGACCACTACACTTTCTATTATATGTGAGATTAGAAATAAAAGATTCATTGATGGGAATCTTTAGGAATAGGGATAACTTCTCCCTGCAAGACAAAGGAGTAGTGCACTCCCTTCATTCTAAACTGAGTGAGGAGGGCTCCAATAGAACCATTTGTAGATATTTAGTGTTCCCATGTGAGGGAGAGGCATTACATTCATTCAGCATTATATTCTCTAGATAGAGACTTGGTAAGCTCAGAAATGTACAGACCCATCTCCATCTGGCCACCAGGGTGGAATGTGGCATGGAGGATTCTTGGGAGAACATAACCTGAACCACTTATGAGGATTTGGAGCCATGTGAATTATAGAGACTGGCACTTCTCAGATGTATAAGTAAGAGTCAGGCTGGCTGCGACAAGGCAGGGTGAGAAAAGCAAGCTGCTGGCTGGGCTGCACTTCCAGTTTGGCAGGACAAATATGCATGCATTTCCTGTGGGTTCCATGAAAGGTAACCAGTCTTGAGGGTTTGTTGGGACCATTCCCAGGAGAGCTGCGTACAAGGGTGAAGCACTTTAGCACGAGGAGGCTGTGGGTACATTGTCAGGGTCAGGGGCTGAAGAGCTGAAGGGCAGTGTGGGCTGTGCATCAAAAAGAGGCAACCAAAGTCAGTTAGTGCCCCAGTCCTCATGGAGAGCTCCAGAGAACCCCAAGAGCTCACAAAGGAGTCAACAGTTAAATGCCTGTCTGCACAGAACACACCAATGGTACCTTAATCACGTAAGCTGAGACTTTCTTCGTTTAATATGCCCTCCCCCATTCCAATCCTAGAAGAGACAGGAAGTAAAGAATGAGTGAAATAATGACCATGTTCTCCCAAACCACTGAGGTAGAGGAACAGCAGCTTTAAACTGGATAAGTTGCTGACAGGTTCCTGAGATGTGGGAAAGGGTGGGGATGAAAAGCATCATACATACATATGTATATATAATATTATATATTATACATATATATAATTGTTTTATTTATTTATTGAGACAGGATCTCAGTTATCCAGGCCGGAGTACAGTGGCACAATCATAGCTCACTACAGCCTGAAATTCCTGGGCTCAAGCAATCCTCCCACCTCAGCCTTCCTAGTAGCTGGGATCACAGATAAGAGCCACTGCACTTGGCCCAAAAACATATTTAAAATGTTAATACTTTAGATTGGTTTCAGTCATGTTATAGGGAATAATGGAACGTATTTATACCAGAGTATTAACAATGTAGAAGGACCCTTGAAACGAAGCCAAAAAGATAGGGGCTGTGGCAATTAAGGAGACTTCCAAGAAGTCTAATACTAAGTAGGGCATCCCTGCTTAATCAATAACACTTCATTTCGTGACCATGAGACAAGAAAACTACAGAGACCTCATCCCTAACATCCTTCAGCTCCAGAACCAATGCCAAATCACCTAACTCCAGGTTATATGACAAAAAAAAACATCTGTTTAGGACATTCTTTAGTGGGATTTGTTTTTCCGGTCACAGTCACAATGACGGATTTAAAAAAAAAAGAGTATCTCAACTTCCTATTGGGAGTACATGTTTTCCCCTGATTTTAAACTCATGGGACAAAAAGAAAGTGTTGACTGGCATCTGGCAAGATAATTAAATATCTGAAACACCCTGAAGGAAACAAAGAGGGTACTGTGGTCAAGAGTAAGGTGGACAGGATACCATAGAAGATATATCCAGTGTATATAATGATAACTGCTAAAACACCCTCAAAACTCACTAGCAGAATGTAATCAAGTTTATTTTCTTGTTCAAAGTCCAATATGGATGTTTTTGGTCAAGTAGCTATTATGCCCTAAATAGTAACTCAGGTATTCAGACTTCTTCTATGCTATGACTCCATCACCGTCAAAACATGTGCTTCAAGGTTACCTTGAAGAGGAAGGAGGAAGAGAATAATGGAAATGGCTCAGCCACCCTTTAACTGCCTTGGTCTAGTATTGAAACATCACTTCCACTCATTTTCCACTGTTGAGAACTACTCACATAGGCCTAGATGCATGGAGCTGGGAAATGCAGTTTACCTGTGTCCAGAAAGAGGACATTTGGGTGAGCATCTGGCCAGTTTCTTCCACAGAAGCAAAGGTAATAGTGGTATGAATTCAGGAAGATGAAAATGAGCTCACTGGGGAAAGAGTATTCAAGGAAGATGGAGCATGTGCAAAGACTCTCAGTAGAAACAGTTTGGAAAGCTTGAGGAATAAAAAGCAAGTCTGTGTGGCTGGAGTTTTGTGAAAGGGGAGGAGTGGGTTAAGATGCAGATGGTGATGGTGACGGAGGCCTGGGCAAGATCACACGGGGCCTGAAAAGTTTGTCTTTTGTTCTCGAGGCAGTGAGAATCCATTGAAGGATTTTAAGCAGAGAAGTGACATAAGCTGATTTACATTTTAAAAAGATCACATGGCTGTGTGGAAAATTAATTGCTTTAGGGACACGAGTAGAAGCAATTAGACCACCAGTAAGGCAGTTACTGCAGGAGTTGGGTATCCTAAAACCAGATGGCTGGTCAGAGAATTCACCTGGGAAGGAGGATGACCAGGGGATGAAAGGTTCTAATTACTGGTCTCTGTGAAAAGCTGTAGAGAGTTTTGTGCAGTTACATAAATGGTTGGGTTTGGAGCTGAGCGGTGTCTCTGCCAAGATCATGTTGTTTCTTTTAGAACTGTGTTCCCTTAGGACTGGACTATATTATGGGAACAGAAGCTGGAGCACACCAATAACTGCAGAAGCAGTAACTATTTATTTGGAGAACTCTCAAAGGGATGCTGAACAAGCATGAGGCACGGATAACCAAACCCAATTTTATTCTTGTCTCTTACCACCCTCCAAATTTTATTCACTGGGAGGTACTCTCCCTGCTATGGAGAAAAGCTGCAGCGAGGTTGTGATGTTCTTAATAGATAGTCCTGTGATCAGTTTAAGGAACAAACATAATCTCAATTAATTAGAATGTCTAATCCTGTGTAACAATAATCTGCACCTGTTGCAGTTTTAAATCCCTTTTTCCTCTCCCAGCTCTGCCCCAGCTAAGTCTAGGAGCCTGCACTGGGAAAGGGAGGAGTGATTGGTATGCTCTTCCCTCTGCTCGGCTCCTCTCTACCTAATCACTGCTGATTGCTCTGGGCCCAAGTGATGAGGAGAGGTAAACAGATAAATCATTTTGCCCTGACTGGGTATTTCTATGCACTGTGGGCCTGGAAGATATTTCCTCTCCCCTATTCTCACTCTCAAATGATAAACTGGCTTCCTGCTCCCCTGAAAAAAAATCAAAGCAATCAGAAATGAACTTCTGGGGCCCTATCAGGAACTCTGGAAGAGGGCTTTCATAATGGAGCAACCTCTTACCACTGCCATTTACCTCAAACAGGCCCTCCACATTACTCAGCAATCCTTACCCCACTGCATTCTGAGTTCTCTCTCATCTCAATAGCACTCGACAGCTAACAACCTGCCCATCCTCCCATAAAAAAAAAAAAAAAAAAAACACTGGCTGGGCACAGTGGCTCATGCCTGTAATCCCAGCACTTTGGGAGGCCGAGGCAGGCCGATCACTCGAGGTCAGGAGTTCGAGACCAGCCTGGCCAACATGGTGAAACCCCGTCACTACTAAAAATACAAAAATTAGCTGGGCGTGGTGGCATGTGCCTGTATTCCCAGCTACTCGGGAGTCTGAGGCAGGAGAAGTGCTTGAACCAGCAGGCAGAGGTTTCAGTGACCTGAGATCACGCCACCGCATTCCAGCCTGGGCCACAGAGCAAGACTCTGTCTTAAAAAAAAAAAAAAAAAAAAATTAACTCTCCTGGTTTTACTCCTACATCTCTGGGTGAACCTTCTCCTCTTCCATCACCTTCACTGCTTCATTTTCCTTTACCCATCCATGACATGCTCCTCAGTTCTATTCTGAGCCATTTTCTCTTCTCATTATCTTACCCTGAATATCTCATCTATTCTGACTTTAATTACCACCTCTAGGCTGCTGATTCCCAGACCCCCAGCACAGATTTCACGCATGTCCCACTTCCTAAAATCCAACACTTTGAATGGCATCACCAGCCTACCCACAGTTGAGCAACCTGGAACTTACTTCAGATTCCTCTCTTACCAACCTCAACATCCCACCAATTCTACCTAATGAAGTTCTCCTGTCTGCCTACTTCTTCCATCATGACTAGTCAACAGTGCCCTCATCTTGTGCCCTAGTACCTGGGTTTCTATAACACCCCTGTTCTCATCTATCCCACTCAACTGGACCCTGTCATTCCTTATCTCTCCCTAGGTGAATAAGTACACTGGCTATATCTCAAATGACAAGCTCCGGGAATACAAAGATAAACATGGCTTGAGAAAACAGCAGCCAAATGCACAAAGGAATCACAATGCAATATTTAGAAGCTGAAGTAGCACTCTTCACATAGTACTTTGAGAGTACAGATGAAGAACTGATTTTGCTTTGGGAGTAGAATAGGAAACAACTAGGCTGTTCGGAAAGATGAGCAAACTGCCAGTCCGATGAATATCCAGCAGAAAGAACAGTACGTGTAGAGGCACTGTGTAGTGCCTGCCTAATGATTCACAGCCCAGCCTCCAAACATGCCCTCTGGACTACAGCCTGTTTCAAAACCTCCATCCCCTTATTAGAGGCATCCAACTGGCTCAGGGCATAGAACCTATGATCTCCCAATGGGTACTGTCAGGTATTCCTGGAAACAAGTACAAGAGGCCATATCTTTATACCTGGGCACATGGCAGATACCTTTTGGGGGAGGCCTAGAATCTATCATTCAAACTCACCTTCCCTCAGCACCTTGCCTATAGCTTTCCCAGGACATGCTGATCTGAGTCCACTGCAAGGCAGAGATAGTGGACAGACTCTTCCGCCAATGAACAGCCCAATGCCCCCAAGCCCACATGGCATCAACAAGTTGTTTATGAACAGAGACCCAGCTCCCTCACTACCCCTCCAAGGACAGAAGCTCAGAATCTATTAAAAGTCATTAAATAGCCTATGAAGCAGGCCTGTTGAAAGGTCTAGCCTCTCCCAGAGGCTTCCTTAGTCAACAAATCCATTCTTTACCCCTCAGCCTCCAACCAGCCTAGGGAAGATCTTCAAAAAACAATAAGGCTTACAACACATAATAGTCATAGCTAGTTTACTGAGCACCTCCTATGTTCCCAGCCCTGGCTACAGATTTCTCCAGTTAACCCACACAACCACCCTGCAAGACAAAAATTCTACCATTTTCCAAATGAGGAATGTGATATACAGAGATTAAATGACTTTAAGTGCCTCTGGGTAGCAGGCCAAGAATTAAATCCAGGTCTACCTGATTCCAAAATCTGTGCTCTCAGCTATATACATCCCAAAGTCCCACAGGACAATAGGTGTTGGGAGTGGCTTGATGCTATATGGTTCCAAAAATGGAGATGAGGGGAGAGGGGAAAGATAAACCACTAGAAATGCTCGGTATGGGGACAACCAAACAGTCTCAAGTTGGTGGCTCAGACTGATGTCTTGAGCCAAGATGTTGGTGGACAACCAGTTGCCTCAGAGTCAAACAGCAACAGCTGCCTGTCTGCAACCTTGAAGGCCTGGGCAAACTGAAGCTGAAGGAGCAGAAGCTATGGGTGAGCAGAGGAAGCTGATCTGTAGACAGATCAGATGACAGCAGAGTGGAGATGGCAGGACAGGAAGGCCATGTGGCTTCTTAGTTGGAAAGAAGAGCAAAACCTAAAGATGCCTTGAATTCCAAACCATCTAGTTTTCATAACACCTGAAGTGTCATGAGACAGATATCCCCATGTTCTCACAATAAACTCTTTATTGTTTAGCTAGCCCCAGTGACTTTATGCATCTTATAACCAAGAAGCCTTCAGTAGAGCAAGTCTGAGCCAGAGGTTTTATCACACTTTGTCCTCAGGGTCCACCAGGAACCAGGTCTTGGCTCACAGCCAGGCTGGAAACAGTCTTCACAGTTCTGAGCCTGGAGTTTGAGATCTGCCTCCCCTTTCAAGGAAGATCCAGAGGTCACCTGCGCTTGTAGAGACATGGCTGAAGCTGCAGGCCTGAAAGCTGAGCCTTGGGCCCTACCAGAGGGGGCCCAGTCTTTTGGAAATCAAACAAGAAGAAATGGCTGTTGGTCAGGTCCTAGGGGCAGAAAAGACCCAGTGAGAACCAAATCCTCATCCCAACTCCTTAAAACACCTCCCTCTATGTACTGCCTCTGCTCACAAAGCTTCCCAGGGCTCCCACTTCCGTTGGGGAGCAAAATGTCTGTTCCTGTGCCTAAAGCCTCCTTCCTGAACACCAGTACCCTGAATAGGGCCACATGAGACAAAAACAGGTACAGATGTCTTGGGGCCCTCACCTTGGAGACAATCTTGAAGCCTAGCTTGGTCACAGCCCGCAGAAAGGTTCGAACATCCTCAAAGCGGCTGCTGACCTCAGCCACTTTCAGGAGACCCCTGAGAAAGACAGAAAGTTCTGTGTAAGTGCACAGACTCATGCATGCACACATACATACATGCATCTGTGTCCTGGGGGCTCTTACCCTGGCTTCAGTACTCTATTTGCCTCCTCTAGGAAGTCCCTGATGTTGGTTCCCATCAGTGAAAGGCAAAACACAGCCACATCCACAGACTCATCCTCCAGAGGAACCTGTGGAGAGTGAGAGTGTTGTATAAGGCACACAGTGCAGAAGAAGAAAGCCAGCACTGAGATACCAGGATGGGAAAGGGGAAGGAAGGGTTAGAGATTAGCATACGGAGGTTGGCCCTAGAGCACAAGCCAGATAACATAGGGGTTTACCTGGGCCATGTCACACACAGTGACCCTAGGGTCCAGAGAAGCCAAGTCAAAGCAATGCACAGGGTTCCGGATACTTGAAGCCAAGCGGCAATCCCCACAGCCGAAGTCAGCCACCACTAGGGATGCAGGCCTGAGAGTGGAAGGCAAGGGTCACATATTGGTCTGATCTGAGCCTATGACTGACCCACCACATGGCTTCTCACAGTCCCTGACCCCCATTCACCGCTGGCGAAGATCCCTGGCGATGCGGTCCACTGGCTGCAGTGGCCACTTCTTCACTTGGCTCTGGAAGCCGCGGTGGTAGAGAAGAAAAGCCTCAGGGTCTTCCTGGAAGAGACGCTGTGCAGCACTGCTGGGCCCTGAGTACAACTGTTCATTGAGGTAGCGAAATCGGGCCCCATCCAGCCGCTGTGCCATGCGGGCTCGCAAAGCCCCTGCCCGAGCCTCATGGCTGTCTGTCCTGGGAACAGGAGACACCTCTGTCTTCTCTGTGGGGGCCTCAGCTGGGGCCTGGTCTGGCACCTGAGGTGGCTGAAACTTGTTCTTACATCTTCTCTTGTTCTTTTGCCGGTTCCGCCACTGCTTGCGGCTTAATGTATGAGGGGGTTTAGGGGAAGTGGACCCAGGGCTTTGCTTTGGTGGATCATTTGTAGTACTACCCTTCCAGGCTTTGGGACCTACAGGGAGGGAGATGGGAAGGTGCACATGAGGCAAGATCTCTTACATTCGGAGTCACGGCAAGTCATCCCAGCCATACCTCTGTCTTTGAGATCGTGACTGTGGCCTGCAGAGAAGTACTTCTTATTGCCTGAGTACACCATTAGCCCCAATCCTAATGGCAGTGGATAATCACTCTTGTATGTAGAACCAGCTGACCCCCCGACACACACACACCAACACACACACATATACACATCCAATGGTACCTGTTTGGTCAACATTGTCCAGGTGCTGGGCTGAATTTATAGGGGCATGTTTCTGGCATTTCCTCTTTCTTTTCTCATCTTCAGCAGAGTCACTGCCAACAAGAGCCTGTTTGTGGCATTTCTTCTTCCTTTCTACTTCTTCCTCAGAGTCACTGCAAGGTGGGCCCTGTTTTTGACATTTCTTCTTCCCTTTCTTCCCTACTTCAGCAGAGGCACTGGCAAATGATGCCTTTTTGGGGCATTTCTTCTTCCTTTCCTCCTCCTCCTCCTCAGAGTCACTTATACATAGGCTGGGGGGATGCTGGGAAAGAGATGCTGCCTCTAGGGCCCGTAATGTGGCCAAGAGCTGGCGGCGCTTGGAGCCCTGGAGGAAAACAGGGGATGACAGTGGGCCTAAAGAGAATGGATGAGGCCTGGAGAACAAGAAGGGAGAGATGTGGACCTGATTCAGACTGGCAGAAGCATCTGAATTCTTCCCAGTCAAGCCTGCCAGAACCCAGAAGAACTTTTATGTCACCACCCCAACTTCTGGGAAGCTGGAGAGCAGAGAAACCACCTATCCCACTTTCTTCAATGTGTAAATGAGCTAATGGAGGTTTCCCCAAAGGAAAATGCAAAGGCCACAAGCAACAAGACCAAGGCCAGAGACCAGGAATTCCAACCCTTCACCTTGAGCTTTTGCCTAGAGCTGATACATTTCTGTAAGAGGTAAGGAGGCTTCTGAACACAGGAGACACATGATCACACACGTATATTAAATATTTAACATGTCTCTAGCTGCAGTGTAGAAAACAAACTGAAGGGGAGAAATTGCAGACAGAGAGGCCAGCGGCTTGGACAATGGTAATGGGGCTAGGGGATGAAAAAGGAGGAAACAAAGCAGGCCGATTCCATGTTGGAGGCAGACTGAAGGGTAAGAAAAGCCTGAGGAAGCAGGGCCCTCACATCTGCAGAGGCTCAAAGGAGAAGATGTATTGTCGGGAAGGCTGATTCTGTGTTGCAGTCCTACCAGGTAATCCTAGGCCAGGCACTTACCCTGATTCTAAGTTTCCCACACCCTCCTTTGAACAATGATACTGACAACTCTTACTGTCTCCAATCCATCCTCCACACTGTAACCGACGACCCTTTCAAAATACAAATCTGAAGAAATAATTCCATTGCTTAAAACCTTTCATTGGCTTCTATTCTCAATATACGCAAAACTTCTACCTCTTGAACTTGAACAGCATATATGCCCCTTTCATTTACTATGTATTTCAACCACAAGGACCACTTGTGTTTGTGACTCTGACAGAACATGCTCTCTTGTCCCAGGGCCCTTGTACGTACTTTTTCCTGTCTGAAGAACCCTCTTCGCTTCACCAACTTCTACTCAACAACTCTCTCTGACCCAACGTCAGTTTCTTTTGGAAGTTCTCGGATCTTCAGATCAGGACTCGCCCTTAACGGTGCCACAGGTGTCCCTCCCCGCAATACACACAGCGCTGGGATCCACCAATGTCCGCTTCGCGGCCTGAAACAGCTCCCATTGCTCCCGCGAGTCACTCACCTTGTTTTGCGAGGAGGCCGCAGGCGGAGGTCGTGAGATTACGGGCCCAAGGCCCGCGGCTACTGGGGCCGCCTCGGCCCACTCAGGCTCTTCGAACATGAGGGTCGGGAGGGCAGGGTCGCCGAGTCCCCGCTCTTCTCCACGTGCACAGCGCTCCTCTGGAAGTCGGAGCGCTCAGACCTGCCAGAACCGACCCGGAAACCAAAGCGTGACAGCCAGGGGTTGCTAGAGCGGCCGGCGCGGCGCAGCGAACCATCGAGTTTAGCCAGGCGCGGCTAGAAGGGCAGGGAGGCGGTGGGAGGGGAGGGACGGAGGCCCGCGCTGCCCAAGAGCGCCACGGGCGGGGCGGGGCCGGCGGCGGGCTGCGGGCGCGGCCGGACGGGAGTTCCCCGGAGAAGGATCCTGCAGCCCGAGTCCCGGTGAGTGCGAGAGGACCCGCGCCCCCTGTCACCCCTCACTTCTCCTGAGTCCCAAGTAAGGAACGGAGCCAACCCTGGGGAGGACCCCCGGTCCCCTCTCCCAGAGTATACGGAGCCTGAACCTCCCCACTTCCCCCAACTCTGTTCGCGGATAGGGTCTAGTTGCCTGCTCTCGGACATCCGTTCAGCAGACACTACCTCTTCGTCACCCCCTGCCCACCCTGACCCGCCTTTACCTCGCGTCTAGAGGACACAGCCAGGGATCATCCCGCAGCCCCGAACTCCTTCACAGACCCCCACTAGCCGGGGACGCAGCTCAGGCCCCCTACCCCCAACACAAACACTTCTCTCCTGTAGAGGATAAAGCTTGGGGTTCATCCTCCTTCCCTGGATCACTCCACAGTCCTCAGGCTTCCCCAATCCAGGGGACTCGGCGCCGGGACGCTGCTATGGACGACATTTTCACTCAGTGCCGGGAGGGCAACGCAGTCGCCGTTCGCCTGTGGCTGGACAACACGGAGAACGACCTCAACCAGGGGTGAGCTGAAACGGTTGGTGGATGAGAGGAAGGCTAGAGATCTCCTGGCTACGTGGAGTGGAGTGCTCATGTCTGGTGGTGGCGGCTGCCTTTGCTAGCCAGTGTAATGAGTGCTAAGCATAGCCTGTGGGGGGCAGAGGGTTTTCACAGAGGACGCAGTTTGAGCTGAATCTTGACTGCAGAATAAGAGTTTCACAGGCAGAGGCTACAGAGAGCTTTCCAGCCTCAGTAGACTGCATGGCCAAAGGCTAGGGGGCAAGGCACAGAGCAGAGAGAACAGGAAATTGTCTGGAGTTCCATATGGCTGGAGGATAGATGATCTCTGTGGGTCGGAGCATTGGGTACAAGAGGAAAAGAACAGGACATAAGACTGTAGAGGTCTCCAAGGATCAGCCAGATCATGCAAGCATATTTAGGCTATAAGAAGGTCTTTATTTTAAAAGCAAGGTTTTAAAGCTGTATAGTGACATAATGAGATTGTCCATTTTTCAGTATCGTCTTGGATGCTTTGTGAAGAGCAGGTGGAAAGGAGGCAATTGCCTAGTTCATCGTAGAAGTAATGATGTCTTGGACTAGAATTAGGGTGAGTGAAAAAGAGAAGTGATCAAATTCCAGAAGTCTTTAGGACGAAGAATTGTGGAACTTGGTGTGGGGAGTGAGTAAGGGCAAAGATGAGGACCAGGGTTCTGGCTTGGGAACTTGGTTGTTTTTACTGAGATGGAGAAAACTGGAGGATGAGGCATTTTATTTTGGACATGTTAAAGTTAAGGTGACAATACAGCAAGGTGGAAATGTTGAGTGTGTTGTTGGTTATGCAGATTTGCAATTCAGGGGAGGAATCTGACTTGGAGACACAGATTTGAGAGCTATCAGCATATAGATAGCATATATATATCATATATATAGATGATACTTGAAGACGTGGTTGTGAAGGAGAACGTCTCAGGAGAGTGGAAGGCAAGAGGTCAGGGGACAGGAAGCCTGCACGACAGAAAAGGAGCAACCGCAAGTTGAAAAAGAAATAGGAAAATGTGTGAGTAAAGCTTACAGAAGAGAATGTTTTAATGAAGGGGAGGTAGTCAACGGCAGTACAGGCTACTGAGAGATCAAAGAACATTAATATTTTAAAGTAGCCATTGAATTTACAGTTGGGTTTTTTTTTTTTAAGTTAAGGGGTACATGTGCAGGTTTGTTGGATGGGTAAACTCAGGTCATGGAGGTTTGTTGTGCAGATCATTTCATCACCCAGGTATTAAGCCGTGGCACCCATTAGTTATTTTTCCTGATCCCTCCCTCTTCCTACCCGCCCCACTCTGGTAGGCCCCAGTGTCTGTTGCTCCCCTCAGTGTGCAGTTAGGATGTATTTGACCATCTGTGAGTGTTGTTTCAGAATAATGGGTGAAGAAATCAGACTACATTGGGTTCCTTAATTTAAGGCACTATGATGAACACCTTCTGTGCTGGGTGCTAGAGTCCAGAATCTGACATAATCTCTGCTCTCGATACAGCAGATTTGTGGCAGATTGAAAAGTAGGCCGGGCGCGGTGGCTCACGCCTGTAATCCCAGCACTTTGGGAGGCCGAGGCTGGTGGATCACGAGGTCAGGAGTTCGAGACCAGCCTGACCAACATGGTGAAACCCTGTCTCTACTAAAAATACAAAAATTAGCCAGGCGTGGTGGCGTGCGCCTGTAATCCCAGCTACTCGGAGGCTGAGGCAGGAGAACTGCTTGAACCCGGGAAGCAGAGGCTGCAGTGAGCCAAGATCATGCCACTGCCCTCCAGCCTGGGCCACAGAGCAAGACTCTGTCTTAAAAAAGAAAAAGAAAACAAAAGTTGAGAGGTGAGCAAATAGTGAAAGTGAATGTACACCAGTTCTACAAGGTTGGCTGAGATAGGAAGGCAAGAAGAGCAGTAGTGATGGTGACTCAGAGTGGCAAAATCAAATTCTTTATTTTTTAAAATTGGTGGAGTTTAGTTTTTAGGTTTGACAGGTCAGGATCACCTGTCATCTTAGTCTAGACTTCACTGGTTCCCATTAGGTTCTACACTATTTCTCTTTAATACTTTGCAAAGTCATTTGTTCCATTTTTCATATAATTCTCAAAGGGTACCCTGATAAAGACAGTAAGCACTGTTACTGTTTTGTTGGTGAGGAAATAGAGGCTTAGGCAGTTGCCCAGTGGGCCTAGCATCTAGGAAGACTCTAGCTGAGTCTAGGAAGACTCTAGGAAGATGCTGCCAGAAGGAAAAGGGGTGGAATTAATGAAACTGGAAGGTTGTGGTGCTGGTTTGAGGAGTAAAGTATGGGGGCCAAAGTTGGCTATATGCTGGATATGAAGAGGGGGTTAATTCCTTGCAGGTCTTCTTGAGATAGAAGTCCAGGCCCTGAGGTGGCAGGCAGCCTGATAGTGAACAGAACCCTTGTGCCCATACTTTTGCCCCCCGAGTTTGGCCTGCCCTGGCGCCACAGGCAGTACTGGAAGCTGATAAGTCAGGGCACAAATTAAAGGTCTAGGAGGCAAGACCAACTGATAAACAGGGGGCGTAATGCTTCCTGGGGATAATCCCATCTCAAGGAAAAGCTTTTGGCTATTTCTGTGTTAGCAGATGCGAGCAAGTTGTGGAGGAAAATGATTAACTTAAAGGCCACACCCCCCAACCCCTTCAGCTGTACGGGCATCTGGATGGCCAGACCCCTGATCAGCTCCAGGCCTTGCCTAGAGTCGCACACAGGAAGTGACCACAACACTAAGGCATCCGGAGGCTGCTGGCCCAGACCACGGACCGCCCCCTGCTCCGCCCCTTGAATCTGCAGCCCCGAACTGGAGGGAATTTCCTTTTATGGCCCCAGGCTGTCAGGCAGGCCCAGCTCCAAACCAATTGTTTTGTTTTGTTTGTATACTTTACTTTATAAAATACATATTTCTTGGAAAAGAAAAAAATCAGGTATAGTTTTAATCCCAAAACAGCCATTCTCATTTTCTTCTGTTTTCTATGCACAGGATTGCTAAGTAGGGGAATCCTGCTTTGCATGGTGGTTTGTTATCTACCTCATCAGTAGTCAAAAGCATTTCTCCTTTTCAACATAAACCCTTCCAAAACATCATTTAAATTCCATTCCATTTTTAGATGTTAGTTTCAGTACCAGAGCCAAATAGTAAGTTTGTTCCCTCTTCTATAAGTTGTGGCCTGCCTTCTCCAAGACACCCTTCTCCCCCACTAACATGCACTGAACAGCTGCTGTCAATCCATTCCCTCAAGAAACTTAAAGGTCTAACAGACAAGACAGTCCATTAACAGATTTTTACAATCCAGTGCAACAAGTGCTGAAGTAGGGGGACATATAAGATGTGGTGGAAAACAGAAAGGACCAATAGATGTTGCAGAAGGGGTGCAAGAGAAACCAGGGGAAGAGCACTACCACCTAAGGAAATGAGATGTGGGATATGGTGAAGATAACACATTTTTTTATAGAGGTTGTTGAGATATCTAGGTGGTTGGTTTGGTTTGAAGCTCAGGGGAAGGTCTGAAATGGACAGCTTTGGGAGTTGCTGGCATGAATGAGAATCAAAGTCCTAGAGAGGTAAGCCTTCCCAGAGAGTATGTAATTATCAGTTTTTCAGGAATCAAAACCTTTGCCCCATCCCACCTCCAGCTCAATGACCATTGCCCCTTCCTCAAAGGGACGATCATGGCTTCTCCCCCTTGCACTGGGCCTGCCGAGAGGGCCGCTCTGCTGTGGTTGAGATGTTGATCATGCGGGGGGCACGGATCAATGTAATGAACCGTGGGGATGACACCCCCCTGCATCTGGCAGCCAGTCATGGACACCGTGATATTGTACAGAAGGTACGTACAAACTCCTTCGTCATCCACATCACATACATGCCATGAGGGTCAGTCACAGGCACTGTAACATACAGTAGAAAGCATGTGTGCTCTTCCCCCTTTTCCCATGCCCTGACACCAGTATCTCATTTGGAACTGACTGTACTTTCTGCCTCTTCTTTTTGTCTGGCCATGGGGTCCAGCTATTGCAGTACAAGGCAGACATCAATGCAGTGAATGAACACGGGAATGTGCCCCTGCACTATGCCTGTTTTTGGGGCCAAGATCAAGTGGCAGAGGTGAGTACTCAGCCCTTAATTCCTGAGATGGGTAGGAAGTAAAGTCTGAGCCTTGGTGGGAGATTTTGGAACCCTCAACCCATTCTGTCAGTACTACTGTGTGACACTTACAGGATTAAGTTCTACATTTGTGCATTCATGGTTGGTTCAGTGACTGCCAGCGAGGTAGCAGTGGCTCTCATCATAATGGCCTTTTCATTCCAGGACCTGGTGGCAAATGGGGCCCTTGTCAGCATCTGTAACAAGTATGGAGAGATGCCTGTGGACAAAGCCAAGGCACCCCTGAGAGAGCTTCTCCGAGGTCCATCTCCCCATCCCCTAGCTTGTGTCCTCTCGTCCCTTCCCACCTGTCTTCTCCCTCTGTACCACAGCTTAGGTTGTTTTTCTTCCCTAGAGCGGGCAGAGAAGATGGGCCAGAATCTCAACCGTATTCCATACAAGGACACATTCTGGAAGGGGACCACCCGCACTCGGCCCCGTGAGTCACCACTGTGGGAAGAAGGGTTGTAAAAGGAAATAATCCTGGCCTCTTGGGGCTGGGTTAGGGTGAAGCTGGGTACCTGACCTGCCCACACTCTTAGGAAATGGAACCCTGAACAAACACTCTGGCATTGACTTCAAACAGCTTAACTTCCTGACGAAGCTCAACGAGAATCACTCTGGAGAGGTGACCCCTGCCCTTCTTGCCCTTCCCTCACTAAACCCCCATAAATTACTTGCTTTGTACCTGTTTTAAGTTTTTCCTCCAGTTAGTGGGCAAGGAAGTGGCAGCAACATTTCAAGCCTCCTAACCCCTACCTGTCCTGCAGCTATGGAAGGGCCGCTGGCAGGGCAATGACATTGTCGTGAAGGTGCTGAAGGTTCGAGACTGGAGTACAAGGAAGAGCAGGGACTTCAATGAAGAGTGTCCCCGGCTCAGGTAGTGCAAGGCGTAACCTGGAAGCTGCTAGTTCCAAGGAACCCTGAATAGCACTGAAAGAGATCTTTTGTACTGGGTCTCAACCACTCCCTCCCTCTTCTAGGATTTTCTCGCATCCAAATGTGCTCCCAGTGCTAGGTGCCTGCCAGTCTCCACCTGCTCCTCATCCTACTCTCATCACACACTGGATGCCGTATGGATCCCTCTACAATGTACTACATGAAGGCACCAGTGAGTAGGGATGTTGAATTTCCTTGGGGAGGAAATGGCAGAGAGGGAGCCTCTCTGAACTATTTGACTTTTGCCTCCTCTCAGATTTCGTCGTGGACCAGAGCCAGGCTGTGAAGTTTGCTTTGGACATGGCAAGGGGCATGGCCTTCCTACACACACTAGAGCCCCTCATCCCACGACATGCACTCAATAGCCGTAGTGTAATGGTGAGGCCACAAGCTCACTCCTGGCCCAGGCCCCAAAAGCCCTTTGCCTATCTATGACTTACCTCCTTCTATCTGTTTTCTCTTCCTCAGATTGATGAGGACATGACTGCCCGAATTAGCATGGCTGATGTCAAGTTCTCTTTCCAATGTCCTGGTCGCATGTATGCACCTGCCTGGGTAGCCCCCGAAGGTGAGTGAAGTCATCATGTCGGGAGGTAAAAAAGGACCACCTCAGAAGTAGTGGAAGGGGGCAGAGACAGGACAGGCAAGGGGGCCAGAACAGACAAGCCCTATCTCTCCAGCTCTGCAGAAGAAGCCTGAAGACACAAACAGACGCTCAGCAGACATGTGGAGTTTTGCAGTGCTTCTGTGGGAACTGGTGACACGGGAGGTACCCTTTGCTGACCTCTCCAATATGGAGATTGGAATGAAGGTGAGAGCACAACAGCATACATTTGTGTTGCGGGAGTGGTTGGTGATGGTGAAAATAACTGTAGTGGGCCTTGGCTCCTCACATATTTGTTCGGATATACAGTAATCCTGTCCCAAGGGCCAGTGGCTTCTCTCTACATGACAGACTCAAATTGTGAGGCTGCTTTTTTTCTTGTATTCGCAGGTGGCATTGGAAGGCCTTCGGCCTACCATCCCACCAGGTATTTCCCCTCATGTGTGTAAGCTCATGAAGATCTGCATGAATGAAGACCCTGCAAAGCGACCCAAATTTGACATGATTGTGCCTATCCTTGAGAAGATGCAGGACAAGTAGGACTGGAAGGTCCTTGCCTGAACTCCAGAGGTGTCGGGACATGGTTGGGGGAATGCACCTCCCCAAAGCAGCAGGCCTCTGGTTGCCTCCCCCGCCTCCAGTCATGGTACTACCCCAGCCATGGGGTCCATCCCCTTCCCCCATCCCTACCACTGTGGCCCCAAGAGGGGCGGGCTCAGAGCTTTGTCACTTGCCACATGGTGTCTCCCAACATGGGAGGGATCAGCCCCGCCTGTCACAATAAAGTTTATTATGAAAACAGGCTGGTGTGGGGACATGGGGACAGATAAGTACATTTAGGTTGGGTGGCTCAGGTGAAGTAGTGCGGCTTCTTCACATTGATGCCATACTCGCTGAGGGCAGGGGTCAAGTCCTCCATGGTTAGAGTGTACTTGCGGTCCTGAGGGAAGAGGGAAGAGCACCAACTGAGCACAGGAATCCCGGACTTCAATCCCAGATGGGTGACCCTGAGTAAGTCTTACACCTCCCCTACGATTCAGTTTCCCCAAAGGGGTGGCAGGATAAGCCTCCACTGTTGTGGAAGGTAATTACTGATTCATTAAGCCTCCCCTCACACCTTGCTCTTGCTCCGGGAGCTGCCGGAGGCCGTGCCCTTCATTTTGCAGTGCTGTAGGGCATCATTGGCAATATCTGAGATGAATTTCTGGGCAGCTAAGGAGATGAGCCGAATTCTAGAGAGAAAAAACTTAGATGAGAAGGAGATGGACAACATACTGCACAAGCACCCAAAACTAACCTGCCCTGGGTTTACTCACATGCGTGGGTCTGAGGCCTCAAAGCCAGCACGGTTCAGGTAGTAACCAGTCACTGCATCTGGGATCTGAGAAATCAATTAAGAGAACTGTCAGCAGAGCGGGAGGAGGGTGAGGGAAATGGATAGGCCTGATTATCAGGAAGCTCACAGTTTGGGTGAGCAGAGGGCAAACACAGAAGAGCGACTAGGGGAGCAAATGGAAGAGAACGCTGAAAAGCACGATGTGGCTGAAAGTTTTGACAGCAGGCTAGGTGGCCTTGTTCGGGCGGAAGCCCACCGTAGGCGTGTAATCTTCCAGCTGCATCAAGAAGTCCACCAAAGGCGTGCTGGACACCACGGGCTTCACGTCTCCGTTGGCCGCGCTCGGCAGTACGTAAACCCCGTTAGATATGGCCCCCTCCGGGGGCGCCGCGCCACCCGCCGACACCGGAGCTGGAGGAGAACCAGCAAAATGAGACACAGAGGTGGGAGGCGCAGGGCCCCAGCTAGGTCTGTCTATACCCTCTGCCCTCACCCGCCGCTGGACCCAGCCCAAGACGCTTCCCTCGCCCTCACCCGTCCCGGCCCTCACCCGCCCCACGCCGCTCAGCTGGCTCCCCGGCCCGCGCCGCCAAGGGTCCCGTGCCCCCAGCAGCTGCTCCAGCCCCAGGTCCCCCCGCTGTCCCCGCGGGGCTGGCCTTGTTCTCCGCGGCGGTGCTGGAGGGCAGCGCGGCGGGAGCCGAGACCGGGGGCGCGGGGCCCGGGGCCGAGGCGGCGGAGGCCGGCGCCGCCTCGGGGTCCGCGCCGGAGCCGCTGCAGCTCATCGGGCCGGTGGGAGAGGCGGCGAACAGAGCCGCTTCCGCTTCCGCTCGCGCCGCGCACACCCCGGGGTGACGTCACGCGCCCACGACTCGCCCCGCCTGTCTCTGTTAGTGCTCTCCAGCCCGCTCCCCGCCTCCTCCCATAGTGGATCTGCGGGTTAGAGGAAATAGGCTGCAGGGCGGAGACCGAGCCTTGGCGAACTGCGCTGCCGTAGCCATTCCGCCCTAGCCTCTGCCGTGCTCCGCGGCGATTCCGTCCAGACCGGAACCAGCGTGCGTCTGGCTCTCCTCCGCCGCTCTGGGACACCTCATTCTGTCTGACGCTCAAGACCTGGCTTCGACGTTTATGGCCCTATGTCCCTCGACTACGGGTTGCCTGCCTGTCTGCATCGTTTCAAGTTCCCTTATTCAGCCTTTTAAGGATTCATAGTGGATTTGGAAAGCCCCCTCTCTTCTCCGCCAGCTGCCCCGAGAGGTGGGGGCAGCAGTGGGGCGGCACACAGTGCTGCTGTAGGAGGAGGAGGAGTTTCAGCCTGAGTCAACAACATATGCAAAAATCACAACGAATGAGAGGCGTGAGGTTTTCGGTGTAGCAGACATTTAATTCTTATTTGCCAACTCCTGAGCTAGGACCTGGGAACACAAAGTTAAATAGGACACGATTCTAGTCCTCTAGGCACCAACGGTCTTGGAAAGGAAGGCAGACAAGTAAACTGGCCATTTCAATACTACGTGGTCGTTACAATGCTAGAGGTAGGCACAGGGGGCGCAGTGCAAGGGAGGAAGGGCGTTAACATCTGCCACCTACTTCCAGGTGCCAAGCACTGTTATCAACATTATTCCACTTTATTCCCTGGTGATTATGAAAGGCAGGTATTGATATTCACACTTAACAGACGAGGAAACAGCCTCAGGGAGATAAGCTTACTTGACCCAGTCTCTCTCCTAGTCCATATCAGAACCAAGATTCAAACAGGTTTTGTTTAGAAAATCTAGGATTTTTCAGCCATACCAAAATAAAGTAGCCTCAGGGAATCAAAACATTCACGAAAGAAGGTGACTTCTGAACTGAGTCTTGCAAGAATTCTGGAAATTAACCTGGCAGTTGTATCAGGGGTGGTAAGGGGACGGAACAGCTTGAGCAAGAGTGAGAGTTCCTTGGGGTTTGGGGAGGGAGGAGGAAAAATGATTTTTTACTTAAGAACAAATAGCAAGGAAGGTTTGTGAGCTATGATTGGGGGCTGGAGGGGAAAGCCTGAATTCTATCCAGTAATCCTTGAAGGGTTTTCATCCAAGTGGCCTGATGGGATTTGCATTTTACTCTGGAAGATGACTTGGGGATTGGCAGGAAGTAAGGACACTTTTTTTCAAGAGAATATAGCCCTAAACTAAGGTAGTAGCAGTGGGGATATAAGTGGATAAGTTCTAGATATACTTGGGAAATATAATTGGAAGGACTTGTGGACTGATAAAGATATATTTAAGATGTGCAGTCAGTAGGACTTGTTGATTGAGGACTTGTTGATTGAAGGTGGGGTGAAAAGATGACACAGGTTTCTGGCTTGGTTGGAAAAAGCATAGCATCATTTACCAAGAAGAAACGAGATGGAATTGTTTGGGGTTGGGAAGGTGGACGATGAAATGTTGAGTATCACGCATCTTACATTTGAGGTATCAATCATTATTGGATAGAAAGTCTTATTTAGTGAGATGGTAATGGTTGTAGATGTCAGTGATTTGTTCCAGGGGACAATGAGTAAACTGAGAAGAGCAAAAATCTACAAATGGAGCAATGAAGGTCAGCATTCCATGAAGAAGCAGAAATTGATGAGAGAGGAAGACAAGAGTAGTCAGAGAAGTTAAGACCTGGAAGCTAAGTAAGGAGAGGGAGTGGGCAACTATGATGGAAAGGCCATAAAGCAAAGATTGAGAAGTATGCACTGGAGGCCATTGTTTCTGGATGTCAGGGTAGGAAAGAGTAAACGGTGACAGTAGAGGTCTCCTTGCAGTGAATTGGGGAATGAATATCAAGTGAAATAGTGCACAGAGTCTGTATACAACCCTTTGGAAAAGCCTGATTGAAAAGAGAAAGATGAGATGCGGAGGGAGAGGCATTCAAAAAATGCTAGTTACAGCATCTTATTGAGGAATCTAAGGCAGGAGTAGGGAGACCTGAGTATGATGGAGCATGGTAGGGTTGGGAGTCAAGTCAAGCTCACAGCATTTCAGGGTTAGGGAGATAAGCTGTCTGCAGCAGTCAATAGTTGAGGGTTCAGCAGGGCTTCCAACAGGGCAGAATAAGGGACTGAACTGCCAGCTTCAGGGCAGGGGACAAGCCATCTCTCCTGATAGGAAAGGGTCAGGGGTTGAGTAGAGTCTTCAGCAAAGCTGGGAAGTTGGGTGTTCCCCAGCCTGTTACAGGATCCCAGCCAGGACCAGAGCAGAAACCCTGGCCCTCTACCTCTTCATCCAGACAGGACTCATGGCAGCCACGGGTTACCTAGGGAGGAGGCTGGCATCAGATCTGGGCCTACTAGTACCAGTACTTAAAGAGTATATCTCCTCACCCTGTACTCACATTTCAAAGGCTATTCCACACCACCCTAACTGCCCCCAAGTCCCCCTTAGCACTCCCCATAGTTGTTTGAAAACGTCCACACCCTTCCCTTCCATACTTACATCAAAGAGTCCTGCCCCATGCTGCTGGTAGAGCCTTGGGTTGAGAAAGCCAAGAGGGGGGCGGCCACTAAGGATCCTGTGCTCATTGATCAAGGATAGGATCCCCCCAAACACTGGAGTAGAGGCCTACAAGAGTGAAGGTGCAAGTAGAGGTCAGGGGTTCTGAGTGATTGGACTTTTTGGGAGTGATGCTTTAAAGTATCAGACATCTCTAAGGAGTCAGGGGTTCTAGGTGCAAGGTGTTCAAGGTGTTAGGGGGTAAGGGTAGTTCCTGAGTGAGAGTTTGGAGATGGGCTGATTCTCACCGAGGTTCCGGACACCCATGGAATGGGCACTCTGTTGCTGACCACCCAGTAGCCATCAGAAAGTGCAGCCACATCTGGGTAGGCACGGCCACTGGCATTGAAGTAACTGGATGGTGGCAGGTGGGGGCTAGAGCTCAGGAACTTCGTTACAGCTTCCTCCTGAAAGGCATTTTTGAGTGAGTATTGGCATGTGGCCTGCCCAGCAGTCAGCTGAACTGAGGATCCCCCATCCTCACTCTTACCCTGCATCCATCCACACAAACACACGTACCTGGTATGAAGGCCGTGGGAACACATTGCTGAAGCCACCACCACTGATATAGTCAACAATTTCATTTGTGATGAGGAAAGGTTCCTGGAAGGATGTGCCTCCCACTGTGGTGACATAGGGGCTGAGGGGAGAAGACAGCATTTGGATAGTAGGGGACCCAAGGGGACCTCCAAGATATGTGGGGAGGGGTGAGTATAGCCCAGGTCTTGCTGGAGGAACTAGACTCTGTGGGGAAGCATGTATATGGGATTGACTAAGAGATTTTGAGCCTTCAAGGCATGGCCCGAGGTGACTGTGCACACTTTTCTCTACAGAACACCCACCAAATCTTCCACTAAAATGCCTGGGAACTGACGAAAAGGAACAATGGGAGCTGTATCCCACACAAGAGATTTGGGGCCTGGGACCTGCAGGAAGAAGAGACAGGAGTACAGCAACCAGGGCAGGCAAAGCTTAAGGCTGAACCACAGGAGCACATGGTGGGGTCAAGACAAAGGTTCTACATCATGAGATCACAAGTGAAAGGTGGTGGTTATACCTGAGTGGTAGGCTAGAGTACTTACCTGGAGGCAGGGAAGGTAGGGCGGAACTGGTGTCTTCCAGAGACAGACCAACACCCGGCCCCACTGTCACCTGAGAGAGACCAAGTGTAGCATTCATATTAATTGGTTAGGGCTTAGTATGTGGGTTCGGATGTCAGAGGGGAAATTTGTTACTGTAGGAGGTCAGAGTGTAGAGGTCAGGTCAGTGGTCCCTACTGGAAGGTCTGAGTTCAGATTATGAGTCAGAGACCAGGCTCAGGGATCACTGTGGAGTCAAAGCTCCCAGGCTGCAGAGGTGTAAGCATTGTCTAAGTTTAGGGTAGGAGGTCACCTGAGGCGAAGAGCAGGGTGAGACCCCGAGCGGCAGCCTTCATGAGCTCAGTGTTGACCCGCTGGATGTAGGCGCTGCTGAGGGAGTCCTCATCATCTCCATAGCTCACAGTATGCACATGTGGCAGGGCTGACTCATTACTGAGCAGCATGAGCCACTGCAGGAAGGGCTCCTGTCCCTCATGCCGGCCTGGATTTTTTTTTTTTTTTTTTTTGAGGGATGGGCACAAAGATAGTCACTGGGGGTTGTCAGGATCTCTCTCCAGCTTATAGCATTCCCTTGAGGGAGCAGGGATCAACACCCATCTCCCACCCCCTTCCCCACTGTCCAGTCCTCTTGGTAGTACCAGGGCTACTGTAGACCCAGGTGGAGATGTTGGCACCAGCACTCATCAGGTACTGCACATCTAGACTGGCCTCAATCCCGGCCCGGCCCCGGCCCTGTTGTCCAACCACACGGGCTACTGATGCCTGATGTGCAAAGTTGCCACCGAAGAGGCGCATGAACTGAGCCAGGTCTGAGTCATGGAAATACTGCTCCAGGAACTATGGAGGGAGTCAGAGCAGAGATCGTGGGTCCGAGGGTGAGTCCCAGGGTGGTAAGGAATTGAGGACACTGTGGGGAGGCTATGAGGACCCTGGGGCTCTTTGCTTGGCTCACCTGGGCACAGGCTTGGCTGTTATTGCTGGTGCCAGAGCCCACGTCTTGTGAGGTCAAGTTGTATCGCTTACGGATCACAGAGGGGGTTACCCCCAGATGCAGGCCTACAGTCCCTGTCACCTGCGGCTCAGGACGTTGCCTCAGGGATGATGTTGGGGGAAAACGGTGCAGTCCCCCCACTGTAGGGAGAAGTCAGGCTTGAGGAGATCTTATAGACTGTAATGCCCACCTTACAACTCACCCCACCCCCAGTCCCCAATGGCATCTAAACTTCCTCAGCCCCTGGATCTGTGTGCCCCAACCCCCATTCACCCCATAGGTGTTACCAAAGTCCACATGGGGGGCCAAGGCCTGTGGAAGCTGGTAGGGATGTGGGGACCTTACAACATGGGTTTCCGTAGGTCCTCCCACATAGTGATGAAACTCAGCCCCAGGGAGCAGCAGCTCTGCTTGTCTGGAGGTCAGAGAACAGAGGTCAGAAAGCTCAAAACGGAACAGAAGAAGCTACCTCTGAGCATCCCTGGGCAGTCAGTCACTGTCTCCCCATGCATTAGCTCCCACCCACAAGCCCCAGCAAGCTCTCAACTCCCTCCCATCCATCTCACTGATGGGATGACTGGTGCCCTCCATGGAGCAATCATTTCCTCTCACCGGATGCTCAGCCAGCAAGTCAGAAAGTCCTGTGTGATCACAGAATGGCACTTCTGGGCTCCGGCTGCCAAGAGCCATTTTTGCACCGTGTGGAGGGTCAGTGGGGATGGCCTCACCAGATCAGCCACATTCTCTAGGGTCAGGTATTTTCCTGCAGGGATTCAGAAGAGGCACTTGCCCTCATTCATTGCTTTCCCAAACTCCCCCTTTTGGACCTCAACTATGAGACATCAGGACTTCCCAAAGCCTGGAACAGGGTAAAGGAGGGCTATGTGTGCAGGTGTAGGGTGTACTTGGGAAGCAGAGGAAGAAAAGGCTGGAGAGACTTGAAATGCCATGGCCAATAATATGGATTTACCCTAAAGGCCAGTAAGTTGCAAATGTCGCACCACAGCATGTATTGCCATGATCATGAAAATGAATGAGGTTAATACATATAAATTTTCCATTTTAATTTTAAGCTTATGTCCGGTAAATGTTTTCAAATCTTTCGGTACCAGTTATTCAGTTTAGCTCAAATTTGCATACTTGTTGATTTTAAGCTTAACACGATGGTGAGTCACTGTTTCCTGCCATGCACACTAGTGTCACACTGCCCCGTCCCCAGCCTCTGCAGTTCACAAGCACACACTCCCCCTGCTGTGAAGGGCTTTAACCAGGAGAAGGAACCAATCCATTTTGACTGTTGGAGAGACTGTTTTGAAGCAGAGTGGGGGAGTACAGTGAGGGGTGGGGTGGAGGGAGGAGACTGCAGATCAGCTGGGGAGCTGGGCAGTAGTCCAGGAGTGGGAATAAATAACGGAGTTGGTCGTAACAAAAGACGGCAAGAAGGAGATTAATCCAAAGGCTCTTTGGGAGTTAGAACTGGCAGCCTTAGTATGTGAACAAAAGAGGAAATTAGAATGGATTTGAGGGTAGGGGAAGGAACGTAAGTTGTACTAGATGCCTGGTAGCTAGTAAGTAGCAGAGTCAGAATTTGAGTTCGTATTTGATCATAAAGCCTGTATACTGAACCACATCCCCTTTTAGGTTTCTAGCCTGAGGAACACAAGTGTCTTGGCAGGCTCTGACATGATCGCCATCCCATGCCCAACCCAGCCCTGTGTCCCTCCACCGCATCCCACATCCTGTCCTCAGTCCCAAAAGGCACCGTATTGAGGAGAGCTGGGATCCGACACAGCCTGCACCAGCTCCGAGAGTCTTTCCACATTCTGCTGTCTCAGGGCAAAGGTGAGACTCAGCTCTTCCTCAGGGTCCGCACGGCCCAGGGACACCCAGCCTGGGGGCAGCCTGTAGGGTCAGGGGTCAGGGACATGGCTTTGGTTAGGGTGGAGATGGAAAATATTGGTCATGGAAGGTTCCAGATTAGGAGCTGAGACCTTGGGGAGGATCCTAGGAGCAGATACAGATCACATGAGGTGAATGATAGGGGACTGAGGCTAGGAACATAGAGATGAAGCTATGGAGTGCGTACTAGGAGCTGGCACGGGGGTGAGAGAAGCTAGGACCAGGACAGTGGGAGGCAGAACAGGGTATGGGGAAGGGGGCAGTCTGTGCTAAGTCAACTCACGTCCTCCGCTGGTCGGGCTCCGGGCTGTAACTGCATTTGCCAGAGAGGATGAGGGCAAAGAGCCCTAGGAGGCTGTAGGGGCAGCAGGTGGGTTTCAGTGGGAGCTACGTTGTCCTTGTGTTCCCACCCTCCCAATGTGTGCTCCCTCCAACGTGATCCCTTTCTCCCGAGCCCTCTCAATTTCTCACCAGGCTTGGAGTCCCATTCTGCCCTTCCGCGGATCTGCTGTCATGTGACGGATCACATGAGCTCTATATTCCACCACCACTACCCCTCTGCCTAGTAACTAGTGACGGTACTGGCTCCTCCCTTGCATGGGTGGTCCCAAATGCTAGGCAAGGGTGGGGCCGCCACCCGGATTCTCCCCTCTGGCCAGTCAAGCACTGAGTAAGCCCAGGGCTCCCCACCTGCGTCCTGAGCCTGGTCCCCTGGGAATCACCACAAGTGAGTGGGCTGTAGAGACCCACAGACTGGGGTTCTTCCTAGCTGTATGACATCAGCAAAATAACCTCTCAGAGCCTAGGTTTCTGCATTTACAATATGGAGACTTATATAAAAGTGATCTGCCTCGAAAGATTGCAGTGAAAAAATTTTTTTCCTCTTTTATCCTTTATGTCCCCATATTATCAATTTTGTCTTCATTTTACGACTACATTTATGAACAGAGTAAAGCTTTTGCAAGACCAGGATCCTTTTATTCAAATCAGTTTCCAGTTTTAAGTAGCTTCCCAGGAGATCTACAATCAGCTGGGGTCCTGTTTATTATGGGTTCCCAAGGTTTTCAAGGAAATCAACTTTGTTCTAAGGGCCATGGAGGAATCTTGCATCTTGTTTAGTGGGCTCAGGTGGATAAAATGGAAACGGACCTTTGCTTCTTCTAATGGTAACTCAAAGCCCACAAGGAGGTCTGAGTTTACTACTTCCAACTGGGGTCATTACAAGAGGATTTTCAATGAGAGTTAAAACCCTGAGGATTCAATTCCCTTCCAGTCTTCCTTTTTTTCCCCCCAAAAATCCATATGGAAGATGGTGTCAGCAGTGTCATTTTAACTTCCAAAACCATTAATCCAATACTCATGTGAAATCCCTTGTTCTGACCTCAATACTTTTTAGATAGATCCCTCTACTCCTGCTGTTGTCCTACAGGCCACTGGCTTCCATTAACCTATAGATTATATTCCCACACTGAAGATTATGGCACTTCACCTTTCTGTCCATCCCAACTCCTGCGATCATTTGACCTAGATGATCAAAATATCTAGGTAAAAGACCCATTCAACACCCTAACCTTCCATTTCTTCATCTCATTAAACCCAGTGAGCATTACCTTCACTTCACTTAAGCAAACCAGTCCCATGGCTGCATTGGGCTTGCTATCTCTCAAAACTGCTCTACCTTTGAAATTATAATTATAGAATGCTTTCTTAGACTATAACCTTCTGTTTTTTCAAGCCATTGTTTTTCCTCACTCCTATTAATCTGACTTCTCTCTGTCCATTGATCCCTCCAGTTTCCCACTAAGCGTGGATCCTAGAGCTGTATTTACTAGCATCATGCTCAGAAACATTTCCCTTTGACCACAACTTTTTTTTTTTTTTCTAATTTCCTCAATCTCATGAACTTCTCAAACACTGGCCAATTGCCTTTCCCTCACAGCCTGGCTCCCCAAAGAACAGGCAACACCAGTGGTTCCCAAATCCCTTTGTATGACTGTGAAAATTTACACTGAGATTAAGCAAGGCAGCCACCTGCAGAGAGCCTGACATGACAAAGGCTCAACAAATTGAGCTCTTTTTACAATGTGGATTTTTAGTGGCCCCCAAGAAGAACAAATAAACCACTTGACTGCTCTTGTACCCACCCCAACTTATTTTAAGAACTTCGGGCCCAGAGCTGCTCATCCCCAAGATCCCCTCTCCCACCCAACTGATCCCTCTCAAGGCCCTGCTGGCCTCTTTGCCCATATTAGAGGGAAAAGAATAGCTGCAGAGAGATGTGATCATCAGCCTCAGGCTAGGCTCCTGAGCTCCCAGTGCCATCCCCACCCCACCACCCCTCTGTGCCTCCTGAGGTATCCACAATACTCTGCCAGGTGTCTTCCAGTCATCCCTATAGAACAAAGCTGGAGACTGGATACAAATTGCAGTTTATTAAGGCTCCAGAGTGAGAAATGGCACTTGGTTCTGGGCAGGGGCAGGGGCAGGGGTGTCAGTGGAACCCAAAGGAGCTGGGTCCAAACATGTTGGAGGGACCTCCTCCATCCCCCTACCCCCAATAAATAAAGTCTCAGCTCCATCTCAGGGTGCTGGTGCAGGGCAGGGATCCCTCACTGAGGAGAACCCAGGGCTGCTACCTCCTTCATATTTCTCCCCACATTGGACCTGGTCACAGGTCAGTGAGCAACAGGGCTTCTGTGGTCCTAGTACTCTGAGGGGGCTGGGGAGTTCAGGGTGGAGAGCTGGGGCCTGGTGGTGGCCTCCCCGTAGCCAGTCATAGTCCGAGGCTGCCCAGGGCAGGCTCAGAGTGGGGCCTGCGTTGGGGACACTGTGCGCATCCCAGGTCGGGGCCCAGCCTGGGCCACAGCTAGATGTGCAGCTCCGTGTCATCAGGTGGCTCCAGGCCAGACTCTGCGCTGAGTGCTGAGGCTGAGGGACCCTGGGCCACCCCAAATGGTGAGACAACGGGTGAGCGAGCAGCCAGAGGAGACAGAGAGGGTGAGAAGCTGGGGGACATGGCAGCTGAGGACAGGGAGCCTTCATGGCTGATGGGGGAGCGGTGAGAAGCTGGTGGGAAGATGGCCCGGGCTGCAGCTGTGTTTGCTGGCTTGGGGGGCACAGACTTGGCTCCTGGGTGGGCCACGGCAGTGATGAGGGGTGGTGGGTCGATACGGGGAGCTGGGGGACATGGCCGAGCTTCATCCTTGAGCCGAGCGATCTCTGTGAAGACACTGGCCAGTGGTTGGAACTGAGGGCACCAGCTCAGCAGGTAGTCCCAGTTATAGCTGCCACGGAGCTCCTCCTCGCCGGCCACAATGGCTGTCAGCGCACCTGCCACACATGGCTTGCCATCTGCTGGGAAGCCATAGTCCCCAGTGGGTGCAGGGCTCAGGCCACAGCCCCCCAGGAAGGCTGTGGCAGTGGCTGGGGGCCCCTCCTCTCTGTAGAGAGTGGCTCCTGCACCTGGCAGCAGCAGCCCTGCCTTTCGGCCCTTATACCAGGTGTCAGGGGCAGGTGGTTCGCAGGATGTGTCACTCAGACCATCTGCATCCTGCTGGATGCCTGAGTCAGGGCCACGGGCAGCCAGAGAGGAGGCCACACTGGCCACACGGGGGAACTCATTGATCATGCGGATCTCATCATCCTCTGCAGCCTCTGCTGATCCTCGGCCACTTGAATGTGAAGGGTCCAAGGAGCCACCACGGGGGTAGGGTCCTCCAGCTCCTGGCCCACCATAGCTGGGAAGAGTCTGGTGATAGAGGTGCTCAGAGGGTGGTGGACTAGGTGGCTCCCGGCCCAGTTTCTGCAGTGAGTCACTGGCTAGGGGTGCTGCCTGTGACATTGGGCCAGGGGCTGCCTCAGCCTTGCGGCTACGGGCCCGAACAAGTCCTAGGACCAGGGCTGCCAGTGCAAGCACCACCACAACTCCCAAGGAGGCTGCCACGGCCCCTACTAATAGCAGGTTGAGGTCAGGTGCCAGGCCCAGTGCGGTGTGGGTGATATCCACGGTCACAGGCACTGTGGCACTCCGGGAACCAGGCAGAGGCCCCCGTGCTATCACCTCCAGCCTCAGCTCCCGTGGTGCTTCCCGCCGGGTCCGGCCCCCACCCCCAGAGGTGGCTGTTCCGCTGCCTGGTGCCCGACTGTCCACCCGCAGGTACAGGGCTCCTGTAGTCTGGTTAATACCAAAATAGGGGGAAGAGGTGGCAAGGGAATACAGAACCAGGCCATCGGCACCCCCATCCTCATCTGTGGCCTGCACGTGACCCAAGCTGTGGCCACGCCGGGCACCTTCGGGCACTTGGAAGTGGAAAGCTGGTGCCAGAAATACAGGGTCATACTCATCCTCTCCAGTCACTAGCACCGACACAGTGACAGAGGCTGAGAGATTCCCAGCATCAGCAGCACCCACCAGCAGCCGGAAGCTTTCTGTGTGCTCATAGTCAAAGGGCACTCGCGCACGCAACTCCCCTGTTGAGCTGTTCAGTGCAAATGCCTCACGGCCCTCAGGTCCTGGCCCAGCCTCCAACAGGCTGTAACGGAGCCTCCCAAAAGCCCCAGCATCCCCGTCGATTGCATGCAGAGTGGTCACGAGAGTGCCTGGAGGCTGATTCTCGGCCACGCTGGTGCTGAGTAAGTTCAGTGGGAAGGCTGGGCCATGATCATTCACATCCTGGACCTCAATTGTCACTGGTGCCAAAGCAAAGTGTGCACCAGCAGGGTCAGCAGCCTGTACTACAAGCTGATGTCGAGCCTGGGTCTCACAGTCCAGGGCATGGGCCAGTCGCAAGGTGCCTGAGCTCTCATCCAGCTCAAAGAGCCCTGATGGGTCGCCTGAGCTGACAGTGAAACGCACGAGGCCATGAGGGCCAGGGTCAGCGTCAGAGGCCTCTACATGCAGCAGCTCAGCTCCAACAGGTGTGTCCTCAGGTACTGTCACACGGTAGGATGCTCGGGTAAAGACAGGTGGGTTGTCATTGACATCTAGTACAGTGACAGTGACTGGCACGACTGAGCTTTGGGGTGGCTGCCCACGGTCAGCTGCAGCCACTGTTAGATTGTACTGTGTCAGGCTTTCAAAGTCTAGAGGTTCAAGCAACACCAGGCAGCCCAGTGCCCGGGGGCCTGGTCCAGCACTCTCCCCAGCCTCAGCCAGCCTGGGTTCCAGCTGGAAGACTCGGCCCCAGTTGCCACTGATGATGCTGTAGTCCACAGCGGCATGGCTGCGGCTTCCATCAGCATCTGTAGCCTCCAGGGTGAGCAGAGTGGAGCCAGGGGGCAGGTCTTCAGTCACAGCCACACGGTAGTGTGACAATGTGAAGCTCGGGGCGTGGTCGTTCTGGTCCTGCAGCTGCACGTGCACTGTGGCTCGTGCTGCCCGGCCTGGAGCCCCGTGGTCTCGTGCTTCCAGCACCACATCCACTGCTCCTGACCCGTCATGGCCCAAGGCCACTGTTCCCACTATTGTGAACAGGGTCCCTGAGATGAGAACGGAAGGGAAAGAAATATATTCAGCAAAGGCTGTGAGTGAACAGAAGAGTGACCCTTCAGGATCTAGGAAATGGTTTTGGAAGTCAGACTCAGGGAATGGCCTATCTGCTGGGAGACAAGGGGATGGCCTCAAGGATTCACAGCTTAGGGAACAGCTTCTAGACATGCAGTCAACAAGGGGCTTATAATGAAGACAGAGGGGAGGAAATGTCCTCCCTAGGCCAGAGATCCAGGAGTTAAAGAGTTTGAGTAACAAATTCAAGGAATGAGGTCAGATTACAGCCCAACACAGTCAAAGGCAAGGGGCAGATCCTGGGAAAGACGCACCATTGTTGGGGTCAACACTGAAGCCATCGGCAGGGGAAGCCAGGTGGTAGGAAATGTGACCGTTGGCACCTGAGTCCCGATCAGTGGCAGAGACGGAGAGAATGGCACTGCCTGGGGGTGTGTGCTCAAGCAGCATTACCTGAAGTGTGAGGAAAAGTGCTTATTGCCAGGCTTCCCATTTGCCCTGCTGTCCATGCAGCCTGTTCTGGAGCTTGGTTCCTTGTGCCCTGCTTGGCGTCTATTCCAACTTGGAGCCCCTACTCCTAAGTATTCGAATGGGAAATGCCCACCTTCTCCCCTTTCTGGGTACAGGATGCAAAACCAGGATGTAGTTCACAGGACTTGGGACCTTCCCATTCCCAGATCAGCTCCAACGTCCAGCCCACCTCAGCAGCTGCTAGCTCTGATACTTCCCTCCAACAGGAACAACCCAGGCCCAGGTGTAGGTGGATCCATGGGTGTCAATACCTGGTAGAGGCTCTGTGAGAAGGCAGGTGCATTGTCATTGACATCCTCCACAAGCACTGTGAGGTTGGCACGGCCCTCATGAGGCCCATCATGTGCCAGCAGCTGCAGCTGGTAGCGGTCACACTGCTCAAAGTCCAGGGGCCCCGTGAGGGAGACACGGCCTCCATAGCGGCCAACACTGAAGGGATCCTGGGGCCCAGATGGGCTTAGCACATACCACAGCACGGGTCCTGAGTCCACATCATTCCCTGTTACCTGTGCAATCTCTGAGCCCAATAACGCATCTGGAATACATGAGACTAGTGTGTTTGGCAATGGACACAGCCCCACCTTGAGCTGCAGGGTGGAGAAAAATGTCTCTCTGCCACCCTTTATGCCACCCACTTTACCCAGCCTCACCTTCTGACACTCGGAGCTCCCAGGGTTGGGGGATGGTGGGGCGATTGTCATTGGTGTCGATGACCATCACCGTCAAGGTAGCTGAGCCCACCAGGGCTGGGCTCCCTCTGTCTGTGGCCATCAGCACCAACCTGGACACAAAGCACAATCATCGGGTGGGACATGGCAATAAGGGGGAACTCTGGGCAGGGCCAGGAGGACTCAGGACAGAGCTTAGGGCTGGGGAATTCAGGATGTGGCCAAGGGACCAGATGAGTTCAAGGCAGGGCTTGAAACTGGACAGGCCCAAGATGGGGTCTTGGGTCCACAGGGCCAGGCCTCACCGTGTTTCAGCCCAGATCTCACGGTCCAGGATGGCTGTGGTAGTGATAGTGCCTGTGGTTGGGTCTACGTGGAACAATCCACGTGCCGGCTGGGATGCAGCCAGACTGTAGGAAATCTGTCCTCCAGAGCCTTGATCCAGGTCATCCGCCTCCACCTGGTGAGGGTAGGAGGCTGCTGGGACTGGTCTGGCCACAGACAAGTCTGACTAGCCCTGCTCCCCCGCCCAATCTTTCCATCACACCCCGCACCTGCAGCAGGGGCCCCTCCAAGGGCCGGGACTCAGGAAGGAAGGCCACATAATGGGGCCGCAGGAAACGGGGAGCATTGTCGTTGGCATCTTGCAGGGTCAGGGTCAGCACAGTGAAGGCAAAGGCTCCTCCACTCTCTGCCTGCAGCACCAGTCGCAGCCGTGGACTCACCTCGAAGTCTAGCCCCTCTGCTGAGCGAACTGTGATGGCACCTGGGCGAGATAGAATGCATCAGTGATAGCCCCCTTTGCTTGCCCTGGAGCCTCCTTCTCTAAGACCCCTTACTCAAGGACAGCCCTTCACCCATCAAAGGCTCCTCTGATGCAAAGAACCTGCTTCCCCAGTAGCCTGTCCTGCACAGAGCCCCTGCTCCTATTTCTTACCTGTACTAGGCTGGATGGAGAATGTCCCTTTCTCATTCCCACTGAGAATGCTGTAGGTGATGGGTCCATTTGTGCCTCCTGCATGGACGGCCCTGGGGGAGACAATAGGAGTCCCTGCAGAAAGAACGGTATTGTTGGACTGTGAGCGCGAGACTGGGAGAGTTTGGGGGACATTTTCAAAGCACAACCCCAGCCCATTTGGGAGTCTGAATCTGGAAGAAATGGCTGGGGACCCACCTGGGGGCGCATTCTCACGAATCGTAGCCTCACTGCTAGCCCGGGGAAAGCGGGGTCCACGCTCAGCTTCCCCCTGCAGTCCAACAATGATCACACCAGTGGCAGAGCGAGCTGGACGGCCAAGATCAGTGGCCACAATGAAGAGGACACGATCTCGGGGGCCTAGAGCTACAGGAGAGCGGGCCACGCGGATTTCACCAGTGTAAGAGTCCACAGTAGTGCCAGGAGGTGGTGTGCCTGCCAGCCGGTACAGAATGGAAGCATTGGCACCAGCATCACGATCTTCAGCTCTCAGTGTGGCCAGAGCCAGGGTTGGGGTACTGAAGCTGGGGCCTGGGCGGGGCAGACGTAGGCGCAGAGGACTGGTGGGGAAGGTGGGTGCATGGTCATTGACATCGCGCACCGTGATGGTGACAGACACTGTGGTGCTTAGGGGCCCAGCAGCTGCACCATCCACTGCACTCACAGAAAAGGTGTAGCTGGGACACTGTTCTCTGTCCAAGGCTGCAGCTGTGCGCAGTTCTCCAGAGCTGGGCTCCAGCAGGAAGGCTCCTGCTGTACCGGCGCCCAGGTAGTAGGTCACATGGCCATTAGCTCCAGCATCAGGGTCATGAGCCTGTAGCTGCAGCAGCAGGGTCCCTGCAGGCACATCCTCCGGCACCTCCACCGAGTAGGCAGGCACAGGAAAGGCTGGAGCATGGTCATTGGCATCCAGCACTGTCACTGTCAAAAGCAGCGTGGCACTGAGAGCTGGCTGGCCTCCATCCCGGGCCTCTATCCTCAGCTGGAAAGCTGGCTCCACTTCTCTGTCTAGTGGCCGCATGGTGCCAAACTCTCCAGAAGCAAGGTCTAGGACAAAGGCTCCTGATGGGTCCCCATCTGCAGAGAAGGGCATGCACATATAAATATACATGTGTCGTGGGGATGGGGGTGATTTACAGACAACAGGAGAGAGTGAGCATGTGCACAAAAGCAAGTGAACCTTATGAGAGAAAGGAAGAAAAACAGAAACAGAAAGTAAAAGAAGATACTATAAAGCAGCTGGTATCATTTGTGTGTGGTCTGGGAACCCCGGGAGTCCCCCAAGTCCTTTTCATGTGCATAAGATCAAAATTATTTCATAGCACTACTAAGCCATTATATGGCCTTTTTATTCTCATCTCACAGATGTACAGTAGAATTTACAGATGCTCTATGACGTGATGATATAATGTCTTGGTTAAGGGAATGTGTGCTTATGTATTCCTGTGTGTTCTAGAATATTCTAGACAGAAAGTTTAGAGCATGAATCTGTGTGTCTTCAGAGATTCAGTTTGTTCTGGCTATCTTCAATTATACCTGCTTTAATCTCTGAAATTAACTACTTTCCAACAAATTGTTACTTGAAATCTTAGTATTTCCTTGTGCTTACACAGAAATACTGGCAAGCTGTATACTTCATTGGCTTGTTTCACAATCATATTTTAACATCATCTCAGTTTTATTATCTAATACAGTAAATACTGATATAATCCACATAAAAACTCCTTAGGGTTCTCAAAAATTAAGAGTGTTAAGGGTTTTTGAGACCAAAAATTTGAGAACGACTGCTCTACAGGGAGAGACAAATGAGAAAGAAAAGAAATAGGAAGATAGAAACAGAGACACACAGGGAGATAAAGAGCATGGAATGAGATACCTAGCTACACTGGGTATAAGCATGAAAGAAAAGGTGGACGACATCAAGAGGGAAAAGGAGACCCAGACACATGCACTGAGGCTGACAGCAGCCAAGAAGGAGCAAGAACCAGGCAAGTGGGTGCTGAATTAAGTGGGAGTGGGAAGGTTCTCACCTAGGATGCGGTACTGCAACTGCCCATTGGCTCCCACATCTGGATCAGAGGCCCGAAGCATGGTAAGGGTCTGGGGGTCCTGGCCCTCAGGCACCTCCAGAGAGAGATGGGCACTCCCAAAGGTTGGTGCATGGTCATTCTCATCCTCCACAGCCACTCGAACAGTGACATGCGTTAACTGAGGAGGTGAGCCCCTGTCCTGGGCATACACTGTGGGGAAGCAAAATCAATGAGGTCTAGTCTGCCCTCACCACATGGAGAAATCCACACCACACAGTGTTCATACATGTTCACTAGGTGCACACAAACCAGAAAATGTCCATCTCTCCATACCTCTCAGGCACACATGTGTCATGCATACATAAACATACATGTGTCCTACCTCCCATGCTTGGTGCATGCAAGATATATCTTGGACTAGTGGTGGTGTAACAGGAAAGGCACTAAATGAGGTATGAAAAGATCTGGGTTCAAGTCCCAGCCCTGCCACTTCCAAGCTGCATGAGCTTGAGCAAGTCACTTGACCTCTCCAATATTCAGTATCAAAATGCTCCTCTGTTAAATGGCTGCAGTATCTGAGGGAGGCCTGGAGGGCATAGCTGTGACATTATGCATTTTAGAATTTGTACGGTCACAGTTGTGACAGTCTAGAAGTCAGTTGACCTTGCACCCTGCCAAACTCTCGACTCCCCAAAAGGGTCCAAAAACATAACAGGAGCTTTGTGGTAATAGGCAAAAACTTCTAAAAGGTAGTACTTTGGGTATTCTATCCAGGTAACACTGGTGTTTACAACACCTCACTCAGGCTCTTGGGGTCCTGTCAACATGTACCTGTCAGGTTGATCTCCTCCTGTTCCTCTCGATCCAGGGCCCGAAGAGTCGTGAGAACACCAGTGTCAGGATCCAGAGAAAAGCTTTCGCTAGAGACGCCTCCATAAGTCACTTGCCCGTTGGCCCCTGAGGAGGGGCAGCATGGAGGGCGATCAGAGGGTAAAAATGCTGTTTCTTGCCCCAGTCCATCCCACTCATAATTCACCCCCCCAGGTCTTACCCACGTCGGGGTCGGTTGCTCGCAGGGTGAGCAGAGATGTGCCAGGAGGGTTGTTCTCACGCAAGAGGACGCTGTACTCCTGCTGCTGGAAAGTAGGCGCCTCGTCGTTGACGTCAGCGACACTGACGGTCAGGACCTGCGTGGCCGAGCGCGGCGGGGAGCCGTGGTCTGAGGCCACCACTGTCAGTACGTGCTCAGCTCGTTGTTCGCGGTCCAACGGCCGCACCACGGACAGCGCTCCTAGGTGAGCGGTAAGGCAGGTTGGTGGGGACCCCAACACTCCACATCAGCACCTTCCTCGCCCTCACTCCCAGACCTAACTCTCACCAGTGCTTGAGTGCAGCCGGAAGTGGCCGTCCCCGCCAGATGCCAGCCGATAGGACACGCGTGCAGCCTCGCCCAGATCCGGGTCCCGGGCTACCACGTGCAGGGCCGCGGGCCCAGGCGGCTGGTCCTCTGGGAGGCGCACGCGTGACGGCGAGGCGAAGACAGGCGCGTTGTCATTCTCATCCGTGACGAAGACGCGCGCTGAAACGCGCGCTGCACGACGGCGGCTGGCGTTGGCGGGCCGGTCGGTGGCTTCCACCAGCAGCAGCAGCGCGGGAGTGGTCTCTCGGTCCAGGCCGCGCGGAGCGCTGAGCGCCCCGGTGCGCGCGTCCAGGCGAAGCGCCGGCACGGGCGGCTCCTGGCGCAGCAGGCGGTAGCGCACGTCGCTATTGGGGCCGGGGCCGTCGGCGTCCGACGCGCGGAAAGTGTACAGCGCTGCGCCGGGCTCCGGGTTCTCTGGCAGCGCCAGCGCCAGCGGGTCGCGCGCAAAGGCGGGCGCATGCTCATTCTCGTCCTGCACTTGCACCTGCACTCGCAGCAGCCGCGCGCCCGCGCCTCCCGGCCCCTCAGCGCGTACCGTAAGCGCGCGCCACGGCGGGCCAGCTTCGAAGTCCAGGGGCCGCGCCAGGTACAAGCGCCCTGAGGCCGCATCCAGCGCGAAGGTGCCCTCGGGATCGGCACCGCCCACCAGTGTGTAGGTGAGTGCACCCACACCCGCGGGCTCTGGCGCTGCCACCGAGCCCAACAGAGAGCCGGGCCGCAGTCCCTCAGCTGCTGTCACCGTCAGCACGACAGGCACTGGTGCCGCTGGGTCCCGCTCTGCGAGATCTGGGGGCGGCTCGGCCAAGCGAGCTGAGGGAAGCACCTGTTGTGGACCGGGGAGGGAGAACAGAATTGTGAGGGCCCGTGTAAAAGGGGATCTGGGCTGGCTTCCCAGGTGGTAGGAAAGTGGTCAGAGTAGCCTGACTGCTAGTGGAGCCAAAGGATTCCCGTGAAGCTGGAGCTACTGAAGGGGACCTACAGCGGTAGCCAAGGGGAGGAAGGGCAGCCATACCTGCACCAGCAGCTGGAGGCTGGCACTTCGAGGAGGGCTGCCTTGGTCATGAGCACTCAGTGTCAGCACATAGTGGGGCCGCTCTGCTCGGATCAGGGGAGCTGCAGTGAGCAGCTCCCCTGAGTGAGGGTGCAGAGAGAAAAGCTCTGAGCCAGGACCTGGGGACAGGCAGAGGAAGATGAGGGCTTGGGGCCCAGAGCTGGGCAGGCCATGAGGGCATGCCATCACCCACCAATTCTCCTCTCTCCACTCCCATACCAGTTAGCGTGTACAAGATGGTCCCATTCTCCCCCTCATCTGGATCCTTCGCCTGCAGAGTCGTCACCAGTGTTCCCGGAGGCACGCGGTCTGGTACCTGTGGGAACACAACTCACCTAGTGAGTCTCTTTCCTGTTCTTCAGACAACTCAGGATAAAGCTTCCCTCACCTGTGGGCAGGCAGAACCTCTTTTCGGCTCTCACACCCAATCCAGGAGGCAGTCTCTTACCTACACCTACAGCTCTATGGGGAGATCCCCACTCCCTCTCACACTTCTCAGGACAAAGTCCTGCCACTTCACATACCTGTATAGGGAGGCCCCCACCAGCAGCTCCTGAAGCCTGCAGGAACGTGGGGCTGTTGTCGTTGAGGTCAAGCACTGCAACATGCACAGTGCCTGTGGTGCTGCGGGGTGGGCTCCCTCCATCCTGCACCTGCACCAGGAGCTGATAGCTGCTCTGCTGCTCACGGTCCAGGGTTTGGAGTGTGGTCACTTCTCCTGGGAGTGCAAGAAGGCGATCATGTACGAGATGTTTAAGGATGCAGAGCCTGAGGCCTGCACCTAAGAAGCTGGTGTTTGGGGAGTGGGGGAGGGAATGCCAGGGCTAAATCCTCATTCTCAGGGGCGAGATGGGAGCTGGGGGTTGGGGATCCTGTCTGAATGTTCACCAGGCTGGGGATAAGGCTATGCGGTCTCAGGATTTGGGTCTCTGTGCTCACCAGTCTGGGGGTGGATGCGGAAGGCCTTGCTGTCTTCAGACAGCTGTTGCAGGCTGTAGGTCAGACGTCCATTGGGTCCTGAGTCTCGGTCAGTGGCAAAGACTCGGCCCACGCTGGTCCCTGGGGGCTGGTTCTCAGCCACAGCCAGGAAGGTGGGATCCTCAGACAAGCGGGGACTGTGTTCATTCTGGTTGAGGATGCTGACCCTCACGGTGGCTGTGCCTGTCTGCTGCCCCAACTCAGCTTTGGACCCAGACACTGCCATTACCTTCAGTATGTACAATTCCTGGGCCTCACGGTCTAGTGCTGCCCGCACCCATAGCCACCCACTCTGTGGCTCCAGGCCAAAGGGGCTACTTGCTCCCTCTGCTGCAAGGTGATAGGTGATAGGGCCCCCATCTGGTGCTTGGGCCTGCACTTGCAGGACCTGAGTTCCAGCAGTGGTGCCTGAGGGCAGGTCCACACGGTAGGTAGGGCTGTTGAATCGGGGAGCCAGCCCACGGGTTCCCACATCCTGTACCACCACCCGTAGTCGAAAGTGGCTGGTGCGTGGTGGGGAGCCCCCATCCCGGGCCTCCAGCTCCAGCTCATGGGCTGGCCCTCCTGAGGGCCCCAGAGGCCTCATAAGCCGTACATGGCCTGTGGTGGGGTCCACGGTGAAGGCTCCACCACCCCCAGCAAGCAGGGTAAAGGTGACTCGACTGTTAACACCTGAGTCGGGGTCAAGAGCCCGCAGTGTATAGATGGGAGTCCCTGGGGCAGTGTTTGGTGGTAGCAATACCGTGTCTTCAGGTGCAGGAAAGGCAGGGGAGTTGTCATTCACATCATCCAGCAGCACACGCACCCGAGCTACAGCGAAAGCTGGGGGCACTCCACTGCCTGCTCGCACCTCCAGCTCCAACACTGGTCCCAGTAGCTCCCGGTCCAGAGGGCGAAGTGTTTGCAACAGTCCTGATACCGCATCTAGGGAGAAGAGTCCTCGGGGATCCCCACCTGATAGGGAAAGGGTCACAGGTGCCAAGCGACCTAGGGAGGATGAAAAAGGGATCAGGAAAGAGATGGAGGGGCACTTATTGAGTCAGGACCCAGAGTCTGATCCCGAGAAGGACTGGGCAGTGCCCACACCCATGCCTTTCAAAATATTAGGAGGAGGGGCAGGGGTTGGCAAAGAAGTTGGTTGGCACGCACTGAGGTGACATTCCTATGCCTCATGAAGCAGTGTGCCTGCACTGTGCCTAAGGAGGTGTTGGGCATTGGTACAGGAGTGTTTTATACTGGGGCTATCTGCCCTGTGATACTCTAAGGTATCTTCGGATGGTGCTGGAGGGTTATACTGGGGTATTTGGGTCTGACACCAAGTGGGTATAAAGCTAAATGATACCTGGTGGGTTGTGTGCCTGGACTATGCCCACACTGGTGCCTGGTGCCACATCCTCTGGCACAGAAAAAACATACTGTAGTTGCTCAAATATGGGTGGTGTGGGGGTTCCAGGCACAATGCTGATGTCCACTCGGGCACTGGGTTCTGCCTGTAGGCCACCTCCGTCCTCAGCCCCGATCTCCAGCTGCACCACAGAATTGGCCCGTCTGGCCAAGGGCCAGGCTACTGTCAACAGCCCTGAGAGGAAGAATAGAAGCAGAGATATATAAGGAAACATAATAGGGCTAGAAAGGTTATGGAGGAGGTGGGTAGGACATCATTTAGGCAGGTGGGGAGGGGGACCTGGGGGAAGGCCCCGGGAATGGGAGGATCCTCACCTGATTGCTCATCCAAGGTAAAAAGTGGGGGGCTGTTGCCAGCCAGGATATGGTAGGAGAGTCGCCCATGGGATCCCTGGTCAGGGTCATGGGCACGCAACCTCAGCACAGCTGTGCCTGGTGGACTCTGGGCACTTATACTGGCAGCATACTCCCGTGGATAAAACTGAGGAGGGTTGTCATTCTCGTCTGACAGAAACACCTTCACATATACCATGGACTTGAGGCCTCCCTGGTGGGACATGCAGCCATAGGTCAGGTGGGCCTCATCTGGCCCTGGTGAGTGCCCTACCCCAACATCCCAACCTGCCCTTGGTCTACTGACTTACCCCATCCACAGCTGTCACTGTGAAGTCAAAGCTTGAGGGCCCCTGGTCACGGTCCAGGGTCCGGGTTGTGCACACATCACCGCTGTGGGCATCAATGCGGAATGGGGGAGATCCGGAGGACCCAAGTCCAGCACCCAAGGAATAGGAGAGGAGGCCAAATGGGCCACTATCCGCGTCTGTGGCTGTCACCTAGGGAGAGGCTGGGGTGAGTGGTGTCCCCTCTTCTTTGCCAGAAAAGCCAGAGGTAGGTGGCCATTAGAATGAACAACTGGTGCTAAGTCTCTGGATGGCGGACACACAGAGAGGACTAGTAGGACATGGGCCCAAACCCAACCTCAGCCTGTACCTCACCATTTAGTTAGGTTCCTAAGTGCCTCTAGCCATAACATTTTTTGTCAGCTGGTCAATACATAACCTTGTTTGATGTGTGTTTCTGTTTAAAGACATCTTATGTTTAATATACATTGTTCATTCATTAACATTGAACTCACAGCCAACAGCACTGTAACTCATGCCTGAATAAAGCTTATCTAACATATGTATTTTCTCCATACAACACATCACAGCCTTCTTGTACTGAGGAACATTAGACCACACTTCAGCACTACACTTGGGGACCATTTAAACAGTGAAATCATCAGCTTTTTGCACTAAAAAAATGAAAAAAAAAAGTTGCAGTAAATAGACCTGAAAGGGACATTTGTTTACAAGCATGAGAGCCCAAATGAGAAGGCAGAACATCGTCTTGTTCACCCTGTGCTGGGAATGTGAACATTAGGTAACTCAAATTTTTCATCTCTCTGCCCATGTCCAGGAATGCTAGTATTGATTTTGGAGTTACAAATAAATTTTCGAGATTAAGTGAATTCACAAATAATGAGGACCAACTGTACTTAGAAAGAAGAAAGGGCTGTGACCTCAAATTCCAGGTGGGTCCAGGAAGTTAATACCCTCACCAAGTCTCATAATCACCCCAAACCAAGAACTCACCGACAGTGGAATTATTGAGACTGATTTATAGGTTTGATCTTTATTGAGTTTGATTATTACAGAGTGGGATCTGATTAATACTGGGATCTGATCACTATAGGGTCTGTTCTATAGATTTATGGGTGTGTGGCTCATGCATCGTTAGCCTAGTACAGTGCAAGGTACATAGTAGGTGCTTTATGTGTATTTTTTCACCGAGTAAATCGACGGTCTGATCATCCTGCTTTGTAACAAAACCTTCTTTCACACTAAGTTTTATACATTGGGTACACATTAGGCCCTCAATAGTGGGTTAGCTGGTGCTGACAACTGTAGCCTGTGACAAAGCGCTCTTTGTGGATATAAGGACCTCAGGGTCAGGATATGCTGCAAGAGGAAGCTGGAGAGTTCCCCTTTCTCAGCCAGAAAATGTGCTTAGAGAGAAAGCTGGCCAAGGACTTCTGATTGTGGCCCAGACCCTTGACAGAAATGATCTGTGCCATTGTTTACCCTCCTGAGAGACACCAAGACCCTGCCATGGCTGAACCCTGGAAACAGCTTCTGCTCCAACTCTCTACTGTGGCTGTGGGCCCGGATATCCCAGGAGACAGACTTCCCCTACATCAATCCTGGCAGGCAGCAGCACAGCTGCGGCACCATCTCCAGAAGCTGTTAACGACCTTTGCCCTCTGACTCGCTGCAGGAAGAAAGCAATAAACAGTGGTCTGGGGAAGTTGTCAGGAAGTGACCCCAAAAGGCACAGGGGCCACTGACTGGAAATGAGCAAGGCAGAAGTGAATTTCCTGGCCTGTACAACCCCTGCTCAGAGGTTTCACTGCAAATACAGTCTCCATTTTCAGCAGATTCTCAGCTCAGCGTCTCAGTCCGACCTTGGTCGGCTCCCTCTCCCATTCTGCCCCAAAGCCATAATAAACTTCATCCCTCTTCTCTTGCCCCCATCCCATCCCTTGCTCTCATCAGATGCACTATTTCAAGGAGAAAAGAAAGACACTTATCTGTGAACTCTCTAAACTTCTTACTAGCCTCGAAACTTACTCCATATGCCTATCCCAACCTCTTTTCCAGGTGTACCTCCTGCTTTGACTTTTCAAAACATAAATTATTTATTTATTTAATTTATTTTTGAGACAGGCTCTCTGTTGCCCAGTCTGGGGTGCAGTGGTGTGATCCTAGCTCACTGCAACTTCGAACTCCTGGGCTCAAGCAATCCTCCTGCCTTAGCCTCCGGAACAACTAGGACTACAGGCGTGCACCACCATGCCTGGCTAGTTTTTTTATTTTTTGCATAGACAGTGTTTCACTATGTTGCCCAGGCTGGTCTCAAACTCCTGGCCTCAACCAGTCCTTCCACCTTGGCCTCCCAAAGTGCCGAGATTACAGGCGTGAACCACTGTGCCTGGCCTTTATTTATTTTTTAAGACAGGCTCTCACTATGTTGTCCAGGCTGGTTTGGAACTCTTGGGCTCAAGTAATCCTCCTGCCTCAGCCTCCCGAGTAGCTTGGATTACAGGGATGCATCACCATGCCCATCTCTCCTGCTATGACTTCTTGATGCTACTTTTCCTGCTTCTCCACCCACTGCTTCCCCCACCACCCACTGCCAGTCTTCCTCCATCTCCCCTTATCTGCCTGTTCTTACACACTGTTCCCTGGAATCTCTCCTTGGCCTCTTCTCACTCCACACATTCTCTCAGGGCCTTGCCTTTTACTTCAGCCATCGTCTATACTTTCACTCTAGACCACTCCTCTGAGATTTCCCAACTTTTACATCCAGATGGCTGCTCAGCACCTCCACCTGGATGTCCCACAGGCACCCTAAATCCGACCAGCCCAAAACTAAACTCATGATCATTCCAAACCTGCTCTAATGACTCTTCCATCCACACAGTTGCTAAAGCCAGAAATCAGTTCTTCCCTTTTCTCACCTGGTATATCAATCAACCAGGGATTAAGTAAGTCCTCATTAACTCTATTTGTCTGTTCCTTTCCATCACCATTATCACCATTCTGACTTAGGCCTGAGCTGTCCTGAGTTATTGCTCCCCTGCATTATTTTGATTACCTTCTCATAGAGGTCTGACCCTCTGATCTGTACTCTCCACCAGGGTTTCTCAAATTGGCACTACTGACATTTTGGACCAGATAATGCTTTATTATGGGAGCTGCTAAGTGCCTTGCAGGATGGTTAGCAGCATTCTCAGCCTCTACCCACTAGATGCCAATAGTCTCCCACCCATTGTGACAATCAGAAATTTCTCTAGATATTGCTAATATCCCTTCTGGGGGGCAAAGTCACCCCTGGTTATGAACCACTGCTCTACATTGACTACCATTTGCATAAACAAATCTGATAATATTGCTATAGAAAAAAGCTCAAACCCTCTGACTTGGCTGAGCCTCCCTGCAGTCTCATCTCCCACCTTCCCATCTCCAGTCTTAACTCCAGAGATCCTGAGCCCCTAGTAGGCCCTTGAACAAACTGGGCCCTCCCACACCTCTGTGCACCTCACCTCTGCTTGGAAGCCTTCCCCCATCTGATACTCTCATAAATTGCTCATTCTTTAAGTCTCAACTCAGGGATCCCTTCCTTCAGGAAAGCACTCATACTGCCTATCTGTACCTCATATATATCCCCAAATGGAAATGTTCTTATTGGAATGAAACTATTTCTTTGCACATGAATCTCCCCTCTATAAACTCCTTAAGATGAGGGGAGTGACGCATTCATGACTGTATTCCGTGTCTCTAATACAGTGACTAGCACATGGTAGACATTCAATACATGTATATTGAATAAATCAAACATTAAGACTTCTTGTGACAGTTGTAAACCCCAAATGGTCATTTTTACCCCGATTCTCTATGGTTACTAATAGTAAAAACTCCAGGAAACCACCTGGAGAGTTGCCCTCTTGCTTCAGGCACTAGTGAGGAGAGAAGTCTGGAAGCCATAGCCCATTGGTCCTGGACAAGAAGGAGAGTAAACACGTGGAAGAGTGGGTGGTGGAGCTGCACAGCAGCAGGCGAGCAAATATGCAGAGTCTGGCCAGAGGACAAGAGGTCAGCCAGGCCCAGAGCTAGCCTGGAAGTCTATGCCCTGAGGAGATGTTCAAGAGTCTGGTGGAGTTTGGAGACATAAGGACACTAAGCACCAGCCTCCTAAGAGGACTCCCTGCCCACTGTCCTCTCTCCTGCTGCCATTCTCCACAGTGCAGCCAAAGCAATCTTTCTTAAAGACATATCAGATTTGCTTAGAGTCCTTCACTTGCTCCCTATGATTTTCAAGATAAAGTTGAATTTGTGACCTGGCTCCTGTCTACTGTCTTTTCTCATCTCCCCCGACTCTTTCTCATTAGTACAGCTGATGCCAGCCTGAACAATACAGTCTCCTGAACACGTCCTGGTATTTGTTCAGCAGCTCTTTCCTTAGGCCTGGAGTCTCCATCTGCACACCTCATATTATCCATTTGGCAAAGTTTCATTAGTTCTTCAAGGCCCCTCCTCTGGGCTTCCACAGCACTCATACGCCACCTGCTGCAGCACTAGTTGCTGATGTGTCTCCCTATCTAGACTGTGACCACCCTGGGAACAGGATTGTCTCTTTTCTTTGTTCTCTGGGCCTAGCACAGTGCTAGGCTTACAGTAGTTAAATAAAATCTTGAACATATGAATCAAGGAACGATCTGTCACACACCTGCTGATCCAATCACCCTTAAAGCCAGATAGCTAACTTAATAAAACCCAACCTGATCATTCACTTCCCAGCTCAAAGAAATTCAGTGATCTCCTCGAGGGCAGATCAAGACCATCCTGGCTAACACAGTGAAACCCCGTCTCTATTAAAAATACAAAAAATTAGCTGGGTGTGGTGGAGGTGCCTGTAGTCCCAGCTACTTGGGAGGCTGAGGCAGGAGAATGGCGTGAACCCAGGAGGCAGACTTGCAGTGAGCCCAGATCATGCCACCGCACTCCAGCCTGGGCAACAGAGCGAGACTCCGCCTCAAAAAAAAAAAAAAGAAGTTCAGTGAGCTCCTTTGCTTCCCAAGTAGTCCTAACTACTGCTTTGTGTTCAAGGACTTCTGCAACCTGGCCTCAGAGTGCCTTTCCAGTTTCATGTTCCCTCCATTTCTCCAGGACTGACTTGCAGCCAGTATGTGTCTTTCTCAGCCTGTCCAGGGTTCCTGCCTCTTCCCCTGAGAGGCCTTCCTGCTCTGGATATTGAGATAATTCTTGCTATCTCTCATTCTCATGTCTGAGACCAAATGGCCTATTAAGGCTCAGCTCTGAGGGCAGGGATGAGGATTTCTTCCAGCACAACCCAGCACTTGACAAGCAATGGAGGGCCCCATAAATTCTGGTGTCTTCTTTGGGGAACAGAAGCCACATACGTATGTAGAATCTCCATCTCTGCCCTGCAGAACAGCTTTGAGGCTTTCATTTCCTGACACCACAAATCATTTCTCCACTAGATCCAATCTTAATTTCCTCACCTGCCAAGACCATCTGCCTCAGCTCTTGCACCCTGCTTTCTCATCTTCTCATTAACCCTCATCCTCTGCACAGATTTTGGAGCTTACAACATAGGGCAGAACCCTCTAGCATAAGTCACCATCAACAGATGACCTTGTAAGGCTTGGTTCCTGCTCTGAGGTCCCCTGTGGCTCTCAGATTCCCCCAACACTATCTTGCTATGTGCCAGGCCTACCCACCTGCAGGAAGCAAGTTCCAGGCTGGGTGCCCTCAGGCAGTGAGGCATTGTAGAAAGTCCTCTGGAATTGGGGCTCATTATCATTCACATCTTGCAGGGCCACGCTAACTGTGGCAGAGGAGGCTAGAGGGGGCAGGCCACCATCTGTGGCCACCACAATCAGCTGTGGCTGAGGTTCCAACTCATAGTCCAGTGAGGCAGCCGTAGTGATAATGCCTGAGGTGGGGTCAATGGAGAACCAGTGGGTGTGGGCGCCAGGGGCTAGGCTATAAGTGACCTGACCATTGGTGCCTTGGTCAGGATCCCGAGCAGTCACCCGCACTACAAAGCTGCCAGGCAGCGCAACCTCAGGCAGGGGCTCAGGTCGGTAGAGCTGGCGGTCAAAGGCAGGTGCATTGTCGTTGACATCAGTGACGTGCAGCACAAAGGCAGCCTCAGCCCGCAGTGGAGGTGAGCCTGAGTCTGTGGCTGTAACCCTCAAGTTATAGGCATCCCTCTCCTCTCGATCCAGCCGCCGAGCCACACACACCAGATAGATGACGCTGTCTTGGGTGCTTAGGGCAAAGTGGCCCTCTCCACCTTCCAGGGACACATTGACATGGGCAAAGTCACCATCATCTGGGTCTGACACAGAGATGCGAGCAACGAGCTGTCCAGGTGGGGCGGCCTCAGACACTTGGGGGGAGCCATCTGCACTGAGAAAGATGACAGTCATGGAGGGCTGATTGTCATTGGCATCTCGCACATGCACAGTCACAAAGGCCGAGCCCAGCTCAGGGTGAGCCCCACCATCTCGTGCTTGCACCACCAGTTCATGGACCCGCCGCTGCTCAAAGTCCAGTGGCCGCTCTAACTGCAGCAGCCCCGTGTGTGCGTCGATGGAGAAGGGTCCATCACCCTCGCTCTGCCTCCGGTTGATCTCGTAAGTCACAGCCCCATTGACACCAGCATCGGCATCAGATGCGAACACCTGCAAGACAGGACTGCCAGGGGCCAGGCTCTCAGACACCACAGCATGGTAGCGGCTCTGATTGAAAGCCGGGGCATGGTCATTGATGTCCAGCAGTGTCACGTCCAGCAGGGCCTGGGCCCTCCGGGGGGGTGAACCACCATCATAGGCCTCCAGCTGTAGCATATAGTGTGAGCGGTTCTCTCGGTCCAGTTCCCCAGTAACTACCAGCTCAGGTACTGGAGTCCCATCTGGACCGGGGCGTGTCTCCAGCCGGAAGGTCTCTCCAGCCCCATCACCAGATAGCGCATAGCCCTGGGTTCCCAGACGCCCAGCATCTGCATCACGAGCAGGCTCCAGTGGGTAGCGGGTGCCAAAAGCTGTATGCTCAGGTACCTGCAGGGCAGCCCGAGCCTGTGGGAAGGCTGGAGCATGGTCGTTGATGTCAGCCACTCGCACTGTAACTTCTACGGTGGCACCATCAGGAGTGACTGCAGTGAAGCGGTAGCGGTCCCGCTGCTCACGGTCCAAGACACGGGCTGTACGGACGACCCCACTGTGTTCGTCAATGGCCAGGTCTGTGCCCACGCCGCTGCCCTCTTGGGCAGAGATGAAGTACATGAGAGGAGCTGCCGTGCCTGCCGGAAGCCCCGCACTGATGTCGCCAATCAGTGTACCCGCTGGCTGCTCCTCATCAATCTGCAAGTCCAGGCTCCCAGCCTGACCCCAGGCACCTGGCACCCCAGCCCCCAGCAGCAGCAGCAGCAGCAGCAGCAATGGTAGCAGGAGGTGGGGCCTGGGGCTCTTCATGCCAGGGCAGGAAGGCACAATGCCCAGCTCCTTCTGCATGACAAGGGTAGTCCAGCTGTGCCTTGGGCTCCAGCTCCAGGCCAGGCTCTGGGCCCAGCTTGACCTCAGACTTTGGGTCAGGTCCCACTGGGGCCCTGGCTCCAGCTCAGGCTCCCTGACCTGGGAGAAAACAGAAGGAAACGGGTCATGACAGAGGAGGGATCAGCAGTCCAGATAACCTGGACGAGGCCACATCAACATTCAGATATGCTCAGCCCCCAGCAGGCCCTTGTGCTGCCTCACACTCATCTTGGGCCACACGGATCTCTGCCTCAGGACTCTTCGAGGCCACTCCAGCCTTCCCCTTGGCAGATCTCATCCTTTCCTACCCTCAGCAGATTTTTATGCATCCTATTTTTTCGGGTCTGAATGCCCACAAACTCCCTTCTTCCTATTTCTAGGCTTAAAAATATGGACATTCTTTTCTCATTTTCTTCTCATCCAGAACTAATACTCGCTTCTTCCAGCCTCTATAACCATGTATTTGGTAACTTTTCCTGAACCGTCAACCTTTTCCTCTCTCCTGGAGCTTTCCATCAATACTACATATGCTCAAGTCTCTCTCTCTCTCCCCACCCACCACCCTGCTGGAAGGGAATGATGTTGTTTCCTTAGCTCTACTTCCCTACTCCTCTCTCCATTCAACAAGAGATTGAGCACCTACAATATAGAGGCACTGAGGATACCACAGCGAATAAAGGAAATGGTCTCTGGCTTCATAGAGCTTATAGTCCAGGAGTTGAACAAGTAATTACAAGTATGGTAAGAGTTGTGAAGAAGGCGTACAAAGAGCAAGGAGGAATATAAGAGAAGCAACACAGGCAGGGAGTCAGGGAGTCCGTGTTTTGCCTAGGAAGTGACATTAAAGTTGACATCTAAATAACTAGGTGCTAGCTAGGCAATGGTGGCCAGAGAAGGGGGATACAGAAAGGAGAAAAGGACATTCTAGAAGAGTGAACAGTATGTGGAAAGGCTTAGAGCCTACAGTCAAGGTGGGGCTCAGAGTGTCTGAGGGTGGGGTGGGGTGGGGGGGGCATGTGTGTGAAGCATAGTGCTAGGGGCAGAGGGTATGAAATGAGACAGGGACTTGTAAGCTGTATTGAAGATTTTGACATTATCCTAAAGGCAAATGGAAGCCACTAAAGCACTTCAAGGAGGAGTGCCAGAATATGACCTATATTTTGTGAAGATGGCTATTGCAGTCCTTTGGAAAGCAAAGATCACGCAGATTGGACAGTGAGGAGGCACTTATGGGCATCCAGGAGATGACACTGCTTTGATGGTAACTTGGGTGAGTGTAAGCAATGAACATGGCGAGAAGTGGATAGGTCTCTGGTGGGGTTCAGGAAGTAGAGAGGCCGGGCTTGCTGACTGTTTGAAGTGAGGGGAAGAAGGATTGGGAGAAGTCAAGGATGATGCGCACATTTCTGACCTGAACTACCAGCTGGATAAAGGTGTCCTTAACCGCTCAGAAAGAAAAAGAGGCGGGGCAAGGAACCAGAGAGGGGTGGTGCCTCTGAGTCTAAGGGAGGTTTCAAATGATGCTTAAGATCAGGAAGGAAATGCCCCGGAGCCCCTTACTCTAGTGACTAAGAAGAATCTGTGGATAAGTGAGAGCACAGACTGAAGATGGGATGTAGTCACCAGAGGAAAGAGGGACATTCAGAAGCTATCGCCCTTTCTGAAAGATTTTTTCATTTCCCCCATTTTCTCACTTCTCACACTCTCCTCCCTCTACGCAGTGAGGCTTCCTTTCTTGTGACATTGCTTTCACTAAGCTTCCAAACATCTCCATGTTCTATGTTGGCGGCCACCTGTTTATCTTCCTTTTATCGGGTTATTCTGGAACTCTGAAACACTGATCACTGGCTCCTTGAAATCTCTTCTCCTCGGTTTCACACTGTGACCCCCACCTCTTATTTCCATCATGCTTCCCTGCCCACTCCTCTGTCTCCTTTGCAAGTTCTTTTTCCTCTGCCCACTCCTTCACAATTGGTGCTTTTCGGGGTTCAGTCCTGGGCAGTGTCTTTTCCCACTCTCCATACTCTGCCTGCGTGATCTTATCCACTCCCATGCCTTCAGTTCAAAGGTATCAATCATTTTTTATGTGCCATCTATTTGCTAATGACTTTCCAATCTCCAGCTCCAGCTCTGAAGACCTCTGGAGACACATGTCCAGCCATATACTGGGCTTCAGTATCCCCAGTCATCACCTCAAACTGCTTCCCCTCCATTCCTTTTCCTGTGAATAGGGCCACCATCCATCCAGGTGTCCAACTAGCAATCCAGAAGCTCTCCTTGTGTCCTTGCTTATCCTCAGTCCTGATTTCCAATTAGTCATGTAAACCCCACCACTTCAACTAGACATGTCTCAGGTCTTTCTTGTTTCTCCAAATTGCCACATCCCAGTCCGAACATCTCTCCTTGTGATTCCTGCAACAGCTCCTCACTGGTCTTCCACTTACTGGCTTGGACCTTCTGATCCATCTCCACCTGACTGGAGATACCTACACAACTCTCACCAAACCACTCCTGATGAAAGGTTTCCACTGGTTCCCATAACTGACAGCAGAAAACAAATGCCCCTCTACGGAAAGAAAGGCAACCACACAAACTTATGTCTATAGCATCAAGAGGTTCATGGACACTAACTAGGTATAGAACTTCTGATCTACAAGATAAAGTCCTTAACATGTCTTCATGATCTGAGCCCTGCCAACTTCTCCATGGTCCCTCACCTTTACTTCCCCCACCATACCTTGCACTCCAACATGAAATCTATTACCATGCTCCTTCCTAACTCCTCACCTTGTATTTGCTACTGTTTTGTCATGAGATAACCTCTAAAAATCCTCTCCACAAAATCACTCCCTCCTGCCTGTGCAGAGCCTATTATACACACTACTGGGCTCTCATTACTTTTGGTAAACACTGACAATAAATTGCACAGCAGCCTCGATTTGTTCATGTGTCTGCCCTCTGCACTGGATTGGAGACTCCTTGAGGGCAGTGACAGGTCTTGGTTAGCCTCTTGATTCTCCAGCATTTAGTAGAGTTATAGCAAGAGCAGGCAGCCCGTGCTAAATGAATGGTCAGAGCCTCATGCTTCCACACCACCATACTCACGTAACACACTCAGAGAGACACATCCATGGTCATGCCAACTGAGACAACACACACAAACACATGTGAGCCCAGGACCCTGAGGCCCCTCGGTCAGTCCTGTGACTACACAAACCTGTTCTCAGGTCTTTACAGATTTGCTGTGCTGTAGGACTTCCTTTCCACAGAGAGAGGTGGGTTTCTGACTCCCCTACTTACACTTCTGACCCACCTCCTCTCTCCCATCTGTGTGAAGCAACAAAAAGAGCAGGGGCTTTGGAGCTTGGACTGGGTTTGAGCCCCAGGCTGCGCATTATGTCCGTAATCTGTAAAATGGCTATGCTGACACCTATCCTGTGGGGTTTTGTGAAAATTAGAAACAATGTAAGAAAGGAACACAGAGCTGGGTATTTGCTAGACTCTCTTTCATTAATTCCCAGCACCATCCCCTGATAGGCCCCCTCTCTGCCTTCATCCCAGCTTCAGAATGCTGGGGTTGTATGTGTGCCACATGGAATAACAGGTCAGAGGGATTCAGAACAAGGAGGTCAGGGTGAACCCAGGCCTGATCTGAAGAAGGGAGAGGATGAGAGTACAAGGATGGTTCCAGGGCCCAGATCAGGGATCTAAGCCCAAAGGCTGGGCTAGGGGTCAAGGGGTAAGAATGGCTCTATTGATTTAATCAGTTAGTGGAGAGAAAGCAGTCATGGTTTGGAGGGAGGGAAGATAATAGTGAGGCCAATGTGCTTATCATACTCTGTATTATAGTTACCTGTCTTCCTACCCAGACAAGTAGCTGTTTGTGAGCCCAGACTGTATTTTCTTCATCTTTGTATGTAGCATGGAGCACAGCATATAGTACATGATAAACACGTTTTCTGAATGAAGCAATCTATGAATGGTTTGAGATAAATCTCAGGTGAATGATCAGACTTCAAGAGGAGAGACTCATGTCCAGGCAGATGCCCTGTGTGAAAACAACTCCTTCTCTCAACCTGTGCTCCTACCACTGCAAACTCTTGCAGAACACTTTCACGGTGGACACGCAAAGGTGCACACTCACAAAGTCACAGCCCCATGCACTGCCTGGCACTCTCTCTCATGCTGTCAGGCTTACGAAGATGCATTCCCATGCAGGCAGATGCACATGCACACAGGTACATTCAACACATGCTCATACACACGTGCGCAGAGGCTTGCTTTAACATACACAGCCAGTGCACACACACAGAGACCCTTTCACATATATACACAGAAGCACATTTTCCACACAGATGAGCCTATTCCTTCACATGGAACCCACCCCCACACGTATGCAGGCATACATACACACACACAGAAAGACACTTTCTCATGGCCCTCACACCAAGAGGCATGTTCACACCCTCTGATATGCCCCCACATACACACACACACCCACCCTCCACACACACCCACCCTCCACACACACAGGCCCAGTGTCACGTATGCACAGACTGACAAGGCGAGCATGCACTCACACTTGAAGACCCACCCACACGCAGGCATGCTCTCGCACATGCTGCCGGGGCACTCGTGGTCAGCTCTGCGGCTGCAGCTGTGACCTCCAGGTCCCTGGGGCCTCTGTCTGGACTGTGCCTCATCACTTCCTGCTGCAAGCCTTCCAGTTCCAAACTCGAACTCCAGACTCTCTCCCGAGACCGTCTCATGCTCGCTCCAGCTCTCCCCTGCACCATCTCCCCAAGTCCGTCCAGTGTTTCTCACTCCTCTTCCCTGAGATTGGCTCCTCCTCCCTGCTCTTGTATCTTTCCCCATCCAGGTCTGTCCCATCCCTTCCCCAGATCTGGCCTGCCCCTCCATCTTGTCTCTTTCCCCAGCATATGCTGCCTCCTGCCTAGATCTGTCTTCTTCCTTCTTCCAAATCTGTCATGGCTCTTCTCCCACCTGATTCTGCCTTGCTACGTGCCCTCACTCTGTCCCCGGTCCTGCTACTTGGTCCTCTGACTCCATCCTGCTCTCCTCCTCCATCCCCACATCTGGGCCTCTGGAACCACAGCTGGTTCTCATTAGGAGGGGGAGGGGCAAGACTGTTCATTGGGGCCTGAAACGTGATGTCAATTCCCCCTCCCTCACCAACAGAGCTTCCCTCACACCCCCAGCCTGTGTGTCTACAGGACCTGGAAGCAGGGGGAACATGGGAGAGGAAAGAGAGGTGGGCTGGGGGGGAGGAGCAGGGGGACTACAAGGGAAGGGGGTGCTCCAGGAGGAAGTAGAGGAGTGGCCCGAGGCGCTGAAGGGGAAACAGGCTGGGGGAGCTGGCACCACCCAGGCCTCCTCCCTCAACTTCCTGTCCCAGGGCCAGCGAGGGGCAGAAAGACAACAGGGGTGAGGAGGGGCGCCACAAAAGGTAGATGGGCTAGAAGTGGAGGAAGAAGAGGGTAGCCTCAGTGAGCAAAGGGGTGAGGATACAGGGCCAGGCATAAAAGAAAGAGGAAGTGAGAAGAGGTTCTGGTAGGGGGATGACAGGGAACAAGACTGAGGGAGAGTGACTGTGTATGGCAGAGGAAAGAGGGAGCAGAGCTAATTCAGAAAGGGGAGGTGAGTTGAGGCAGGAACAGCCACAGCCCCACCGGTGCGTGCTGGGCCAGAGCTGGAAGAAGGAGGAGGGGGCTCAGGAGGGAGGAGGAGACAGCTAACAAACTAGCTTCCCTGGATATCCCTGGGACAGCCCCATAGGACAGTGGCCAGAGCAGTGCCCGGGCCTGGCTCTGTCCCTCCTGAGGACTGGTTCCCAGGAAGCACTCCAGGGAGAAGCTGAGGACAGATGTGAGCAAAAGAGGCAGAGGAAAAGTCTATTTTCTGAGCTTTTATGGTGCGCTGGGCCCTGTGCCAAGCAGCTCACAGACAGTATCTCATTTAATCACCATAACAACCCTGTGAGGAAGGAATCCCGGCTTCCATTTTCAAACAAGGAAATTGAGACTCAGAGTGAAACAATTTTCCTGAGTTAACACAGCCTTAATTTGGTCGCAGGACTATGTAGTCTATGTTGCCTGAGATTCAGGGAGGAGAGAAAGATGGAGAGAATAAGAAATTACAGGGAAGTTGAGGGGACAGAGTCCTCACAGGGCAAGGGAGGCCTGAAAAAGGAAGAGAATCTGGAGGAGAGAGGTGAAGAATGAGGCCTCTGGGAGAGTCCAGGTTAGCAGCGGTGAGGCTGAGGATACAGACATGAAAGATGTGAGGAGGTGAAGGTAAGAAGACTTGGTCACTGACTCTCCAGGAAGATGAGGGAGTGGAAGGACTCTAGACTTCGGCCTGCCTACCAGGGTTCTGGCCAGGTTACTAAAGTGGTTCCATTTGGACACTGCAGAGGAAAAGCCATTTTGGGGGGTGACTGTTGGGATCCCCATGTGAAGATATTCAAGCACAGCTGGGTTTGCAAGCCTGCAGCTTAGCATAGAGACCAGGGTTGGAGATGTGGATTTGGACAAATCATGGGGTAACTGAAAGCTGTGGCCTTAGAGACTCCATCAGATAGAATGTGTAGAGTGAGCAGAGAGTCTTGGACAGAACCCTGAGAACTAGTTACATTAAGCAGTAGGTTGAAGAGACCTTTATTCTTCCTGGGGGCAGTATCACAGAAGTTAAGGGAGAAAACATTTCAAAAAAGAAAGGGATCGATAATGTCCAATGCTGCTGAGAATTCAAGTAAGATAAGGGCTGAGAAGTGGACACTAAATTTAGCAGTGAGGAGGTCTCTAGTGATCGTGGAGAAAATTGTGCCAGAAGAGTACTAAGGGTGCAAGCCTCTTGCAGTGGGAAATGAGAAAGAATGGATCAACCAATAGCTAGCCATAGAGCAGACATCAGCATGGATTCATTCACCAATACATGCTTACTACACCCCTAGAATAGGGAGACAATATATCATAGCAAGGCAGGACAGGATAGTGGTTAAGATGCAGACTCCAGGGCCAAGCCAGCTGGATTTGGTTCCCAGTTTCACTTACTGGCTGTGTGACCTTGGGCAAGCCACTTAGTTTCTCAGTGCTTCCATTTCCTCATTTATAAATAAGGACAATAATAATACCTACTACATTGTATTTGGCTGTTAGAGTAGTGTCTGGCACATAGTAAGCTTTATAAGTATGTGAGCATGAGATATTATTATAGTGGTTAAGAAGGCAGGCTCGACTGTCAGGCTGGAGTTCAAATCCTGACTCGGCCACTTAAGCATGAGTCTAGGCAAGTTACTAAACATTCTAAGTGTTAGTTTCCTCTTAAACCTCTGGGGTTTAAAGTGCTTACCTTAAATGGTTGATATGAGAGTTAATGAAATAATGCTAACAATAAACATAGCACAATGTCCAGCACACAGTGAACGCTCACTAAATGTTAGCTGCTGCTGTTGTGTGCCACACACACACAGTAACTCTGCAGTAAGTGTTATTTCACAGATGAGGAAACTGAGGGCTCAAAGAAGGTAGCAGAGAGACATTTAGAATGATCTAGAATGCAGTCCTGACAGACTCCAAAGCTAGTGCTTTCTGTTAGACCACACTGCTTGCCTGCTGGAGGGCTCGGGATGCTCTGATAAAAGCTCATATAACTGGTCAGGCAGCAAAGCAGGGAAGGAGAATGATCAAAGTTCTGTTTTAGGAGAATACATCTGGCAGTGTGTGCAGGGTGGGTGAGAGGAGGAGGAGCTCAATGTTGAGACAATTGTCAGTCCAGGTGAGCATGGGGGCAGGTGGTAAGAGAGGGGAAGGAACATGGAGGATGACTGGAGGCCTCCAGGAGACAAAGAAAAAATGGAGAGGGGAGAGGAGGTCGTAGGGTACACATGTGAAGTGATTCATTGATAAATCTGTTATTCAACAAATACTTGTTGAAGACTTACCATGTGCCAAATGCCATACTAAGCCCTAGAGATAGAGGTGACGTGGACAGATCAAGTCCTTTCCTTCATGATGTTCACAGGTAGGGAGACTCGGCAGGGACGGGCAGGGCAGGGTGAGGGAGCTGGGGCACGGGGTAGTGACATGCAGCAAGGGTTGCCCTAAATTCTGACCCTGACAATCAGGGTCTAGGCTGTAGAAGAGGCCAGCAAGGCCAGAGCTAGCAGAAAAGTTGGAGATGTAGCAACCAGAATGTTGAAGGAGAAGAACAAATTTGGAAAAGTGGGAAGCTGAGGGTAGGACAGCATAGTAGAGGGGCTGAGATGGTAGAAGTAAAATTAACTAAGTTAATAGCTGAACACTTAATAATTTTCCTTCTGAATCCCCAAAACAACTCTCTTAAGGAGATACTGCTACCTCCATTTTCACCTGATGAAAGGGGAGCTCAAAGAAGCTAAGTCATCCAGGCCATAAATAGTGTGTCTGGAAAGTCTAAAGTGTGGCTCCCTCTCCCCTCTTTCTTCTCTTTCTTCCTTTCCTTCTTTCTCTCTCACCATCCATATAAGAGGTGTGTTCTAGGCTCTGAGAGATAACAAGCTTCTTCTATCCAGTAGCTTAGAAAGAGAAAAAAATAACAAGGACACTGCAGCATACTAAGTGAGCAGAGAAGGGCTTGGAAGTTCCAGGTGGACCTCCTGGAGGAGGTGCCCTTTCACCAGGAGACACAGGGAAATGGAAGCCCCTCCCAAGTGGCAGTGGTTGAAAGTGGCCTGGTGTCAGAAGGTTACCTAGGGAAGATGGATACAGGAGCTGAAGGAAGGGGGGTCAGCAGGAAGCTGGGAAGAAGCTAGGAGACAATAGCATGAACCCCTGGGAGGGGCTTTTCCTAGCAGATACCAGGGCATCAGAGAAGAGAGAGTCCAGTCTTGCCTCTGTTACCACTGACAGGCAGGAGAGGGAAGAAGAAAAGAGTACAAGAATCAAGGAACCTAATATGGGGAGGACTGAGGCCAGGATGCCAGGAGTTGGAGGGCTCAGGGTGGGTGAGTCCGTGGGCTAAGAGGGCATTAAAGGAAGGAGCAGCCTAGGACACCTCTGGGGAAAGAATCTGGTGAGGCACTGTAATGCCTTGTAGTCTGGCACAGCTTCTGCTTCTTCCATCCCTTCCCAGAGCCCCAGTAGACACCTGGCTCAATGGATTTGGGTCTGCAAACTTCTGGTACTTCTTAAATATTTGCTAACTGAATGAAAGATAAAGTACAGATAAGGGAGAGGAAGAGGATCGAGGGAGACGAAGGAAGAATAAATTGTAGGTGAGGGGAGTGGAAGTGTCTCCAGCAGAGTAAGTGAGTAGTGTGAAAATTTCTTAATTATGTGGGCAGCTGAGACTAGGTGTCAGTCTTCTGAAGAGTGAACGAGGGTGAGGGATGTGCTGTGAGGTACCCATGTATTCATTCATTTTGTTCACAGCCAAGCACCTGTGTGGGACCCTGAGTCACAAAGATGAGTAATACGCACTCTTGCCATCAAGGAGGTCCCAGCGCGGTTTGGGGAGATAAGACAGGGAAGAGGCAATGACAACAACGAAACACAGAGTTCAAGCCTGCCCGGTGGAGTCATTAAAGGCAGGGTTTGAGACCAGATATGAGGAAGGGAAGGGATAAGCCAGGAGGGAAGGGAGTGAAGGGCCTTTCAGGCAGGCAGAGCAGTATGTGCAAAGGGTCAGAAGCATGGAAAAAGGTAGTGTCTTTGGTGAACTACAGGAAATTCAGTATGGCTGAAACTCAAAACGTGAGGGGGCTGGGGAAATGGGGCAGGTGATGAGACTGGGAGGCTTGGGGAGGTCAGACTATGATCTCATAACCTTTGTTAAAAAGAAAAGATTTTGTTCAAGGAAAATGGAAGGCATTTGAATAATGCTGAGCAGGGAGTGACATAGTTGGATTTGTACTTTAGGAAGGTGTCTGTTACTCCAATGAAAAGAATGGATTGAAAGAAGGAAGAGAAGTGTAGAAAGAAAAGTTAGGAGGCTCTTGCAAAAATTCATGTGAAAAGATGGTAGATGAGGGCAACAGCAGAGGTGATGGAGAAAAGGGGATGGGATATCAGAGATTGCTGGAGAGAAGATAGAACCAACACGTTCCAAGGGATTTCTGGATTATGGGATACGTGGAGAAGGGAATGGTGACAGTTAATTTCTGGGATTCCAGCTTGCAACCTGAGTGGGGATGGTCATTTGGGGAAGGAAGGAATGATGAGATCAGGTTTGCACATGATAAGGGGTCGGTGAGCTATACAGTAAAGAGCAGGCATGCAGCAGGTATGCAGAAATGTGGCCTAGAAGAGAGATGTCTGTGAGTCATCAGCCTATAGATGTTAATAAAAGCCTTGAAAAATGAATGAAATTGATTACCTAGAGGTGTGTATACAGTGAGACAATAAGAAGGTCCAAGCCAGAACTTTAAGGAACAGTGACATTCAGGGGGCATACAAAGGATCCCTCAAAGCAGACTGAGAGAACAGCTAGGAGGAGCTCCAGAAGAGATACATACCATAATGTAACTTTCCACTTATTTGCCTGTTAAATGTTGATAGAATAAAATCATGGCTCAGAAGCCAAACAACAAAAACAACTCAAGGAGAAAAGAATGGTCAATAATGTCAGCTCCTCCCGAGAGGTCAGGCAGTTAAGGACTTTTGAAAAGATCCTCCAGATTGAGCAGAAGAGATGTTACTTTCTCCTAGGGAAAGCAGTTACATTTGAGGGGCAGGCACAAATGGGAAGTGAGGAAGTAGGAACAGCTATATGCAGAAGACTCTTTCACAAAATGTGACAGTGAAGAAAAGTGAGGAAGCCTCTTAGTTAACGGGGTATTACAGGGTTAAAGAAAGATAGGAGAGGCTGGAGGATCTTTATGTCCTCCCAGGAGGAATGGGAGAAAGGAAGGAACTGGAGACGTGGGAAACACATGGAATAATCAGTTGAGTGAGGTCCCTGTGGAAGAGGAAGGGGATGGGATCCGTAACACAGGTAGAGGATTGGCCTTAAGTAGAAGAGACAGCACTTCGTTCTTATAGGAAGGAAGGAGAAAAGATTGAAGAGGATGCAGATAAAATTTGAGGGAGGAGGCAGAAATCTGAGGGAATTCAAAACAGATGGCCTCAATTTCCTCAGTGAGCCAGAAGACCAGGTTGTCCACTCTTAATTCCTTCCTTTCCTTCACCCCACCATGTCTGCTTTGTCACTGAGCCCTGCTGATCCCACTGCCTAAAGAGCTCTTGAAACCATCCACTTTCTCCTTCTCTCCGGCCACTACTCCAGTTCAGGCCAGTGTTATACCCTCCAGAGTTTCTGCAACAGCCAACTGTCCTTCTTCTCAGGCTCTTTCTCCAGTCTCCACATGGCTGTCAGAGTGGTATTTCTAAAATGAATCTGATCATATCGCTCCAAGCTTCCAATGATTTGGTGACTCTCCATTATTCTTGGGTTAAATGAATTTCTTTCTGTGGCCTCCTAGACCCTGCATGGTCTAAGCCTCCATTTACCTCTCCCACAGACTCTCCCTCTCTCGTCACCTCATGCTGTAAGTGTCAGGCTCACTGAACTGCTTTATCCCTCACACACACACTATTTTCCTTCATGTGGGCTTTTACATGCTGCTCCCTTGGCTTGGCATATTCTCCACCCACTCCATCAAGTTTAAGTTTAAATGCCACTTCCTCCAGAAAGACTCTTCTGACCTCCCTACACTGGCCTAGGTTACTCTGCTGTGTGCTGCTGTGTTACAACACTCACTCCACAGCCTGTAAGCTCCATGAGGATAAGGACCATGTCCATTTTGTTCACACTTGTGCTGCCAACTCTCATCACAATGCCTAGCAGAGTAGGTGCCTAGTATGTGTTTGTTAAATGAATGAATTAGCGTTTTGATTAATTAATCTACTGAAAACAATGGTGTGAGGGATGTGGGGTAATGAGTGTGAAGAAAATAGAAAAAAAATCATCTATTTATTTATGAAGGGCCCAGTTGAGGTTTGAATTTTTTAGAAGTATGAATTTATAGAAGCGTCCCCTGGTGTGGTTGAGAAATCATTCTAGTTAGGGGCAATAATTTGAGGGATGAGTATAGAAGACAAGGAAACACAGTGGCCAAGGAGTGGTTGAAGGGATGATCCTTAGCATATGAGCTGGAAAGAAAGCACAAAGTCAGAAAGGAACAGAGTAGGAGAAAACAAAGAGGTCAAGGGCAAGAGGTCATTATGAGGTCAAAGAGTGTAATGGGAGCGAGAACATCTGAAAGCTGGAAGGATATAGGAGGTTGTGGGTAGAGAGAGGAATGCAAGAGTTTAGAATTTTAAAGGTGGAATAGTTCTACAGAGTGGTCCTGGGAGGGAGGAAGGTAACAGGAGCTAAGGAGGTCAAGAATCTGTGAAGCTGTGGTGTTGAAGGACACTGAGAAACCATGGCAGGATACACTATCCAGATCTCGAAGTTTTCAGGGAACAAGAGGGTATACCTGGGAGATCTACGTATGAGAAGGGGTGAAGGTGTGAGCTTGATAAGTTAAGCAGAGTTTATTCAGAAGTTGGGACAGGTCTTCCTGTGGTGTGCATGCCATCCATGACTGTCTCCTGGGGGTTGTACAAGTGGCTGTGTGGTAAGGGCAACTGTGGCACAGCCTCCTGTTAGTGACAGGCTTCTAGGACACCCACTATGTATGGGCAGCTCCAAGGAAGTAAACCTAATAAGATGTGCTGTGACAGTTGTGACAGTGCTTCTGATGGATGTGGATTGCAGTGACAATGTCTCCTGAGAGGTGCTGGTCTACTTGTTTGTTGCTGGTGACAGTGTTTCTGGAGAGTGTTAGCAGTAACAATGTCTTCCATGGTATGTGTTGGCCTTGACAATGAACCGGTGGGAGTATGTTGGTTGCAGCATTTCTCCTGTGGGTGTGTGTTGTCATGAGAGCATTTTCCGTAGGTGTGTGTTGGCTTGATAGAGTCTGCTGTAGGTGTGTGTTGGTTCTGACTGGGGGTGCTTCCTGGGGGTGGGCTTCCTGGAAGTGTATGATGGCTGTGAGGGTATCTCTTGAGGATGTGTGTTCCCTGGGACTGTGTCCTCTTGTGGGTTGAGTAGGGCTATGACTGTGTCCCTATGGGTATTTGAGAAGTTGACATAAGCGACAATATTTTTCTGGCCTATGACCTTGTGGCTGTGGGCCCAGCCCGCCACACTGAGTTCATTGTGCTTCTAGACCTCCCTCTCCCCACCCCCTCCACGTGGGACCCACGCCTGCGGTGACCTTGCTCTGTCCCCTGCACGGGATTCTGAGCTGGGTATCCCAGACACAAACTCCCAGTTGCTCCAATCTCCCACTCAGAACACGTCTGGGTGACCCCCCCCTCCATCCACTTCAGGCTGTGCCTGCCTCTCCTCTGCTTCTCTGTACTTCTCCCCACTCAGTTTCTTTGTCTCTGTCTCAGTTGGTCTCTGTCACACACCCATCCTCCACATTCTGACACATGGGCTCCCACAGAGCGGGCAACACACCCTCACAGGGACTCGCTCACCATGACACACGGTCATTCTGACCCTCACACCCTCAGAGTGACACGCACATGCACACACAGCCAGAGAGACGCCCAGGGACACACAACCTCCCAGTGACACGCACTGACACACTCCGACGATGCACTGGAACACAACGCTGTCGCACCCCACACCCCCGGCGCACGCTCCCGCCGCCACCCTCCCCGACTCGATGACACACGCACACAAAGACCCCCAGGCCCTGCCCCCACGCTCACGTTCACGCCCGCCCGGGTCCCGCAGGCCCAGGCCCCCCCTCCCCCATTGTCTCCGGCTCAGAACAAAGCCCCCGGCTCCGCCGCCGCTGCCGCAGCCCAGGGGAGGCCGGCGGGCAGGGCGGGCGCGGCCAGACGGGCCGGGCGGGCGCGGGCACTGACCTCCGCGCGACGCGGGCTCCCTCGCCCGGTGCTGGGGCGCCGTCCGGCCGCGGTCAGCCCCCCGGGCAGCGCCCGCTCGCGCGGGGCCTGAGGCCGCGCATCGTCCGCAGTCGCTGTCTCCGAGGCCCGCGATCCCCTCCGGGCAGCCGCCGTCGGTCCGCGCGCCCTTGGCCGTCGATCGGTCCGTCCGCTGACGCCCGGGCGCCGCCTCCTGCACAGCCGCCCCGCCGAGGATGCGAGCTCCGCTGCCGCGGCCCCGCGCCCCCTCCCCTCCCCTCCCCCCGCCCTCCGCGCGGTAACCCGAGCCCCCGCCCCTCCGCCCGCGGAGCCCCCGCCCCCGCCCCCACCCGCGCTCCGCGCCGCCGCCCCCCCTTCCCCCCGGCGCCCGCCCGGCCTCCCTCCGCCCCTCCACTTCCCGGCCCCAGGCCCCGGCTCCGGATCCGGCCCCAGCGCCGCGCCGCGCCCCCGTCCCGGTTCCCTTCCCTTCTCCCCGTCACTTCTCCCGTCCTCTCCTCCCATTCGGTTCTCTACGCCCTCTCGTCTCTTCCCCTTCTCGCCGCTCCCTGCTGCTCACCTCCTCCTCTTCCATCTTCTTTCCATCCCCTATTCCCCTCTTCTCCCTCAGTGCCCTGGTCTCCCTCTCGCCCCTTCTTTTTCCCAACCGTCATCTCCATTCCCCTCTGCCTTTCTCCCATCCTCTTCTTCTCGCCCCATCTCCATCATTTTCTCCCCAGCTCTTCTCCCCTTTCTCTTCTCCTTACCCCTTCTGCTTGATCTCTCTCCAGCCTCTTTACATCAGATTCTCCTTCCCCACCTCTCCTTTTATCCTTTTCTTCCTATCCCTTTCTCCCCGTCTCTTCTCCCCACCTTTCTCCCCATCCCCTTCTCCCTGTGTCTTTCGCCTCACCTCATCATCCCCTTTTCCTCACGCCTTCTCCTCATTCCCTTTTCTCACCCCTGCCCTTTTCACTACCCGCTGTCTCTTCCCCTTCTTCCATCGTAACCTCGGCCTTCTCCCCTGTTAGTCACTTTTCATTATCCCATGATTTCTGTCTCTTTTCTCTCCTTCACCCCCAGGCTCCCTTTCCCCCACTTTCTCTTTATCCCAAATTTGAGGGTAGAGATCGGGAGATATTGGAAAGAAGAGCTTTGGGGATGGTGGTCCCACTCACGATATACTCCCTAGAAAAATTAAGTGAGGAGGAAACCGGGCAGGGAAGTGGGAAGGGGCTCAAAAAACCAACTTGGGAGAGAATATGGGGAGAGGGGAAATCAGACAGAGACAAAGAGCAAGCAATCTTAAAGGAACTGGGAAGAGTTCTGACTCCTGTCCTTCTTCCTTAGGACTGCGAGTAGACTGTGAGAAAAACAGGTTTTCTGGACTTGAGATGTGTACAAATGGCACAAAGAAATCAGGAACTTCTGTGGAGAAGGAACACAGTTTCAGCTGAAGAAGAAGGGAGTGTGATTTTGGAAGAGGAGTGAGGGAGAGACTGGGGTCCTTGATCATATCCACGGCGCTTGGGCAGCTGGGTGGATGGATGGTGGTGAGGCTGGCTGTGCTCCACAAAAGGAGCAGCAGGAGGCTGCAGGGGGTTCGTATGAGGAGATGATGACTGTGACTTGGGGCTGCTGACTTTGAAGTGCTGGTTGGGTAGGTAGGTCTGCAACTTAGAGGAGCGGTCTGGGATGGACATAAATATTTGGGAGTCATCTGCAAATGCCGTATAAGCTTGAATATAGGGTGAAGTTTTTGCTTTTTTGTTTTTCCAAAATCATCCCTCAGGAAAGAGGGAGTAACCTTATATTTGAGTCCTTACAAGGTCTCTCATATTACAGGGTTTGCTCTCATTTACTTTATTTTGAACAACAAACCACTGGATAGGGCAGTATGGTATGGTGACTAAGCTTGTGGACTCTGGAGCCAGACTCCCTGGCTCGGGGTCCAGACTCTCCTATTTACAAGCTGTGTGGCACTGGGAAAGTTACTTAACTTGTCTCTGCCTCAGTTTTCTCATCTATAAAGTGGGCCTAAGGATTAAATTATGTAATATATATAAAGCACTATATACCTGGCACTATATGGTAAGTGTCCAATAAATGCTAACTATTTTTACTGTTTGGCTAAGACCCATTGACCTGAAATGTCCTCAACAATGCTATTTTGGATGTATTGTAGTCAAAGAAATTTAACACAGCTTTGGTAACTATTCCTGGTAGTATGACCTCATAATCGCATGTGTTGGATGTCTCAAAATATGCTTTTTAAAGATTGCTTTAAAAAGCAATACAGTAGTACTTGGAAGAGGTTTCTGGGCTGCCGAAAATGTTCTATTTCTTGACCTGAGTGGTTATATGGACCTGAGGGATGTTTCACTCTGACAGTTCATTGAGCTGAATATTTATGATGGCTTGTGGCCTTTTCCATATAGATGTTATATTTCAGTAAAAAAAGTTAACAGAAATATAATTTTTAAAAAGTATTACATTAAGTGATGTTTTGAAGTCATGAATATACTCAGGCAGGGTGCATGCAAAAAACCAACTGTTCTAGTGTGATGCAAAGGAAACTTGTGACTTAGGATAAAGTTTCCAAGGACTGCATCATCTGTGAATTCAAACTGTGCTGTGTCCTCTCCCAAGCCCTTCGCTTAAACTGAAGAGAAGGACATCTGTTCTGGGAAAACATGTAAGATGGCTGAAAAAGTGATCCTAATGATGAGAAAGACACTGCTTGTGTTGAGTATGCATAAAATTGCTTCATAATTTATGAGAATGGAAAAGACAATATTTATCAGTTATATATTTTTATATGATATATGAATTTAAATATATGTCCAATAAAGTCCATTAACTCATAGAAGTACACTTTTGATTGTTTCATCCTCATCCTTAAAGGTTTACATTTCTAGGTTGGTTGAAAAGCTTTTTGGATCTTCTCACTGGGAAAAATGAAAAATTACTGTTTGGGCAAGACCCATTAACCTGAAATGTCCTCAACAACCCAATTTGTGTTGCTTTGTATACAGTAAGCTGTATTGTATAGTAAGTGTGACAGATGGTAAGTGAAGGTAAGGGAGTGAATGAGATTACAGAGGGAGAGCATGTACATTAGGAAGAAAAGAAGGTCTAGGACAGATGCTGAGAAGCTCCAACATGTAAAGGTTGAGAAGAGGAGGAGCCCTCAAAGGAAAGTGAGAGGATGTGGCCAGACAGGGAGGAGAAAGAAAGGGAGGTGAGTGGTGCCACTGAAGCCCAGGGAATGGCCACAGAAGAAGCCATGAAGTGAGGAGAGGTCATTAGGTTGGAATGACACAGAGGAGGCCAGTGAGGTAAGGACTGAAAAGTATCCATTGGATTTGGCTGGGGCCTAGGGGGCAGGCTGGTGACCTTGGGGACAATGTGGTAGGTGGAGTGGTAAGGATGAAGGCTAATTAGCACTCAGTAACTAAGGAGTGAGTGGAAGGTGAGGAACTGAAGACTTGGAGTAGAGCTTATTCTTTAAGGAGGCCTAACTACAGGGGAGGAGAGAGACCTATAACTGGCGTAAGGGATAGGAGTTTTAGGGGGTCAGGAAGTTTTTCAAATAGAAGAATCCAAATTCATTTATTTTCTTGCTTCCTTCATTTATTGAAGATACATTTAGGTGCCTGCTATGTGCAACTTTATAGTTAAGATACAAAAATTAAGACATGACTAAGGAACTCATGGTAAGCTGTGAAGACAGACCTCTCAACTGACAACAGAAGGTACAATAGAGGAGAGCATGGGGTTGTGGATATAGGGGGCTTCCTAATCCAGACCAGGGCTGGGACATCAGCAAATAGTGTCACAGAGATGACAATGGAACTGGATTTGAAGGATTAGAAGCATAGCAGAGGGAAAAGTTAGAGAAAGGACTTTCAGGCAGAATAAACTGACATGTTCAAGATCACAAGAGCATGAAAGAAAATAGCTCTGGCCATGAAGGGTGGCATCCAGGCTTCAGTGGTGGTGGTCCTGCACAAACTGGCTTGGCTGGAGTGTTGAGCATATGGGCTAGTGTGGGAAGCAAAAACAGGAAAGGTAAATGGAGCCAAATCATGGACAATATATGTCATGCAAATGGTCCAGGCTCTGAGGAGCCATTGAAGGGTTTATTTAATAAGATAAATGAAATGGACAGGTTACGTGTCATCAACATAATTTTGGCTATTCCCCAGCTTATAATGAGGGTCTAAATTAAGGTAGTGATAGTAGGATTAGAAAAGAGGAGTAAGATAAGAGAGAAATTACAGGGATAAAACTACTAGAAGTAAAGGGTGTAGCATGGGAGGATTCTAAGATGGCTTCCATGTTCTTGGGTCGTACATTAGTGATGCTACTTAGGAAGCTGGGGAAGCAATAGAGAAGCAGGTTTGTGGGGAAAAGGTAAGATGGTGAGTTGAGTTTTGGATATAAGAGTCGAAGATGTATGTGAGATATCCAAATAAATATGTCTAATAGGTGATTGAGTATAAAATTTGGAACTCAGAAGAGAGTTGAGCTGAGGGTAGATATTTCAAAGCAGTTATTTTGCAGGTGGTAAGTGGAATCATGAGAATGGATGTGGCCACCCACAGAGAGCATGAAGTGAGAAGAGCATCTAGGCAGCCTTTAAGACATGGGCAAAAAAAAGAAGAGTCATAAAAGAGATTGAGAAGAAGCAGGCAACAAGGTAAGACTTAAATGAAAGTAGTATCTGGGCCAGTGCGGTGGCTCACGCCTGCAATCCCAGCACTTTGGGAGGCCAAAGTGGGCAGATCATGAGCTCAGGAGTTTGAGACCAGCCTGGGCCAACATGGTGAAACCCCGTCTCTAAAAATACAAAAGTTAGCTGGGCGCAGTGGTGTGTGCCTATAGTCCCAGCTGCTCGGGAGGCTGAGGCAGAAGAATCGCTTGAACCCAGGAGGTGGAGGTTGCAGTGAACCGAGATCGCGCCACTAAACTCCAGCCTGGGCGACAAAGTGAGACTCCATCTCAAAAAAAAAAAAAAAAAGGAGTATATGATGTGTTATCATAGAAAGCAAGGGAAGAAACAACCACTAGAATGAGAGTTGTCATCAGAGTAAAAATATTGCAGGAAGATGAGCCTGAGGGGTCTTCATTAGATTCTGGAATCAGGAGATAACCGATGATCTTAGTATCAAAGGAGAGGAGGGGAAAGACACCAGGCCACAGGGAGGAAAAGGTGAAGTGGAAGTAAAACAATAGTGATGTGTGTGGAAGAGTGAAAAGTTGATTGCACATGAAAGAAACACAATTTGAATTCATTTAGGAAAGAAAGGTATATTTATTGGCCCAGATAACTAAAGCTGGGAGACGACTGGCTAATGGAACCAGGAACTGAAAGCCCATTAAGACTTTCTCTGTGTCTCTGGTTTCTGTTTTTCATTTCATTTTCTTTTGCTTGTCAGCTTCATTTTCTCCCACTGATTTTTTTAATGAACTTTTTATTTTGGGATAATTTTAGATTTATAGAAAAGTTGCAAAGATAGTACTGGGGGTTCCCATATACCTTCACCGAGTTTCCTCTAAACATTGGTATATTGTTATTATTATTACTATTATTATTATTTTGGAGATGGAATCTCACTCTGTCGCTGAGGCTAGAGTGCAGTGGTACAATCACATCTCAATTCAGCCTCAAACTCCCAGGCTCAAGCAATTCTCCCACCTCAGCCTGCCAAGCAGCTGGGACTATAGGCACATACCACCACACTCGGCTAGTTTTTGTGGTAACAAAGGTCTCCCTTTGTCACCCAGGCTGGAGTGTAGTTGTGTCATCATGGCTTACTACAGCCTCAACCTTCTGTGCTCAAGTGCTTTCTCCCACTTTAACCTCCACACCCCCCCCACCCCCCTCCCCTGAGTAAATGAGACTACAGACACCTGCCACCACCTGGATAATTTTTTGTATTTTTTGTAGAGACAGAGTTTCATCATGTTGGCCAGGCTGGTCTGGAACTCCTGAGCTCAAGCAATCTACCCACCTCAGCCTCCCAAAATGCTGGCATTACAGGTGTAAGCCACCACGCCCAGCCTAGTGTTTTATTTTTTTATCTTTTGTAGAGTGTAGGGGGTCTCACTATGCTTCCAAGGCTGGTCTTGAACTCCTGGCCTTAAGGGATCCTCCTACCTTGGCCTCCCAAAATACTGGAATTTTAGGTGTGAGCCACTGCACGGAGCCAGTACATCATTATTAACTAAATTCCAGACTCTGTTCTGATTTCACCAGTTTTTCCACTAATGTCCTTTTCCTATCCCAGGATTCAATCCAGGATACATTGCATTTAGTCATCGTGTTTGGTTAGTTTCCCCTGGTCTGTGACAGTGTCTCCATCTTTCTTTTTTTTTTTAATGACCTTGACAATTTTGAAGAGTACTGGCCAGGCAGTTCGTAGAGTGTCCCTCAATTTGGATTTCTCTGTTTTCCATGTGATTAAACTGGCGAGAGACTACCACAGAGCTGAAGTGCCTTCTCTCTATATCATATCAGGGGGTGCATGATATAAATGTAAATTTTCACTGGTAATGTTAACCTTAGTCACTGCATTAAGATCTCTCCACTTTAAGGCTACTTTCCCCCTTACCATATTCTGTTCTTTAGAAGTGTCACTAAGTCCCATACTCAGGGAGGGGGAGATTAAGCTCCATCTCCTAGAGGGGGTATGTATGATATGTATTAAAACATAATATACTTTATTTGGAATTCTTCTGTATGCAGATTTGGCTCTTCTCCTCTTTCCTACTGATTTTTAAAATTAGTTTTCTAATCAATATTATGTATTTACTTAGTTTAAAAAATAGGCCTTATAACAACAACCACAGATTCGGAAATCCTGGGGAAAGAGTCTGGATGGCCTGGGGCCGGGGCTGACTTACGTGCCCATCCAGATCAATCTCGGGAGCAGGGGGCCAGGTCACTTAAAAGACGGCAGCTCCCATTCAGACCGATGATTAAAAATGTTTTGGCATACACGTGCCCTTTTGTTTAGGGCATACTTTGGTCCCTTCTTCTGTTAATTGACCTTTCATTTACCCTTCAGATCTCAGCTGAAGCAACACTTCATCATAGATATCTTCTCTGACCTCTTTAGGTCAAATCCCCATATTATGGGTTGTCATAGTGCCTGGTACTTCTCCTCTGTGGCAGTTATCACAGTGGCAAGTTTACATCCATTCTAGTGTGTGAATATTTGGTTAAATGTCTATACACTCCACTAAACGGTAAAGCTGGTTTGTTCACCACTGTAGCACATATATGTACATAGGTGATGTTCAGTCAATATTTGTTAAGTGAATGGCTGACATGAAGGGGGTGGTTGTTCCAGAATAAAGAAAAGATGTTAGTGAGACAACAGAATCAAGTACCATTACTCAGTGAATGCAAGAGAAAAGAGAGAGAGGATAGATAACCTAGGTGGGAGGGTGGGGTGGGTTGGGGTATTGGCAGGAGGAGTGGGAGCAGAGAGGGTTGACAGAGAGCTCTTTGGAAGAAGGCAACAAGAGCATGTTTAACATCTCAGGTAAGGAACTCATGGAGAGAATGGAGCAAGGTCCCAGAGGAGAGAGGAGGGACTGAAGAATTAACCATCACAACAAAGAGGGATTGGTCTTTGCCAGGAAGAGAAGTACCTCCTCCTCCAAGACTGAAAAGGAAGATGAGTGGGGTGCAGATAACGGCATGTGTGTAAGTGTGTGGTAGTGGGGGAAGAAGGTGGACAAGGCAGGAATTTGAGGCCATCATACCTGATGATCTCATTCTCTCTAGAGAGGAGTTGGGATTTTGTGAAAAATGGGCACGAGGGAGGCAATAATGTTAGAAATCTTGAAAGCTTTAAAGGAGTGAAGACACTGTTAAGGGAAGTGATAGCTGGTGGCCTTATAAGCCTAAAGGACCAAGGAGTTGAGGACACTGGCAAGAAAACAAAGGATAGAGACACACCTACACCTAAGTCCTTGGTGAAAAAGAGGGAAAGTCATTTCATGACAACACTGAGGAGGGTAGAGTCTTGTGTAAGACGGCATAATTTCAAAGGCTGAGGGGTGAGGATGGAGAAATAGTTGTCTCTGTTTAGGCCTTGGGAAGCCTGGATAGTGGTGACTCCTTCCCTTTTCCTTCAAAGATATGTGAAAGTATGTGCAAAAGGGGAGTACTTAAGCAAAGCCAGGTCTCTTACACAGGAAGTGGAGGCTCAGAGGTATATGAAGGGGCTGAGAATTCAGGAGTTTGTCACCATGAAATGGAGGTTTCAGAACAGGAAAGACTGAGGGGTGAATCCATGATGGGAAAGGCTAAAAGGCAGGGAAGCAGTGGGAGGTCCAGTCAACTAGGGTCAGGGAAGGGCACATCAATGTGGCGATGACCAAATGAGAAAGGAGAGATGACTCAAAAGGCCTACCTTGTGAATGATGATCTTGAGTGACAGGATGGGAGGCAGACAGTTGTCAGTGGTTCTGTTAGTCCTCCGTTCTTTCCTAGTGAGCTGGAGGCACTGGGTAGCATTAGTACTTGGTTTCAGACTGCTCCAAGCCTTAGTTCAAAATACTTATAAATCACAAGTCATTAGAACTCCTTGGTACAGCCCAGCCCTGGAAGAAGTGAGCAGGAGTATTAAAAAAAAAAAAAAAAAAATGGCCAGAGTCCAGCACTGTTTGAATTGGGATCTTTCAAGAGTGAGGATGTTTTCCAGGCTCTGAAGGACTTCAACTCCCTGTAGAGGCTCTAGGAAAGGAAAAGGAAGCTCCCTATGCTCTCCCACAGAGCAAGAGCCAGAGAAAGTAGAAGGAAATGGAATCTAGAACACAGGTGGAGGGATTAAATATGGCGAAGAGGAAGGACTCCTATCCACTGAGATGGGAAGTAAGGAAAGCCAGTCCTGTGGATTTCAATTCACACAGTGATCAATTTGTTAGAACTTACCAATTTTATCAGTTTACCAAAATTTTGTTTCTTTTAATTACGTGTGAAGGTTAAAACAATTTGCATGGTTGGGCTGATTTTAACTACTTTTAATGATTTCTACAAAGTATCAGTTGACAATTTTGAGTTTAGTTTAGCTTAGTTGTACTTTTAATTTATTTGCAGCTGTTTCTCTGAAATCATTTTGCCATGGCTTGCCAAAGTTCAGTGTATTCTAAGTTTTTCCTTATTTTGGATCTGTGACTTTGGGGAATGGGAATTTCTTATGCATTTTACTCTGCAAATGTTGTACAATGACTCAGATGTCAAAAATTTCATATACAATCTGGGGGGGCGTGGAATTCTCCCTTCCAAAATATTTTCAATCCAACAGTTTTCCTTTTACTTTAATATTTTTTGTGCATTTGTACTTTTAATAGAAATGTAGATGTGGGCTGAAATATAGCCATACTGTATTTCCATACTTGTTGGTTGGTAAATCATATAATAGTGACTACAATAAGTGATAAAATTAATAATATAAATTATATTATAAACTAATTAGTCTAAGACAATTTTTCTAAGATATCATGATGGCCATTGATAAATGGGTCTCCTGCTGTAGTGACATCTGAGAAACATTTGCAAAATTTCTGCCAGTTCCATTTGTATCACAATAGGAATATTGTACTTTAGGAGCATTCCTGTTGATTAAATAGTTGTTACTACTTCTAAGTAGTCAGGTTTTTACTTTGGCTTTATTACTTTTTAAAGTAACAGCTTTGTTGAGATACACTATGTATACCATAAAGTATATCCTTTTAAAGTGTACAATTCACAGTAATTTTTAGTATATTCATGGGGTTGTGCATTATCATCACTATTACATTTCAGAATATTTTTGTCACCCAAAAAGAAACCCCACACCCATTAACAGTTACTCCATTTGCTGTCCCCTCAGCTCCTGGCAACCAATAATCTACTTTCTGACTCTATGAATTTGCTTATTCTGGACATTTCATATAAATTGAATCATACAACATGTGGCCTTTTGCATCTGGCTTCTTTCACTTGGCATGTTTTCAGTATTCATCCATGTCATTGCATGTATCAGTACTTCATTTCTTGACTTAAGATATGGCTGAAGATATTCCCTTGTATGCATATAACACATCTTGTTTTTCTTTTCATCAGTTGATGGTCATTTGGGTTGTTTCCACTTTGGGGCTATTATAAGTAATGCTGCTATGAACACTTGTATATACATTTTTGTGTGGACACATGTTTTCTCTTCTTGGGTAGATACCTAGGAGTGGAATTGCTGGTATGATTATAACTCTATGTTTAACATTTTTAGAAAATATTTGAGAAAATTTGCCAAACTGTTGCTAAAGCAGCTGCACTATTTTACACTTCCACCACCAGTAAATGAGGGTTCGTTTACTGGTCAAACAAGTGTCAAACACTTGTTGACAAGGATACGGAGAAACTGGAACCCTCATTTACTGTTCGTCATTTTGTTGTTATCCAGCTGGGTATAAAGTGGTATATTGTTGTGGTTTTGATTCCCATTTCCCTAATAACTAATGATGTTGAGCATCTTTTTTTTTTTTTTTTTTTTTTTTTTTTGAGACAAAATCTTACTCTGTCACCCAAGCTGGAGTGCAGTGGTGCAATCTCAGCTCACTGCAACCTCTGCTTCCCAGGTTCAAGCAATCCTCCCACCCTGCCTCCTATGTAGCCAGGATTACAGGCATGCACCACCACGCCCAGCTAAATTTTTTGTATTTTTAGTAGAGACGGGGCTTCACTATGTCGGCCAGGCTGGTCTCGAACTCCTGACTTCAAGTTATCTACCTGCCTTGGCCTCCCAAAGTGCTGGGATGACAGGTGTGAGCCACCACGCCCAGCAGAGCATCTTTTTTATATGCTTATTGACTATATGTATATCTTCTTCTGTGGTTTCTTTCAAGATTTTCTCTTTGTAGTTTCAATATGATACACCTAGGCATAGATTTTTTCAGTATTTATTGTGCTTGTTGTTCTTTGGGCTTTCTGGGTCTGTGGCTTGCTGTCTGTCATTAATTTCAGAAAATTCTGAGTCATTATTACTTTACATATTTATTTGCTTGCTTGCTTTCTCTCTTTCCTTTTCTCCTTCCTTCCTTCCCTTCCTTCTCTCTCTCTCTTCCTTCCTTCCTCCCTCCCTTCCTCCCTCCTTCTCTCCCTCGCTTTCTCTCCTTCCTTCCTTCCTTTCTTTCCCTCCTCCTCCTCCTTCTTCTCCTCCTCCTCTTCTTCCTTCTTCTTTCCTTCTTTCTTCCTCTCTTTCTCTCTTTCTTTCCTTCCTTCTTTCCTCCCTCCCTCTTTCTTTCTTTCTTTCTTCCTTCCTTCCTTTTTTCTTTCTTTCTTTTCTTTCCTCTTCTTTCTTTTTCTCTCTTTCTTTCTTTTTTTTCTCTCTCTCTTTCTTTCTTTCTTTTCTTTATTTTTTTCTGATATTCCCATTACACATATGTTACACCTTTTGTTATTGTCCCACAGTTCTTGGATAGTCTGTTTCATTTTTTTCCCCATTCCTTTTTCTCTTTGCTTTTCAGTTTGGAAAATTTCTATTGATATATCTTCTAGCTCACTGATTCTTCCCTCAGCCATGTCCAGTCTACTGATGAGTCCATCACATACATTATTTATTTCTATTACACTGTTTTAAATTTCTAACATTTCCTTTTGATCGTCTCTTAGAGTTTCCTTTACTCTGCTTCCATTATCCATCTGTTCTTGTATGCTATCCAGTTTTCCCACTAGAGCCCTTAGCATATAATCATACTCATTTTAAATTTCCAGCCTGATAATTCCAAAATCTATGGCATATAAGTCTGATTCTGATGCTTGCTTTGTATTTTCAGATTTTTTTTTTTTTTTTGCCTTTTAGCCTGTCTTGTAATTTTTTTTTTTTTTTGAAACTGGATATTATGTATCAGGTAAAAGGAACTGAGGTAGATAGGCCTTTAATGTGAGATTTTATGTTTATCTGGCTAGGAGTCAGGCTGCGTTTACTACTTCTTGTAGCCGTGGTGTCAGAAGCTAACACCTAGTGTCCTTATTTTTGTCTTCCCTTTTGCCTTTGGGTTTTCCTAGAGACTCCTTCTTAAATAGGGGCTGAGGCTTGCAGTTCTTTTAGCTGTAACCCCTTGTTATTATTATTCAGGAGCCCACTGATGCAGTGAGAAGGTTGGGGTGGATAAGGGAAGCATTATATAGTCTTATAATTATGTCTCAGTCTTTTAATGAGCCCATGTCCTTGGGCTATGACCTTGGCAAGTGCTTCTCAGCTTCCCCCTACTCCACCGTAGAGAGACAGGAAGGCTGGAGGGGGCTGAGGCTGGGTATTTCCCTTGCCCCATGTTGGTTAGGCTTTGGTAAAACTCAAGTTGGTTAGGCTGTGGTAAACAGTTTTCCCTGAGGGCAGGCCTTGTTAAGGAGAACAGAGAGCTCTGGGTATATTTCAAATTTGTTACTTTTTCTGTCCCCCTGCTGGATGCATGAGGAAATTTTCTCCAGTCTTTACAGCGAGAACCTGGTGGGGCTTCCAGTTCTTGTTAAAGCAAAAAACTGGCTGTATAACTTCTTTGGGAAAAAATCTCTATTTAAATCCTTTGCCCATTAAATTTTTTCTTTCTTGCTGAGTTGTTGTAAGGATTCTTTTTTCTTTTTTTTTTTTGAGATGGAGTTTCACTCTGTCACCCATGTTGGAGTGCAGTGGTGTGATCTTGGCTCACTGCAACCTCTGCCTTCCGGGTTCAACAGATTCTCCTGCCTCAGACTCCCAAGAAGCTGAGATTACAGGCACCAGCCACCATGCACAGCTAATTTTTTTGTATTTTTAGTAGAGACAGTGTTTCATCATGTTGGCCAGGCTGGTTTTGAACTCCTAACCTCAAGTGATCCACACATCTTGGCCTCCCAAAGTGCTAGGATTACAGGCATGAGCCACTGCGCCAGGCCATAAGGATTCTTTAGATACAAGAATTATATACCTAGATACAAGTTCCTTATCAGATATGTGATTTGCATATATTTTCTCCCATTTTGTGAATTTTCATTTCCTTGACAGTGTGCTTTGAAGCACAAACGTTTTTAATTTTAATGAAGTTAGATTTATTTGATTTTCCTTTTGTTGCTTGTGATTTGGGTGTCATATCTAAGAAATCATTGTCCAAGGTCAAGAAGATTTACTGCTGTGTTTTCTTCTAAGAGTTTTAATAGCTTCAGCTCCTACTTTAGGTAAATGATCCATTTTAGTTAGTTTTGGTATATGATGTGAGTCCAATTTTATTCTTTTGCATGTGGATATCTAGTTGTCCCAGCATCATTTGTTGAAAAGACTTCTCTTTTATTTAATTTTCTTATCATTTTTGTCAAAAATGAATTGAACATAAAAGTAATGTTTTACTTCTGGACTCTCAAATCTATTCCACTGATCTGTAGATGCTGGTACCACGCAGTCTTGATTATGTTGTAGTAAGTTTTAAAATCTGGAAGTGTGAATCCTCCAGCTTTGTTCTTTTTCAAGATTATTTTGGCTATTCTGAGTCCCTTGAATTTCCATATGAATTTAAGGATTGGTTTAGCAATTTCTACAAAAAGATAGCTGTGATTTTGATAGGGATTGTGTTGAATCTGTAAATCAGTTTGGCATCTTAATAATGTGATATTTTCTAATCCCTGAACATATAATGTCTTTCTATTTATTTAGGCATTTTAACATTTCTCTCAACAATGTTTTGTAGCTTTCAGTGTATAAATCTTGTCCTTTTCTTAAGTTTATTCCTGAGCATTTAATTCTATTTGATGTTATTGTAAATAGAATTGTTAATTTCCTTTTTGAGTTGTTTCTTGTTACTGTGCAGAAATACAATTGAATTTTGCATACAGTTGATTTTCGTATTCCCATCTTGTATCCTGTAGCCTTGCTGAACTTATTTATTAGTTTTCATAGGTTTTTTTTTTTTGTAAATTCCTTAGGATTTTTTATATACAAGACCTTGTCACCTGCAAGTAGATAGTTTTACTTCTTCCTTTCCAATATAAAAGTCTTTTATTTATTTTTCTTTTCCAGTGGCTCTTGTGGAACCTCTAGTACAATGTTGAGGCAAGAGTGGACCTCCCTGTGTTATTCTTGATTTTAGAGGGAAATCATCCAGTCTTCTAATATTAAGTATAATGTTAGGTACAGTTTTTCATCCATGCCTTTCATCAGGTTGAAAAAATTCCCTTTTTTCCTAGTTTACTGGGTGTTTTATGATGAAAAGGTGTCCAATTTTGTCAAATGCCTTTTCTGTGTATACTGAGATGATTATGTGGTTTCATTTCTTATTCTCTTGATATGATATGGTGTATTATATTAATTGATTTTAGGATGGAAAACCAATGTTGCATTTCTGGGATAAACCCCATTTGACATGGTGGTAACTCTTTTTATATGCTGTTAGATTCAGTTTACTGGTATTTTGTTGAGGAATTTTGCATATTCACATGAGATATTGATCTGTATTTTTGTTTTCCTGTTACATCTTTGGTTTTAGTATCAGGGTAATTAACCTGCCTCATAGAGTGAATTGGAAAGTGCTCATTTCAACACTGTAAATTCAGAGACTTTTATCATCTTGATCAAATGAGCATTATCTATTTGTTTTAGGCATTTGAATCATAAATGTCTGAAATGTGTATCACACACAAAACTGACATTCAGTGGAGTTTGACTGAAATCCACTGTGCAATGAGTCTAATGAAGAAACTGGTAAAACTAAAACTAAACTAAGTCAAACTGAAATCAGTTGCAAATCTTAAATAATAGAATCCATAAAGCTGTTAAACTTTTCCATGCAACACAATTGCCATAAACTTTATAAATTGCTGATATAAACAAATTTTTGAATGGATAATTTCACTAAATTAGATATTGGTGTCCAAAAGCAGATTTTTCTAAGTTGGTAAATTTGGAAAATTTGGCGAATTGGACTTTGGGTAGCTTGGTCATTGGGTGAATTGTCTTCAGTAAATACTCTTTCAACTAATTGCCTAGTTTGTGGGTACAGATAAGGATCACGAGGACAGGAAATTGAGAGAACTTTGCCTACAGACTCCTTTTTCTTTTTTGCAGAATAGGCAGTGAGGTTAAGTGCTGACAGAGGTGAAGGTGAAGTAGAGGGTTTAAGAAAAGTGGAGAAAGGCTCGGCGGGGTGGCTCATGCCTGTAATCTCAGCACTTTGGGAGGCCGAGGTAGGTGGATCATCTGAGGTCAGGAGTTTGAGACCAGCCTGTCCAACGTGGCAAAACCCTGTCTCTACTAAACACACACACACACACACACACACAAACACACACAAATTAGCCAGGTGTGCTGGTGCATGCCTGTAGTTCCAGCTACTCAGGAGGCTGAGGTAGGAGAATCGCTTGAACCTGGGAGATGGAGGTTGTAGTGAGCTGAGATCATGCCACTGCACTCCAGCCTGGGTGACAGAGTGAGACTGCATCTCAAAAAAAAAAAAAAAAAAAAAAAAAAAAAAAAGTGGAGAGAGTTTGCAGGAGTCAATGAGGTGATGGAATTGGACAACCCAAGCTTGCTGAGTTGTGTTCAGGACCCAGCTCTGTTGGTGACAATTCCAATGGTTGTTGATGCTTCTTGTTTCTAGGAGTGTTCAGTGAAGAAGGCACAGGAGTAGAGAATCTGGTGATTAGTATGTAGGTGGGAGAAAAAGACAACGGGTTCAACAGGGCATGGCATGAGAATGGTGGTGTTGGCTCATGACATCCAGGCTGAGTTGAAAAAGAAGAAAGGCCTGGTAGACAAAAGGGTAAAAGAGAGAGTCCAAAGGACTGGAGTTTCAAGAGGTTAGAGGTTTAACATCTGAGTGTAAGGGGATGAGGGAGCCAGAGACAAGAAGCTGGGTTTACAGAGTGAGATTCTGGAGGGCAAAATTTCAGGGGTAAAGCAGATCTCATCAGGAAAGGGCCAGAGGCCTGGTAAACAGAGTGGGCTGGTTGGATGGGTTACTGGAGGTGAGGACAATGTAGAACAGTGGGGCCAGAGACTTGGATGGAGCAACTACATGGATGGGGCAAGCACATGGATGGAATGATAGCAGGTCTTGGGATGGTGAGCAAGACTCTGAGACTAAGACTTCACTGAATCTGTGAGTGATTAGGAGCTGTCTTCTCCCAACCCCAAACTCCATTAGCCCAGCATGAATGAACCATCCTGTCATTAAAAAGGTGGGACGGGGAAGGGAATCTTGTTCTCGAGTGTTTGCAGAACTTCTCTAGAGAGGTCTTTACCTTCCTGTATTTGCTTCTATCTCTGCCAGCTCCGTATTGACTACTCAGTCAGGTTTTGAATTCATGTTCTCTCAATCTTCTCTAGACCCATCCTGTTAGGTCTCTGACCGAATTTAATGATTCTTTTTTTTTTTTTTTTTTTTTTTACTAGCTGTGGAGTATATACTGTGCATGCTTTCTCCTGAAAAGTAGACATGCTTAAACTGCAACCTTGCCAACTGACTTCCTGCCGGTTGGGCTAAAAGATGCCCTAGGATCCTTATCCCTTAGCAGCTAAGGCCGAGACCATTAACAGGAAGTGGTAAAACCAATGTCCTGAGTCCCAAAAGATAAGGGACTTTACACAAAAATGGAGGAGCTATGGAAGCAACAATAAGGAATGAGAAGAAAGCTCCCTTTCTTCTTGCTCTCAACCCAAGATTTTGGATTTTCCCCTCAATTTACACATACCCTTTAAGTGTCTATCTGTACAAATGAATGACCTTGCAAAAAAAAAAAAATCCCCAAAATGGACTTTTTAAATGTGACTCCCTTTCAAGTTGCTGATGTGTCTCTGCCTTGTCTTCCCTTTTCATGGTCACCAAACTTCTTGAGCTGTATTTATGGTTTCTGCTTTTGCCCCTCTGAAGAGACAACTCTATCAGAGGTCAATAGTGAATGTCCTAATTTCCAAGTCCAATGGCCAAAGATAGTCTTTAAACCAATACTCTGGAGCCTGGCCAACGTTAGGTTCTGAGAATACAAAATTAACTATTGTATGCCCCCCAATAACTCACAATCTACTGGGGGAGATAGACTCAAATTGACATTTTCAACACTCTGTTCCTCTGGATTTTGAGACAGCAGTGTTCTAGTTGTAGTGCTCCTTTTCAATCCCCTAAGAGGGCTACTCTCTCTTTCTCTGTCTTTCTGTCTCTCTCTCTCTCTCTCTCTGGCCTTTGTATGTTGGCTCTATGCTAGGACTCTTTTTTTTCTCCCCCTATATTTCCTGTCTGAGAAATCTCATCTAAACCAATTGCTCCATTTCCCATGTATGTGCGTATGACTCTCAAGTTTGAATTGCTAGCTTACCTCTATCCTCTGAGCTCCAGAACAATTGTTAACAAGACAGTTCCTTAACACGAGTATATTTACAACCAAGTTCATCACTGTAACTCCTGATCTACTTCCCCTCTTACTTATCCTCATTCTCTGTGAATATGTGAATAGAATTTCTCTACCCAACTACCCAAACAGAAACCTGGTGTTATCCTCGACTCTTAATTTCTCCTCCACCTCATGTAATCACATACAATGTGTCTAGCCTATTCTACCTTTTCTATGGCTGTTTGTTCTGTCAGCTTCTCTAGGTTTTCCCTGTTTTTGGCCTAATCTGGGTTTCCAACTCCACTTAGACTCCTTAACTAGCTTCCTATTTGGTTTACCAGCTTCTAATCTTTTTTTTTTTATTTTTATTTTTTTATCAGCTTCTAATCTTGTCCCTCTCACCTATCTTACAGTCTGATGCAAGAATGATCTTTCTGAAATGTTAATCTTATCCCTCTTTTCTCCATTTAAAAATACTGGTGGCTTCCCTTAGTCTTCAGGATAAAATCCAAACACTTTATCATATCTTACAGGGTCCTTTGTAACCTGGTCTTGCCTGGCTTTCCAGCTTCTCTTCCTTTACTTTTTCCTCAAATCTTAAATCCCTGCTGTGCCAAATTAATTGGAATTTCTCAACCACTCTATACCATTTCATAATTCAATGCATCTACAGATCTTGCTGCATGGAATGCCCTCCAAACTAATTTCTTTCCCCAATGCTTGATGAGTTCCTAATCATTCTTCAAGATTCAGCCCTAGCATTGTTTATTTTGAGAAGTTCTGCATGGACCACTTCCTTTCTTGGTACTCCAGTAGGCCTCAGGTGCAACCATGTTCATAGTATCTGTTTTACTATGTTGTACTTATTTATGATCTGTCTCTCTAACTGGTCTTTTGGGCCTTTGAGGGGTCATTCCAATATTTCAAAGCATAGTGCTTTGGAGGGAGAAATATGCTTGCTAAGTTAACTGATTAATTATTGAGTGCCTCCTATGACAAAGAAGACACAAGCTGGGTACTGTGATGAATTTTGCAGGTTCCCTTTCCTCTCTTAAAAAATTCTCAGTCTCCTTCAAAAGTTCTCTATCCTGTCTGTTCCCTACTGCCTGACCTCAGCCTCCTCTTGCTCTACATATATACTCTGAGTCACTCTATCCATTTATTTAGCTTTAATTGCTGACAACTCCCAAATTTGTTCTTCCAGCAAAAACCTCTTTCTCAAGCTCCAGATGCTTCCAGGCATCTCAAATGCAGCACATATGAAACTGAACTATCTTCTTTTTCTTTTTATTCCTTCTGGGATAAAAGGAGAAGTAATTGTAGGAAAGGTTATGAAACCATTTTACGGAAAAGTAGTTAGAAATTAAGCCAGGACAATGTCATTAAGTCTTCAGTGACATCCCTAGGTACAGCTTTTGTGTTTTCATCTCCTTTTGTGTTTTCAAGTGAATAGCAGAAAAACCCTTTAATGGTGTGCTTCCTGTACTGGGCTACACAGTGGTGTACCAAGGTATATATGAAACCACAGTGTAAACAAGGCTTGTCTTCCCAAGACATCAATTTTGATAGAAAATTGTGTGTGTTCATGTGTGTGTGTGTGTCTGTGTGTAATGTACAATATTTAACTTGTGAGAATTAAAAATCTTATTTTTCTATTAAACAGATATGTTGTGGAACAGAATGCAAAAATGTCAGAAAAGTTTAGTTCTTTCCTGGAAATGTAAGCACACAAACCATTTCTATTATTAAGATATCTCAGATTTAACTACCAAATTTAAGGCTGGGCTCAGTGGCTCACGCCTGTGATCCCAGTACTTTGGGAGGCCGAGGCGGGTGGATCACCTGAGATCAGGAGTTTAAGACCAGCCTGACCAACATGGTGAAACACCGCCTCTACTAAAAATACAAAAATTAGCCAGGCCTGGTAGCAGGCACCTATAATCCCAGCTACTTGGGAGGCTGAGGCAGGAGAATTGCCTCAAAAAACGAAAACGAAAACAAAACGAAAACATCAATAACTAACAAATTTATATCCCAGAAACTAAAGGAGAGCTACACTATGCCCATGCATTTAAGAGCACAGAGAGGAAAGCCTTAAGGGTACAGATATTACCCAGGCATGAACAATAGGGAATCAGCTTTGCAGGAAGTTCTTTTTTAGATGAAGAAGGAGGAAACAGGAGAAGGGAGGAGTCAGTGAGTCCAAAAGACAGAGCTAAGCAGAAGAACTCAGTATAACACATTGATTCATTCAACAGACATTTATAGATGTCTATTTTGCCTCATGTTCTTTACAGGGTGGTGGGAAAAGTGAATTAGACGTGTTTGTGCTCTTAAGTAGTTCACTGTTTAGTAATGAGTGCTGAACAATATAATTATACCGTTGTTGTAATGAAGAATGTACAATGTAAAACTGGACTGCAAAAGAAAATAAAGAAAACAGTCCTGTTTATAATAGCATTAAAAAGAATAAAATCTTAAGAATAAATTTAACCAAGGAGGTGAAAAATCTACATACACACACACACACAAAGATCTATACACTTGTATACATATGTAACAAACCTGCATGTTGTGCACATGTACCCTAAAACTTAAAGTATAAAAAAAAAAAGATCTATACACTGAAAACTATGAGGTGCCAATGAAAGAAACTGAAAAAGAACAAATAGCTGGAAATACATCCCATGTTTATGGATTGGAAGAATTAATAATATTAAAATGTCCATGTTACCCAAAGTGATCTACACATTCAATTCAATCCCTATGAAAATTCCATGGCATTTTTCATAGATGTAGAAAAAAGTCCTAAAATTAGTACAGGACAACAAAAGACTACAAATAGAATAAATAATCTTGATAAAGAACAAAACTGGAGGCATCACCTTTGCTGATTTCAAACTACATTCAAAGTTACAGTAATCAAAACATTATGTACCATACTGTTTTGCATGTACAACTTAAACATAGACACACAGACCAATAAAACAGGATAGAGAACTCAGAAATAAACCCATGCATGTATGGTCATGTGGTCAACTGATCTTTTTTTCTTTTTTTTTAATAGGGTCTTGCTGTGTCGCCCAGATTGGAGTGCAGAGGCACAATCTTGGCTCACTGCAGCCCTGACTTCCCGGGCTCAAGTGATCTTCCCATCTCAGCCTCCTGAGGAGCTGGGACTACAAGCACACACCACCACATTCAGCTAATTTTCTTGATTTTTTTTTGTAGAGATGAGGTCTCCGGATGTTGCCCAGCCTGGTTTCAAACTCTTGTGCTCAAGTGATCCTCCTGCCCCTGCCTCTCAAGGTGCTGGGGTTACAGGTGCGAGCCACCATGCCCAACTGGTCAACTAATCTTTGATGAGGCACCAAGAATACACAATGAGGAACAAAAATCCCTTCAATAAATAGTATTGGGAAAACTGGATAGACATATGCAAAATGACAAAAATGGACTTTTGTATTACACCATATAAAAATGAATTTGGAATGGATTCAAGACTTAAATGTAAGATGTGAAACTGTAAAACTCTTAGAAGAAAACATAGGGGAACAGCTCCTTGACATTGGCCTTGGCAATGATTTTTCAGATATGACACGAAAAGCATAGGCAAACAAAATAAAAATAAACAAGTTGTACCACATCAAACTAAAAGGCTCTGTACATCAAAGGAAACAACAAAATGAAAAGGTAACTTACCGAATGGGAGAAAATATTTGCAAACCATATCTGATAAGGGGCTGATATCCAAAATATATAAGGAACTCACACAACTCAATAGCAAGAAAACACAAAAAATCTGATTTGAAAATAGGTAAAGGATCTGAATAGATATTTTTCTAAAGAAGAAATACATGAAAAAGTGTTCAGCACCACTAATCATCAGAGAAATGTAAATCAAAACCATAATGAGAGATCATCCTACACTTGTTAGCATGGCTGTTATAAAAAAAGATAAGGGATGACAAGTGTTGGTGAGGATGTGGAGAAAGGGGAACACTTGTACACTCTTGGTGGGAATGTAAATTGGTACAGCCACTATGGGAAACAGTAGTATGAAGGTTCTTCAAAAAATTAAAAATAGAACTACCCTATGATCCAGCAATACCACTTCTGGGAAACAAAATCAGGATCCTGAAGAGAGATATCTGCATTCCCATGTTCACTGCAGCCTTATTTACAATAGCCAAGATACAGAAACAATCTAAGTGTCTGTCGACACATAAATAGATAAAGAGAATGTGGTATATTTATATACAATGGAATTGTATTTAGCCATAAAAAAGGAAATCCTGCTATTCATGACAACGTGGATAAACCAGAAGAACATTATGCTAAATGAGTCAGTTAGACACAGAAAGAAAATTACGTATGAGCTCATTTATATTTGAAATGTAAAAACATTGAACTCATAGAAACAGAGTAGAACAGTCATTGCCAGGGTCTGAGGTATGAGGGAAATAGAGATGTTGATCAAAGGGTCTAAACTTTCAGTTATAAGATGAACAAGTTCTGGAGATCTAATGTACAGCATACGTGGTGATGGATGTGTTAACTAAAAAAAAAAAAAAAAGAAATTGGATCATTGGAATAGTGCTGAGTTTTGCTTGGGTAATTCTGTCAACACTTTACAAAAAACGCAACCTTTCAGCTTTTGGCTAGTCTTGGAAAATTTATAGGTGTTTTCTATCTGTGGATTGGTTAGAAATATTCCAGAAAATTGGAATATAAAATGTGTGGGAAATGAATTAGAAATATGCTCACATTCTTGACAATCATTATAAGCATTTAAGTTCTGGAAGAGGAAGGAGACCATTTCTTTTGCTTGGTATACTCAGTAGTGTAGCTTAACCCTATCTCTACATGTGGTACCATGTTTATTGTTTGTAAAGCTCAGCCAGAGAGTTGAATATGGCATGGATGTAGCTTACTCCTCCTTATTTAATGAACATATATTGAGCACCTATTTTGTATCAGGCCTTATGATAGAGTTATCAAGAATGAGTCCCAATCTCTGGCTTCAGCAGTTTGGCTGAATGAAGGGATCAGTTAAGTAGACAGGCAACTAGTTAGGTGTATGCCCACAGGATTATAAATAACAGTACACAAGAGAGGCCTGAGCCCATTTGGACGGTGATGTGGAGTTTGGGGCCTCAGAAAAGTGACTTCTGAGCAAATATTTGAATGACAAGTAGGAGTGGACTTGAAAGAGGGCAAGCATTATAGTAGAGGGAACATCATACACCAAGTAGTAATATAGTCAGAGAATAACAAGGAGTTTCTCATGAAGGGTGGCTGCAAATAGTGGTAGGAAAGGAGGCTGAGAAGTGGCCGGGACCAGGTCATAGATGACCTTTGTGTCATTAAATGTCTGGATTTTTATCCAGCGAAGGCGGTGGTTAGTCACTGGAATACTGGCTATGAAGAGTGTTTTTCAAAGAGTAGATTATAATCCATTAGTGGGTTGTAAAATCAATTTAGTGAATTGGGGCCAGCATATAAAAGGTGAACAAGTAGAAAATATGAGGGTAGATCATATTTGTAAAGGTAAATAACATTTTATGAAGATTTTGTTTCAATCATTTATGTTTATGGATAATCTGTTCTGATGTAAAATGTTTTTTGACCTGTAGGTCACAGTCACAATTTTTGAGAAGCACTTGTTTAAAGGTTCAGTGTTACACAAATTATCAGATTACTTTTAGTAGTAATTAACAGAAAATTCAGATCCAAATGGGAATAATCACTAAAAAAGATTATTATTCCAACGTAACTAGGATTCCAGTTTGGGAGCTCTTGGTGCTGTAGTTTTAGTTGTTTTTTTTTTTTTTTTTTTTTTTTTATACTTTAAGTTTTAGGGTACATGTGCACATTGTGCAGGTTAGTTACATGTGTATACATGTGCCGTGCTGGTGCGCTGCACCCACTAACTCGTCATCTAGCATTAGGTATATCTCCCAATGCTATCCCTCCCCTCTCCCCCCACCCCACAACAGTCCCCAGAGTGTGATATTCCCCTTCCTGTGTCCATGTGATCTCATTGTTCAATTCCCACCTATGAGTGAGAATATGCGGTGTTTGGTTTTTTGTTCTTGCGATAGTTTACTGAGAGTTTTAGTTGTTCTAATCTGCCACTCTCAGTGTTATCTTCTGCCTAAAGCCAGTTCCCCAGTGGCACTTAGAATAACATGCCAATTTATTCATCTAGGCAGAATAGAGCTTAGATTCTCACTGCCTTAACTTAGTTTAGGCCTGTCCACTACAACCCATTCAGGAACTAATCTACTGTAGGAAACTGTAATGCAATGTGGCAAATTCAGTGTATTATCGAAACATAGAGCACCTCAGCTGACGAAGTCATGAATTTAGCTGTGGGGATGGGCGGGGAGCCACCTAGGTGATACCAAAAGTTTGTGTGTAAGTTACATAGGTAAAAGAGAGAAGGCTGTCTGCACGGCAGGGACTGCTTTAACAAAAGGTTGTGGACAGGGGAGCTGTGCACAGGGAAACATCCAAAATAGGAACTTTTATGCTTCTAGAGCATAGCATTTAGAGGCAAAGGAAGTAGTTGGAGTGATGAGTAGATGCCTGAACAAGGAGGGGAGTCATGATAAGGATCCCATAGGAAATAAGCAACTGGAGATCATCACCAGGGAATTAAGATGATCAGATTCCCGTCAGTACAGCCAAAGTGTAGAGGGAGGTAAGTTAGGAGGTTGTTGAAGTAACCCAGGATAGAGGTATCTTGGATTTCTTACTAGGGAGCAAGTTGACTGCAGATTTGAGAAACATTACGGAAATAAACATGACTTGTTAATTTCAGTGTCAATGAGGGTAAGGAAATAATCTCTGACTTTTCTAGTCATCTCCCCAAGATATCAGGCTTACAGTGTATTAACTGTAAAGCCTAAACTTGTTACCTTTTGAGAAAGGAGTGATCATTACTTTGTCTACCTTACTGTAAAGAACTGGCGCCCAAGACGGTGGGAACCTTTGAGAGTGGTGCTCTTGGGTTTGGAACGCATTAAAGAGGTGCCTAGATGGACTTGGGGGGAGCAGTCCACTAGTTGAAGAAGTTATTTATAAGCCAGATTAGTAAAATTCTTTTTTTTTGAGACAGAGTCTCGCTCTGTTGCCCAGGCTGGAGTGCAGTGGCACAATCTCAGCTCACTGCAAGCTCCGCCTCCCAGGTTCACGCCATTCTCCTGCCTCAGCCTCCTGAGTAGCTGGGACTATAGGTGCCCGCAACCACGCCCAGCTAACTTTTTGTATTTTTAGTGGAGACGGGGTTTCACCGTGTTAGCCAGGATGGTCTTGATCTCCTGACCTTATGATCTGCCTGCCTTGGCCTCCCAAAGTGTGGGGATTACAGGCGTGAGCCACCGCACCCGGCAGTAAAATTCTTGATGCTGTTACTTTCCTTGTGTTATCCCTGAGCCTTTAGCAAATGTTTTAGGATTCATGTACTTTTATTTGGACCAAAACATTAAAGGGGAAGCAGTGTCCCTTGAGGCCACTGTGGTAGTGGCAGTGGCCTGTTATTGTGAGCTCATTGATGGTACAGGTTGTTTCTTATCTCTAGTCTCTATTAGATGAACAGTGGATATTGTATCCCTTCTGCCTAAATTGATGCTGGGAACTAGCAGATGCTCAAAAAGCATGTAGGGAACTGTTGGAAGTCCCAAAGGGAGATATATTTCTGGGGTCTAAGAGGAAAAGCTACAGGAGCCCAGCCACAATCCATCTATTTAAAATAAAGATGTGGTTTTAAGGAAAGTGGTTTCTCTAGAAGTTAGGTATGACTCCTAGATACCTAGCTAGGGTGGATATTCATGCTAAGACAGAAGAGGGGTATATTTTTTAGCAGAAGCAGAGTTGTAGCTTTATTTCATAAATGTTTTGAGTGTCTACTATATTTCATTTAAAATATAAGAGCTTTCTGGCTATAGTGTGAAGAACAAACCATAGTAGAGAAAAAGAGATAAAGAGCTCTGTTGGGAGTAGATGAGTATCAGACTAAGGCAGCTACAGCTAAATTAGCACCAGAATAGTTCGTTCTGTCACTGAAGCCATGTCTGCTACACCAGTGATCCCTTTACCCTTACTCTTACTTATTATCTCAGACAGTGGATGGGTTCAGTGGGCCAAATACACTCAGAAGATAGAGCCTAAGATAAAATCTCTTCTACCCACTTTACTGGGGATATGGCAATTATCAGGCACTGCTATCAAGTGTTTGGACCAAGACTGATGGCTCCTTTCTAAGTCCTTCCATAACTACTACCCTACTAAAGCCTCTGAACCCAAGGGAACGGCAGCCTGGCTGTGCCAAGAAAGGGGCTCCCAGCTTCTCACATTCTGAAGCCGGATTTCCCTTTTCTGGGTTCCCAGAGAGGCCAGATTTGACAACAATAAAAACTTCCAGGAAATTCCTAGGAGGTTTAATTTCCTAATCCTTCTCTCGCATAGACCCTCTTTCTTACCCCTTCCCCTCACCAAGAGGAAGGAGCTTATCCTGGAGCCCAACATCCTCTGCTGAATGTCTCCACCCCTTTGGCCAAACTGGTGGAACATCTGAGTTCTTGGGTCCTCTCCTCCCAGGCCCATTCAGGGGGTTGAAGGGAACACATTAAGGTAATGTGTGATCCTGCCTCAAAACAGAGGACTGATTGCAGTATCCCCTGAAGGTTCGCAGGGTACTAGATTGTTTAAGGAAGTTTCACTTGCAGATTGTCACTCCCCTACCCCTGTCAGGAAGTAATCTTTCTCTAAGAAATCCCAAGCACTCATCTCTAGGAGACCAGATGTCAAAACACAACCACCTCTGGCAACATTTGGAATTATAGGATGCATTCCCATGTAAACTGGCATTAAGAAAAACAAAATTGCACTAACCAAAAATAACCCAAATTTAAGGACCAGAAGCATAAGCCATGAATTTACTATCTCAGGTAGACTGAGCATTTGGATAATTCTCATTCTCCAGAAATCCCACAGGAAGGAAAAAATAAATAAATTTATATATATTCATATAAAGACTTTTATCTATTGTGCAAAGAGAGGGTCATCTGGCTCCCCAGAAGGTTCTCAACCCCATCAAGACTGTCCATTTTACATCTCTAGCTCCAGTTCTTCTCAGAGAGTAAAAGTGCTCCAAAGGCCTGTGATCATGGGTACTGATTAAGGGCTGCAGACTCTTCAGATCCAGTTAAATCCCTGGTGTTTGAGCTGTGTGGGAGCTGTGGTTGCTTGCTTCCTGGCTTTGCCTGAGGTCCTGCCGCAAACCCTGCAGCAGCTGGTTTAGGAGTGTAAGGTGGCTGTCTCTGCGAGGCAGAGGCAGGGGTGGGAGGCAATTCCCTTTATACTCGATCACTGCCATCTTGGCCCGATCCAAACTCCGATTTGGGATCTGCAGCATTCTTGTGTAGCCCCCAGTTTGATCTTTGTACCGAGGGGCCAGTACTTGAAACAGCTTTGGGATCAAATCCTTCTCCTAGAGGGAGAATTATCCAAGAGACAGCAGAGTCAGGCAAAACTGCAGAGGCATTTAACTTTACACCATTCCCAAAGGTAAGGTCCATCCACACATAGAAAGACCTCCCCCTCCCCTCGCCAATCTGGCATAGTCAGTGTTACACAAAGGGGTCGTTTATAGGCAGTTGTGCAGAGGTATATTCACATCGACTTCAACTAACTTAAGACACAGTTTCTAATTTAGTTAGCAGCACTGGCCCATAAGTGAGTACCCAAGTTTAATTCTGCATAGTTCTCCTTTTTCCAACCCCCACCCCCAGGGAGCAAAGGGTGGGATTTTGAAGGCAGATAGGTCGCACTCACTGTGAGCCAGAAGTCAGCCATGCGCATGGCTCGTTCGTTAGTGTCTCCCAGCTTCCCATAGTCGATGAGCTGTGAGGACATAACATCACGGATCCAACCGAGCAAGAAAACAAGGTGCCAATCTAATTTCTCTAATGCCGGAAGGCAATCCATTCTTTCCACTAGCCAAGCATCTCCAATCTACGCCACCCCTAACTCCGCAGCCCTAACCAGTCTTCCATTAGAGGCGATGGAGGGGCGGGTTCAGCCCAAGGTTCTGGGGGACTCAGACTTGGGGAATGGTTTACCAGGTTGGTCCCGGTCCCTTTCCACTTGCAGCCGGCTCCGCCCCCTCAGACCAGACCCGCAGAGTGGACAAGAGGGCCGCGCTCCTCACCTTCTCCGCGTAGCCCCTCATTTCGTCCACACGCGCCCATGGTGCCTCGATGCGTTCGTGCCGCACCAGCCCTGTGAGCAAGTTCCGCAACAGATGGATGCGGGACTCGGGACCGAGGCCCATACGGCGAAATACGCGGCCATGGGAGATCGCTGCAGCGACCGACAGCCGCATGTTTCCAACTTCTGCCCGCCCCTTGGAGGCCGGAACTGGAAACTGGAAGGTAGAGCCGGTGGCGGCAATTTCAGGGAACGCATGCGCCTTAGCTCGGAGCGTGGTGAACGTGTTTGCGCATGCGCATCAGAGCCTGCCTCGTTGGCAATCTCGGGAAGGGCGGAGAAACGGTGTTGAGCTTTTCCAGAGGCGGCGAGCTGGGCGGGCTTCAGGCATCCAGAGCGCTCTGTGGCGGCCGAAGAACCAGGCGCCCCCTAGTGTGGGATAAGCGGGCCATCGGGTTTTTTTTGGGGCTGCGTCAGCCAGTGGCATTTAGGGCGATGGGGCGCTCCGCCGCGGAGACTCCTGGGAAAGAGAGCGTCTGAAGAGAAAGGCACCCGGAGGGTTCGGGGTCCTGCGGGCTGACGGCCCTACCGGGTCCAGCAGTGGCCAGCTGGCCTGGTTGACACCTGTACGCATTGTTTTTAACACAGTGATTTTCAGTAGTAATGGTGAGATGGATAATAACGATGCCCGGAAAAGAAACGCAGATAGTGAAATTTTTCTTTTATTGAAGTAATCACTCCAGTTAAAAAAATTACAGCACTAAAGGGAAAAGTAGTAGATTGTTTTTAATTACACCAGTGTGTCTTTTTAAGGGGAAAAAACATACCTACACATTTATGTGTTAATGAACAATAATATTATAGTTTGTTTTTGAGCCTTAACATCTGCAAATTGGCAATGACTGTCAAAATTATTCCTTGTTATGGGTTGAATTGTGTCTTCCCCATGATTCTTCCCGTCCCCAAAAAGCTATGTTAAGTCCTAACCTGCAGTAACTCAGAATGTGACCTTATGTGGAAATAGGGTCATTGCAGATGTCATTTGTTAAGATGAAGTCATGCAGGCATAGGTGGGCGCCTAATCCAAAATGCCTAGTGTCTAGCTAGCTAGATAGATAGACACATATATACGTACATACATATATGCAGGCCGGGCACGGTGGCTCACTCCTGTAATTCCAGCACTTTGGGAGGCCGAGGCGGGCGGATCACCTGAGGTCAGGAATTCGAGACCAGCCTGGCCAACATGGCGAAACCCCGTCTCTACTAAAAACACAAAAATTAGCCGGGCGTGGTGGCTCATGCCTGTAATTCTAGCTACTCGGGAGGCTGAGGCAGGAGAATAGCTTGAACCCGGGAGGTGGAGGTTGCAGTGAGCTGAGATCGGGCACTGCACTCTAGACTGGGCGACAGAGTGAGGCTCTATCTCAAAAAAAAAAAAAAAAAAAATGCGCATGAAGAGAGAGAGATGGACACAGGGTGATGCTGACCAGGTAAAGACAGAGACATACAGGCAGAAAGCCATGTGACCTTGAAAGCAGAGATTATGGAGTCAAGCAGTTGCAAATCAATGAATGAACACCAAGGATTGCTGGAGCACACCTGAAGCCAAGGGAAAGGTATAAAACGCATTCTTTTTCAGATCTGTCAGAGAGCATGACCCTGCTGCTAACACATCGCTTTCTTACTTCTAGCCTCCAGAGCCACAAAACAATAAATTTCTGTTGTTTTAAGTTCCACAGTTTGTGATAGTTTGTTACAGCAGTCTTAGGAAATGAATTCACTCCTCTTTACATGTACATATTCAGTAGACGTATAGATTTGTCACTTTGTCAGCTTATAGGTGACCAAAGAACACTTCTTTGCTAATTTTAATTTTGAAAAGTTTCTTTAATATGAAGGAACAAATATGCAAATAGGAAAAGTCATGAACATATAAATACATTGACAGATTTATACAAATCACACTTCACAATTAAAGAAATTTACAATAAATTACAGAAATTACAATTACCATTCATGTTTTGTTTCTTTGGGAGCAATTCTTGTAGTTTTCAATTGTCTTTGCAGTTGAAAAATTTCACTAAGATGTTTTCACCAGGATATATATATATTTTTTTGAGACGGAGTTTCTTTCTTGTTGCCCAGGCTGGAGTGCAATGGTGCGGTCTCGGCTCACTGCAACCTCCACCTCCTGGGTTCAAGCGATTCTCATGCCTCAGCCTCACAAGTAACTGGGATTACAGGCGCCCACCACCATGCCTGGCTAATTTTTTTTGTATTTTTAGTAGAGACGGGGTTTCACCATGTTGGCCGGGCTGGTCTCGAACTCCTGACCTCAGGTGATCTGCCCGCCTCAGCCTCCCAAAGTGCTGGGATTACAGGTGTGAGCCACTGTGCCCGGCCCACCAGAAAATTTATCATAAATTTCTATTGGTAAAAACTTGTGAAGAGGTTCTTCTTCAGCAAAAATTAGGTGAAATGAAACATTGATCCATTGTCTTAGAAAATGCTTACACTTGGTAAAAACAATTGTAGCATCAAACACTGTCCTTTTGACTTTTTCTGGCAATACAAGACCGTCATCTCTTGTCTCTTCTGGTAGTCTTCAAAATTTGATTCTTTTTTATATGTCAATTTCCTTACATTTTGTTTTTGCAGCATTACTACTGGCTTTCTCTGCAATTTCTGTGGGCTGATATTAACGGAACAATTTTTTTTTACAGTCCAAGGGTCTTTTATTAGTGGTATTATTTGCACCTATTATGTCATGAATTCATAGGGAATAGGTTCCAGTAGCTCTGGCTCCTCTCCATTGGTTCTCACCAAGTGTGCTTCTCTTGGTGCAGCAGGCTGGCCTGTCAGCTGAATCCAGGTACCTTTCTCTTTGGCTCTCTTCTTTTTCTGATCATTTTCTTTCATGCATTTCAGGAGACTACCTTTTCCCTTAGAGTGTTTAATGTGCTCCATATGCACATTAATTCTTTTGGCAAGAATCTAGCCCTTAACTTTTTTTTTTTTTTTTCCCTACAGCAATGCTAACAGCATGCTGAGTAACATTATAGACTCTTCCAGTTTTTGCCATGGTAACACTTGTGAGGCATTCCTTTTTGAACCATACCCATTCCCTTGATGTCTACAGTATCACCTTTTTTATAGACTCCCATGCATGTGGCCAACTCCATGTTTTCTAAAAGGCCTAGAAAACATACACTGGGTGCCTCTCCTGTTTTCCTTGTGTTGGCCATTTTGGTGAATTACCAGAATATGGAGCTTCCAGCCAAAAGGAAGTTAAAGCAACAATTTAAACCTTGATGTTTTACTGACTGTATGTTGTTCAAGGCTTATTGTGGCTCTTTGCAGATATTTTTGTGTTTGATTAGCCTTCTTTGAAACTTTACATTAATAAAAAAATACTCATAAAAGAAAAGTCCCAGAAAACCAAGGTTGTTTGTTTTAAATCTACTGTTTAAAAGCAGGGATATTTTGTACAACAGGAGTTGGAGTCATGAAATGTACCTGAAGTGAGCCTGAGAGCTAATTAAACTCTTATGAATTTATATCTATAAATATAAATAAAACTCTGGTCTCCTGCACAGCTGGCTCTGTGTGAGTTACTCTTTCTCTATCGCAATTTCCCTGTCTTGTTAAATCGGCTCTGTCTAGGCAGTGGGCAAGGTGAACTCATTGGGTGGTTACAAATCTGGGGGCTTGTCCAGGATTGCCCATGTGGCTACCTGCCCATGGTTTGGTAGTCCCCCTCTGGTGATGGATTCAGATGCCAGCTCAAGCAGCTGCCTAGTTATTTTGGACTGGGGGCTGACTCTGGTATTGTCTCTGCTGAAGGGGCACTGGTGACCCAGTGTGCATGGATTTAATTGCAATAGAGAAATAGTCTTGAGGAGATGTCCTATAACTGTAGCCCTATCACAAGGTGTCTGTCTGTAGCCCAGTCATGGAGTGTCTGTAGCTGTAGCCTCATTACAGTGTGTCTGGATTGGTGAATATCCTAGGCACGGCCAACGCCTCCTTCCTTTTCCCGATTGGTTTGATTCCTTTGGGGAGGGGGTCTTGGTTTTTCTGTTGCCCCATGGTGGGGTGTCGGTCTGTAGCCCCACTGAGGGGCATCTTTCTCAGTTTGGTTCATTTGAGATTCTCGGTTGGCTCTCTCTAATTAGTAGGAAGAGTCTTGGTTTGGGAGACTTCTCAATCAGGAAGATTTTGGGGAGATTTCTCAGACAGAGAACAGGAGGATAGTTTGGAAGGGATACTCTTGGAGTTCTTGGTTAGGGATCTGATTTGGAAGCCCTTCTGTCTGTCTTGTCTTTGTATGTGTTTATATATGTGGAGGGGACCTCAGAAGGACTTGCTGATGAAAGTCCAGCAGGCCTAACTCAGAGAACCCTCCTTATTTGTCTGGTCACATTCGGTGAGTCCCAAAGAAAGCTCAACAGGCCTGGCTCAGGACGACTATCTGCTCTTCGTCTTGCCCAGAGACCACCCATCAAATTACTGGTTGGAGGTCATTCCTCCCCACCTGGAGTGGATCAAAGACAATGGGGACCAATGGGAGAAAGTTTGAGCCTTGCCAGGTCAATACTGGGTGGTGAATGAGATGACTAGTGTCTGTTTTGTTATGTATATTTTGCTTTTACAGGGATGGAAAATGTTAGTTTGTTTCCCCATGCAGCCTCTTGGGCAGCATCTTGCAAAATTGAGAATCTTTTGCTTATGGTTCCATAAGAGAGAAAAGGGTGATTTTCTTTTGTAAAGTGGCTTGACCTCCACAGCTATGGCACAACTAGCAGGGTCATCAAAAGCTGCTCTGTTCTTCCAGAAGCTGCAGAGAAAGGGAACCTGGAAACCTGGTATGCTGGCAAAAAGGGTAAGAAATTCTTACCAGCTGGGTTTCTGTACCTCCCCATCTGTGTGTGTGTGTGTGTGCACGTGTGTGTGTGTGTGTGCACGTGTGTGTGTGTGTGTGTATAAATGGTAAACATCACTATTTGCCTTCTCTGCAAGGGTTTGATTAATAGAAAAAAGGATTTGCGAGACTAGTCAGGCTGTAGCAAATCTGGTTGACTTTGTGCTAAGAATTTGTCTTTCTGTAATGGAGAGAGGGGTATCACAGGATAGAACGTGGGCTTAGGACCCCAGTAAGCCTGCTTTTCAAGCCAGCCTAGCAGACTGGTCAGTAACAAACTTTGTTGAGGGTCCCTGAAACCAATACCGGATGAAATTTCTCTGTCTTGTTTAGTGTCCTTAAGAGCTTAACCTTGTGACCATGTGAGGATATTGTCTCTTGGTTTCTGCCATCCAGAGGACAGGAATTTTGGGGTTCATGTCATAGTTAGCCCTAAAAATTATCTTGAGGAGTTAAGAGCCTTTGCAAGCTTGAAATTGGCTGCTCTAGACTTCTTCTGGGAAGAGCAATAGAAACTGCTCAATGCTGTGTAGCTCAGTAGCTGAAGCTTTTTTTTTTGACAGTGGTGGCCTGGGTTCAATTCTTGGCTTCTGGAAAGTTTCCTTTCTGGTTTGTTATTTATGTAATTTTGCTATTTATTGAGGGTTTTTCCCCCATGGATAGCTTCTGATTTCCTGTCTTGGATTTTCCTTTCTCTAAACTACCCTTGGTAAACTACCCTTGGGGAGATTGTAAATCTTGCCAAAAAAAAAAAAAAAAAAAAAAAAAAGAGAAACTGCTTATCATCTCTTTGAGACACCTTATATGTCCATGGTTAAGTTATAACCTTAGCTAAAACTTATTAATTTCATGTAGAAAGTTACCTGTGGTAGAAATCAAAAGCCAGAAATATCGGCTGTCCTGGCTAGAGTCTGGTAATAAGAAATTTTAAAGGATTTATTTATTTTTTTAAAAAAGATCTCTATGGTTAAAATCAGCTTAATTAAAAAGAAATATCCAAGCTATATGTATTTAAGAGGACTTTATCTTTTTCCTCTTCTTGAATTGTGTTTTCCTGAAAAAAGTTTTTTTTCCTTGGTAGACAGAATTGTTCTTTTCCATTTTGTCTTCTTGCCACTCTTGATGCCCACATGAGAGAATTTAAGATAAATTCTAACAGCCTGGGACTCCTGGGGAAAAGCAGAGGAGGCACCACAGACCCTATTCTGGGATAAAGCTCTGTTTTCCTCACAGAAGCCCAGGAATTGAAAGAGAATAGATCCCTTTCAAAATCTAAGGCTCTATTCTGTTTTGCATTGCATTAGGTGACAGTTTTGACTTTTGTGGGTATCAGAAATTACTTCGCATTATGAGAGAAATTTGGTGTGTAATAACTAGGTAGGAAATTACTTTTGGGGATGGCTAATGGCAGTTATGGGGGGATACTTGGCTCTTTGAAGTTTTGATTAGAGAAGTATGTTCTTGGCCACCTGGAAGATATGGAAACATCTCCAACCCTCACTGAGAGATGAGACTCCCATGGGGGATGGGCTGAGTATAAAATGGGCTGATTGGCTTTGGGCTGTCTTACAATGAAATGCATGGTAAAAGCACTGCACTATCTTCTCCTGTCGTATTTCCCTCTCTTTTGGGGATCTAGGATCCAGTATAAAATGGCACCTTTAATCTTGAGGACCTGTCTTTGCCTTCCAGCTGTGCCTGCTTGTTAGGCCCTAGAAACTGCATACTTTCCTGGCCCTGTACCTCCAAGGGCTCCACCCTGAAGCCAGTACTCCAATTAAGAAACTGGCAAATGAGGGGCTGGGCACAGTGGCTCACGCCTGTAATCCCAGCACTTTGGGAGGCTGAAATGGGCGGATCACAAGGTCAGGAGATCGAGACCATCCTGTCTAACACAGTGAAACCCCATCTCTACTAAAAATACAAAAAATTAGCCAGGAGTGGTGGTGGGTGCATGTAGTCCCAGCTACTTGGGAGGCTGAGGCAGGAGAATGGCATGAACCTAGGAGGCAGAGCTGGCCGTGAGCTGAGATTGCGCCACTGCATTCCAGCCTGGGCGACAGAGCGAGACTCCATCTCGGAAAAAAAAAAAAAGAAACTGGCAAATGAAAAACCTTACAAGTGCTGAACCTTCTCTCTGTCTGTCTACTTATATGCATTGTGTGTGTAATGTTTATATAAAAAGGGCTCTGATTAGTTGGCTTAGAAAAATAAGCACTTAAATAAAATATTTGGTTAGAAAAATAGAAACTTTAATGCCTTTTTGTTCACATGACTTTAGTAATCTTTTGGAAATAAAGACAGTTTTAAAGATTATTGGTAAAATAAAAATGTCTTCAAAATGTAGACATTTGGTTTAAAGGTCAGATATCAGATCTGCTAAATGCTTTAAGGTTGTAAACTGCTTCTTTGACTTTGGAAAATTGTTCAGTTTACCTACTTTGGAGCATTGGACTCTAGATAAGGCCTGGGGACATGTGGAGTTGGCCATGCCCCCTAGCTATGCTAGAAAGAGTCAGATCTTATCTTCACTTCCGTCTGATGTCCTAGGCCCCACAACTAGTACATAATTATTTATTTATTTATTTATTTATTTATTTTTTTTATTGATCATTCTTGGGTGTTTCTCGCAGAGGGGGATTTGGCAGGGTCATAGGACAATAGTGGAGGGAAGGTCAGCAGATAAACAAGTGAACAAAGGTCTCTGGTTTTCCTAGGCAGAGGACCCTGCGGCCTTCCGCAGTGTTTGTGTCCCTGGGTACTTGAGATTAGGGAGTGGTGATGACTCTTAACGAGCATGCTGCCTTCAAGCATCTGTTTAACAAAGCACAACTTGCACCGCCCTTAATCCATTTAACCCTGAGTGGACGCAGCACGTGTTTCAGAGAGCACAGGGTTGGGGGTAAGGTTAGTACGTAATTAAAATCTCTTACTTGTCGGGCTTTTCACCAAAAATGAAAGTTGCTAAGGGTTAACATTGTAACATGTGATTGAGACTACTGGAGAAATGGTTTTACATCCAAAGTGTGTAGGGATAGTAGGATGTGTTTTTGGTAAAAGATTGTAAGTCGGCATGGAAATGTGGCTTTTGTTAAAGAGAATATAATTTTGTCTAGTTTAGAGGAATTTAAAGATTGTCTTAACCTAAAAGAGTATTGGGACAAAACTGAAGGTTTAAGCAAGTTGAAAAGGGTTTGTGAAGAGTTGGCCTTATGAAGAAAGTTCTGTGGGTATGAGTAAGTTGGCTAAGATTTGAAGGGGATTATTTAATTTTTTTCCACATGTTGAATATTAAAATAAAAGCACATTAATGCGGGGCCAGAATCTGGGCCCATGTGTCCGAATAACAGAGTTTTCTTAGAAAACTGAGATGCTGTTTAAAGGGTTCTAAAAAATTTATAAAAATCTTACCTTATGGTCAAACTAATTAAAACTGAATAGATTGATAAACTTTTATTTAGAAACTAGCTATAACATTAAAGATGCAATAATGCAAACATGAAATTTGGTTTTCTCTCTTTTTTCTTTTTTCAATAAATCAAGGTTTTTATTTTAATTTTTTAATTTTTCTATTTTTTGAGACAGTTTTCTCTTTCCTGGATTTCTCTTTTGAGAAAGATTTTTATGTAATATTAAAAGATAATGAAAGGTTTTTGTTTTCCCCTTTGGGTAAATGGCAGGGAGAGAGAAGAGACAGATTCAGTTGGCCTCATGCTATCTTCATTGGGTCTTGTTTGGAAAGCTAAGTCTGTTCTATCAGAGTAAAGGTTTTCGTCTTAAAAAATTTTTTTTTGAGTTACCACTTCAGATAAATGAGCAACCTGTGATTCTATTTTGTGATATAGTGTTCGAAACCTTTGATATTTGACAAACTTTCCAAAATTAAATTAAAAAATATATCATTTTCTGACCTAATCAATCCTTTTAGATATTAGGTCCTCTGAAGTCCAAAAATGATGTGTTTGGCTTATTTGGTATAAAAATCATACAGGAAGCATTGTCAAATATGAAATGGTATTTGGCTATCTTTGGGCTGTACTTATATAAATATGTTATTAGTATTATTTTCAAAATTATTGGAAACTTCTATAATTCTGATGTGATTTAGGGTACATTATGTAAAATTGTTGTATGCCACAGAAGTGACCAAAATTTCTAGTCAATTGAGCTTTAATAGTGGCTGTTGTAAGACTTTTGTCATCCACAGACATTTTGTCTGGCTTTGGTCCTTTTCAAAAGGCAGTTTATAGTCAGATATAGGACTCTGAGTGCAGGCCTCTGATAACTTTAAAAATTGTGCAATTGGAATAGAGGAAAAACTGAAACTTCTGGGACTCTCATGGAGAGCTGATGTGTTAAACATTGCTAATCCTTTTGTTTTCAGAATTAAGGAAACTTATTTCTTTTGAGCTATTTACAACTTTTAGCAAGTGTGTAAAGTATACTCCTGGGAGCAAAATTTGAAGCATATTGCTTTCTCTTTACCTGATTTCTATGGAATTTAGAAACTACTTGTGAGTATTCTCAACTTATGGCAGTATAGTTATTTGAATAAGTGCAATGAGAATCTGTTCTCTTCTGAAACAAGACACAATTGGAGAAACTGGTTATTTTACCAAGGCTTTGACTAAAATGACATGCTTTCTTTAGGGAATCAAAGTGGACTTATAAAGCCAATAAAGCCCCTTGGGAAAGCTGGCCTCATGCATTGTCTACAGAGTCCTTGTACAGAGTTCCTGACCAGTGGTAAGTAAAGAATGTCGCTTTCTGACAGGCCCAGGAGCCCCAAGTTATCTTGAGACCTTGAGATGAGGAATTCACAGGTGTTTGGAGGCATAGATAAATCCATGGCTGGGCTTCAAGGCTTTTAAAAAGTACAACCTGAGATTCTTTATAGAACAGTTTCAGCAAAGCCAATATTAAAAAGAGCCTATGTGAAAAATAATTATTCTTGCTACACTTTATGCAAATAATCAGGCCAAATATGATAAGACTAAAGTTTATTTTGTGAACAGATCAGTTCTATCATGATGTGTTTTTGATAAAAATAGGGACTGGACGGGAGGCTGAGGCAGGAGAATGGCGTGAACCCGGGAGGCGGAGCTTGCAGTGAGCCGAGATCGCGCCACTGCAGTCAGCCTGGGCGACAGAGCGAGACTCTTGTCTCAAAAAAAAAAAAAAAAAAAAAAAAAAGGGACTGGAGAGAGAAAAATTATGCTTCAAAAAACTATAGTACATCTGTTGTTAGTTGTTCTTCAGTTTTTTTCTGCAGTTTGGACTAAATCTTAAATTCTTTGTGGGCTGCAAGTCCCCAAACTAGAGCTTTCAAATCTTTGCTTTTAAAACTGGAAATCACACTCCTTATCTTAGTACTCATTATTTACCTTATAATGTGCTGTTCCCTTAAATGTGGTACTAAAATTATAGATGGCAATACTAATGCCTTTGTCATAGAAGCCTTAGAATCCCAGCCAGGCCTGTGTGAGTATGCTCAGACAGTTGCAAAGTGATTTCACTCCTCTCACCTTGGGGTCAACACCTACCCCCACTACACCCCTGGTCAGCAGGAAGAATTTAGAGGGGTCTTCGCCCTTTTCCCATCTTCATTAGCTAACACCTTAAGATTAAGGTGTTATAAAATCCAAAGGGAGAGATTGAAACCACCATTGCAAAATTGTAACTGAGACAGTGAAAAGAGATCTGACCTAACCAATTCCATCTTGCTTCTAACCTCCAAGCTGTTCTTGTTCATTCCTGGGCATAGGCTGAACTAACTTTGGGAAGAACTTAATTTATAGTTCATAGCTTAAAACAAAGGTGATAACAGGCCTTTTCCAAGGCAAACCCCCTTCATGCCTGGGGACTAGACTGCCTTTGTGGGACTAACAAATTAGCCACAAGATTAGAAATTATGGTTCAGGAATCATACAGCTGAGGCTACAAGATTCTGACTCTATCTAAACTGCTCCTAATATCAGTGCTTGAGATATTTTACAGTCTCTGCACTTGATGGATCAGCTGGCACCACCAGATGAATAAACTGGCTCATCTGATCTTGTGGTCCCCACCCAGGAACTGACTCAGTGCAAGAAGACAGCTTCTACTCCCTGTGATTTCATCTCTGACCTGACCAATCAGCACTCCCAGCTCACTAACTTTTCCCCCACCCACCAAGTTGTCCTTAAAACCCTGATCCCCGAATGCTCAGGGAGACTGATTTGAGTAATAATAAAACTCTGGTCTCCTGCCAAAAAAAAAAAAAAAAAAAAAAAAAAGGGAAAGAAAAAGAGTAATATATGTGGCAGAGTTTGTGTAACTGGTAGTTCTCCAAATTAACTTCCATGTAGAATAAAATAATTTTTAGTGAATAAATTTAAAAAGAGATAATTTGAAGCTTACACACATATTATTATAATGCAACAGTAACTGTAGCAATTGCTTAGAACTTAGATTAACTTTTTTTTTTTTGTTAAGGGTCATTGTATCACTAACATTGCCTAGAATTGTTGTACAAGGTGATAATAAAAATCAGATTGACTTTTAGTTTGTTTTATTACTATTTAAACTTTTTTTTTTACAGACAATTCACCCCTTATTTCTGCACCCGGGCCAGGCTGCTCTTACCTCTCAACCCTGTTACCCACTGGTTCTCAGTATGCGCCTGAGATCCCAGGGAAGGTGCTTGGAATAGATCTGAGTATTCTGCCTGAGACAGGACTTGGAGTGACTCTGGTAAGAGTCCAGGTGGAGCCCCTGAGGAGGTGTTGGTAGTGACCACAGTCAGTCTGGCAGGATTGAGGAAAGTGGTCCCAATCAATGTTTTGGGAGGCAGCTGAAGAAAAAAGATCCCAGCCTCTAAGAGAATTTTTGTCCGCAAACTCTGCTGGAAGAAGGGGGTTGGATCTGCTGATACCACTGCAGAGAACCCCTAAATGCCTGCATCCTATTCTGCAGGAGCCTCTGTGAAGCAGTGTTTGGGGAGCCAGTTTAGGGGAACACAGCAAAGTGTTCGATCAGGGGTTTAGTGATGATGGTAGGAAGCAATTATTGATTAAACCCCAAGCCGACTTCTATCTCTAGAATCCTGAATGTCTAGAAATAGCCTAGGAACTGGCTCTTTCTTGATATATATTAATTCTTACCCTCAGAGCAGGGTAATCCAACATTTTGGGAGGCACTGGACAAAGATACAGCCTATCTCTAGTATCTTATGGAATGATGATCATATTGGGTGATCAGTTGAAATGAGTTTTTCAGAGTCACCAGGATATTGAGGATAACAACAAATCAAAACACACCCCAAGCTGAAACAAGAAGCCTTGTAAGCAACTGAATTTAGGAAAATTAACTCCTGATTTACATGTAACTAAAGTTGAGGTGGTCCAGGGTGATGGAGGGGCAGAATTTGGATAGAATCAGCACAATCCTCTACAGTGACTTCATTCTGGAAATGGTGACTAGCTGTTTCCGACTTGGCTTATTCTCTTCATGTGGTGTTCTTTCCCCTCCCTGCTTTATTTCCTTCTATTATTAGTGAGATGAACTGCCTGCTGCAGAAATTATAAGGTCTTTCAAGGTCAAAGAAGGACTCTGACTCATGTATCCCATTTCCTCTCCCCTCCCTTTTATACCCAAGCTAGCACTGTGCTTTTCTAAGTTTGAAAAGTTTACAAGTTCATAAAAAAGAAAAAAAACCTTAAAAAATCTTAAAAAATAGAAAGCTTTGATTTCTTTGTGTTTCTTGATGACTTCACCTTTACTTAGCACAATTATTTATCCTCTCCTTTCTCTTTTATTTGCTAGTTATTGAGAATTTTTAATTTATATTTTATTCTTTTGAGACAGGGTCTTACTCTGTTGCCCAGGCTGGGGTGCAGTGGTGAGCTCTCTGCTCACTGCAACCTCTGCCTCCTGGGCTCAAGGGATCCTTCCATCTCAGCCTCCTGAGTAGCTGGGACTACAGGTATGTGCCACCATACCCAGCTAATTTTTGTATTTTTTGTAGAGATGGGGTCTCACTGTGTTGCCCAAGCTGGTCTCAAACTCCTGGGCTCAAGCAATCCTCCCACCTCAGCCTCTCAAAGTGCTGAAATTACAGGTATGAGCCACTACACCTGGCCTGTTATTGAGAATTTATTGTGTGGCTAGGCCCATTTCTTGTCAGCTACCTTTCATTAGACCTCAACACCAAATATCTCTCTGACTGTGCCTCTGTGTGGTATTTCCCATTATCTGTGACCTTTTACTACTGGATTTAAATTATTAAAAGGATCTCTCCAGCTTACCTTTTCCTATGAGCCTGAACTCAAACATGTTACTGACTGTGCTATTGGCAAAGCATCTGATTTGTTTTTGCTTTGGGTCCTTTCTCTCATCCTCACTCGTATATTTCTGCACCACCAGAAATTGGTTCTTTTCTTTATTCCCTACTTATCTATTTTGGAAAGATTTGAATCAGATAAAAGTTGGGCAATAGGCACATCAGAGGAAAAAATAGCTACAAACTGGATTCATTTGGAAGGAGACTTACTGATCATCCAGTCAAAGGGCTCTTAGCTTTTGTTGTGCCTTTTGACCAAGACTGAGCAATCTTAATCTTCCGAGAATAATACTTTTAAATGCATGAAAGAAAATACAAAGGAATACAAAGGAAGCCAATTATGTTGTTTTCAAAATATTTTTTTAAAATCTCTAATTGGTGACATCATAATATGTGCTGTTTAGAATTAGAATAATTGAGACTAATACTATTGTGGTTTGCCACCTACATACAAATGGAAGAAAATGCTACATTGCAGTAACAGGTCAATAAAAATAAAGACATATTTTTTTCCCATTCAAGTTTATGCACCTCCTGAATTTTATTCATTGACTCCTTGGGTGTCAGACCTCCAGATTAAGAACACCTGAGTTATTGTGCAGGTGAGGAAACGGAGGAAAGCCCTTGTGAAAAAAGTTGAGAGGTCTTATTCTTTGAAAGAGAAGAACTACATTTGAATCCCAGTATAGCTCAGTAAACATCAAGTCACTACCTTCAACCCCACCCCAAGTTTCTTTCTTTTTTCTTTTTTTTTTTTTGAGATGGAGTATTGCTCTGTTGCTCAGGCTGGAGTTCAGTGGTGTGATCTCAGCTTACTGCAACCTCCGCCTCCTAGGTTCAAGTGATTCTCCTGTCTCAGCCTCCTGAGTAGCTGGGACTACAGGCACCTGCCACCATGCCCGGCTAAATTTTTTGTATTTTTAGTGGAGACGGGGTTTCACCATGTTGGTCAGGCTGGTCTTGAACTCCTAACCTCAAATGATCTGCCCGCCTCAGCCTCCCAAAGTGCTGGGATTACAGGCATGAGCCACTGTGCCCGGCCTAGGTTTCTTTCATTCATTCAATATGTGTTGAAACTTACTATGCACCAATTGTTGAATTAGCCATTTGGAATTCACTAGATAACTGTTCTTATAAGATGTATAATGTAGTGAGGAGTTAAACATTAAACAGATATGTAGAAGTGAGTTTACATGCTTAGAAAGGAACAATATGAGTTTTTCTGGAATAATGGAGGACATTTAAAGTGTGTACAGTTTAGTAGGTTATGGAAGGCTTCTCTGAGGAAATGATGTCTAAGCTGGGACCTAAGGATAAATAGGAGTAGGCTAGATGAAAAAGTAGGGGAAGAGTGTTCTGAATGAAAGAAATGGCATGTTTGAGGGCCTAGAGGAAAAATCCTTTCTGGACTGAAGAAAAGTTCACTGTGGCTGGAGGAGTGAATGGAAAGGGGTGAGCATTGAGGCTGGAGTGAGACATGGATCCCATTGTGTATGAATATATACTATAAATCATTTTAATGATTTTGAACTCTGTCTTAAAAGGTAGTGGGAAGCCACTGTAGCATTTTAGGTAGAGAAATGACGTGATCAGATTTCCATTTAAAATATAGTCACAGGCCTCACGATACACCTTTCAGTCAATAATGACATATGACTTGATGGTCACATAAAATGATAACACTGTGGGCTGGCCAGGCATGGTGGCTCATGCTTGTAATCCCAGCACTTTGGGAGGCCAACGTGGGCAGATCGCTTGACCCCAGGAGTTTGATACCAGTTTGGGCAACATGGCGAAACCCCATCTCTGTAAGAGAAAAAACAAATTAGCGGGGCTTGGTGGCATACGCCTGCAATCCCAACTACTTCCCAGCTACTCAGGAGGTTGAAGTAGGAGGGTCACCTGATCCCAGGAGGTAGTGGTCTCCAAAAAAAAAAAAAAAAAAAAAGTTGAGATTTGTTTAGATACACAAATATTTACCATTGTGTTACTTTTGCCTACAGTATTTACTACATTAACATGCTGTACAGGTTTGTAGCCTAGGAGCAATAGGCTATACCATATAGCCAACATGTGTAGTAGGCTATACCATCTAGGTTTGTGTAAGTACACTCTATGAGGTTCAAACAACTACGAAATCACCTAATGACGCATTTCTCAGAACACATTCCTGTCACTAAGCAGCACACAATTGTGGGTCTCTTTGTCTTAGGTTGTGGAAAATGGAGAGGGGGAGCAACAGCAGAGTCAGGGAAGCCAGTTAGGAAGTTTTTGTGGTAGTGCAGATAAGAAGATGGTGACTTGGTAGAAGTGGGGGTTCATTCATTCATTCAACAAATGCTTACAGAATATTTTTAGGGTCCTGATAGGCAACAGATGACACACTTAAATTATGTAAGATATGGATTGGATTTAGGAAAGCCAACAAAAACAATGGTGCAGGACCTCAGGCTAGCAATATCAGAACCATTACCACCTTGAGGCTTGAAGGGGCAAGGGTGGGGAACAATTCCCTGGGGGAGGGTCACTGTATGGTGGGAGCGATGCAGCGGGAGGGAAGGATGTGTGGGAAGGGACCTAGGGGAATCAGTAGCCAGAACTCACTCTCCTTTTTCCTTTTGATCTTTTGCTGGTACTTCCCTGTGGCCTCACCCACTCAGAAACCAGAGGGCAATGGAGCCCAGTTTCAGGTCACACAACAGGACACAGAAGGATGGAGAGTGTATCTGGGACACAAACAGAAAATATTCCCCACAAACAATTTTTAAAAAAACCTGGCCGGGCACGGTGGCTCACACCTGTAATCCCAACACTTTGGGAGGCTGAGGCGGGTGGATCATGAGGTCAGGAGTTCAAGACCAGCCTGGCCAACATGCTGAAACCCCGTCTCTACTAAAAATACAGAAAGCTGGGCATGATGGTGCACATCTGTAATCCCAGCTAGTCAGGAGGCTGAGGCAGGAGAATCACTTGAACCCAGGGGGCAGAGGTTGCAGTGAGCTGAGATCGCACCACTGCACTCCAGCCTCCGTCTCAAAACCATACCAAGCCCCTACATTCATAGGGCTTATATTCTAGGAACGCTCTCTTCAAACTTAGGTATGCACACTGTGGGGGTTGATGGGACTTTCTAGGAGATACACATGTATAGATAGTTTTACAGTAATTTCTTTCAGGTCCTCAACATCCATATGTTTCTTTTCCAAAATTGATCTGCCCAAGAATATGTCTATTGTAGAAATAGCATTGTTATTCTTCTTTCCCACCTCCGCTTACACATTGACCCTTCACTCATTTTAAAAAAGAAAGCTATTCTTCTTGCCCATTTTCAATCTTATGGCACATTGTCCTGAATAAAAAATCCAAGGGGTAAAACAGAGGAACAAATCAAAATATTGGTGTATATGAAGCCTCCTTTTCCTTGCTTATACGTTTCTGTTAAGAAAAAAAATGTGGCATTAGAAATGGTATTTTTGTCTCTTCTAAATCTTCTTATGTAAAAAAGAAAAAAAAAGAAATGGTATTTTTGGCTCATGATAGACTATACTAAAACCAGATATGTTGTAGTAAGGACAGCAAGAATAATAATTTTTGTTGAATGATTTCATCTCTTTTGACTGCTGACAATTGCTAAACCAAACCAACAAACAAAAACATCATTCCTAAAGGAAAGTTCTGTTAAGAAAATCATAGAGATTACTGTTAAGAAGTAGTGAAGGTGATACTAATTTAATTCATATGACAAATTTTTGGCAACATCACTTACCCATAATTAGAATATTCAAGATTTATAAAAATCATGCTGGGAAATGTAACATACATTCTATAACATGTATCCTTTGCATTTGCATAAATTTCACAAATGAGAAAAAGCTTAATGAGTATTTTTGTTCACTTAGGTCCAGGTGCATATTTCATAAAATTTCAGTAATTAGAAGAAGAAATTTTATGTTTGCTTCTACCACTTTATTTTTATTTATTTATTTACTTAGAGACAGAATCTGGCTCTGTTGCCCAGGCTGGAGTGCAATGGTGCCATCTCCGCTCACTGCAACCTCCGCCTCCCGGGTTCAAGCAATTCTCTTGCCTCAGTCTCCCAAGTAGCTGGGATCACAGGCACCCGTCACCACACCTGGCTAGTTTTTGGATTTTTAGTAGAGACGGGGTTTTGCCATGTTGGTCAGGCTGGTCTCGAACTCCTGACTGACCTCAGGTGATCTGCTTGCCTCAGCCTCCCAAAGTGCTGGGATTACAGGTGTGAGCCACTGCACCTGGTCTGCTTCTACCACTTTAATGTTACATGTAAGAGAAAAAACAATATATATTGGAAGTAAGTTAACCATGTACATTTATTCAAACTCATGGGAGAAACATTTTTATTAGCTTTTTTTTTTTTTAAAAAAAAAGCTTTATTGAGCTAAATTCACATACCAGAAAGTTCTTCCATTAGCTTTTGATAGAGGTTGGGGTCCTATAAATATGTATTTATTTTTACCCTCGCTCATGACTTACTTGTTACTCTTCAACCAATTTTCTTGTAATTTATTCATTCCTATCATCGATTTAAGAAATTTAGATTAGCTTTATTTGAATATTTGGTTAATTCTATTGTAAAAATCCTTCTGTAACAATAATTAATACACGTTTTAAGCCCCTGCACTTCTAAGCAGCCCAGTACCTTTACTTTTTGCTCTTAATCTCTACTAAACCCAGTCACATTTTAACATTGGGTATTTTATTCATTTAAGGATAAGGGAACTAATTAAAAAAAAACTTGCCCTGTTCTTGTCTTTAGAAGATGTATTTTAATAAAAAAGTACTCTTTCTATTTAAGAATTATTTATCACAGATTTGTAAAATACTTTGTTTCGCTTAGTTCTATACTATAAAACTGAAATGGTAACTAAACCTGTAAGAAATCAGTTGAAATTTACATTTCAAATTTATACGCATATTTTGTGGCCCAAGTCATGTATGCTACTCTTATAACTGACAAAGGGGTTGTGGACAGAATATGTAAAGGACTCCTAGAAAATCAACACAAGATAAAAATGGGTGAAAAACTTGAGTAGGCATTTTATGAAAGTGAATATTCAAATAGCCAATAAAGGACAAAAATGTAAAACTTCATTATTAATTAAGGAAATACATATTAAAACCATATTGAAATAGTACTATATACTCCAGAATGGCTAAAGTTAAAAAGACTTTCTGATAAAATTAAGTCTTGGTGAGTATGAGAAGCAACTGGAATTCTCATACATTTCTGATAAAGGCATAAATTGCAACATACACTTTGAAAGCTGGTTGGTACTCTTTACAGAAGTTGAAAATGTATATGCTACAACCCAGAAATCCTACTCCTAGTATATACACACATGCCTAATGGAAATGTGTATATATGTGCACCAGAAGGTATGCAACAATGCTTATAGCAAAACTATTTAAAACATTCCCAAGGTGGGAACAGCACACATGTTTGTTGGCAGAAAGGATAAATAATTGTCATTTGGTCATATAATGCATTATACAACAATGAAAATAAACTAATACAGCTCCACATAGTAACATGGATAAATCTTAAAAACGTAATGTTGAGTAAAGGAAGTCAGGCACAAAATGTACACATTGTATCATTCCAACTGCTTGTTTGAAAACAGAGCTAATCTCTGTGTTACACTGCTTTGGAGAGTGGAGAGAAGGTACAGTGATTAGAGGAGGGCATGAGGGGTGAGTTCTAGGGTGTGGGCAATGCTCCGTAACTTGATCTGGATGCTGGTTACTGGAGTGTATTTGCTTTGTCACAGATCGTTGAGCTGTACACATAAAATCTGTGTACCCTTTTTAGTATAACTGTTATATTTCAATAAAAAAGAAGTTAAAAAAGATTAGCCACATCTTTTATAGCTGTCCGACTCATGGAGAGTTATCCTTTCTTTGAGTTTAATACTGATAAATAAAGGTCCCCTGAAGATATCCACCTCCTACTCCCCAGAACCTGTGACTGTTACTCCATATGGCAAAAAGGACTTTGCAGATGTGATTAAATTCACAATCTTGAGACGAGGAGATTATCCTGGATTATCCAGTGGGCCCAATGTAATCACAAGGGTCCTTATAAGAAAGAGTCAGTAGGGTCAAGCATTGGAATGAGGCACTGAAAAACTTGACTTCTTGTTGCTGGCTTTGAAGATGGAAGGGGGTCATGTGTCTAGGAATGTAGAAGCAGAAAAGGCAAAAAAAAAAAAAAAAGAAAGAAAGAAGAAAAAGAATTTTTCCCGAGTGTCTTTAGAAGGTACGAAGCTCTGCCAATACCTTGTTTTTAATTCCATAAGTCCTAATTTTAGACTTTGACCTCCAGAACTGTAAGATAAATCTGTTGTTTCATTGTTTTTAGCCACCAAGGTTGTGATAATTTGTTATAGTAGGAACAGGAAACTAACACAGTGGGTTACACATTGTGCCCGTCAGAATACATCACACATAATAGGTACTCTGTGAGTGTGTATTGAATGAATGGCCGAGCTTCCAACATGTCTGATTCTTAATTACGACGAAGGAATTTTAGAAATAAATAAAGGTGTTTTTGTCTGTGAGAATTCAAGACTGGTATTGTGTAGTGTGACCAGGCAATTTTTTTTTTTTGTCTCTCTCCTGCTAATCTTCCAGACCTCAAGGACCTTTCCAGACCAAGGTCCTGGAGGTGAAGTGAAGAGAGCACAAGCTTTGAACTCATCAGACAACAAAATTGAAGATGAGGATGTAGATAAAAATGCCATTATTAGGGCTTCTCCTTAGTCTGTCGGAGGCATTCATTTGTCTGGAGGAAGTTAGAATTTTTTCCAAAAATATAAGACTGAGGTAATATTAGTCTTTTGACATCCAAATGGATTATGCCATGCATCAACTTTAGGATTCATTCACAGAAATGTAGCACAGCATGGTCAGAAAGAAGAAGGCTTAATTTTACAAAGGTGCCTTGAGTTTTTATGCAGTTTGGATACTGAATTGAAACCCAGTGGATTGTCATAGGCCTACAATAGCAGAATGAGTTGACTCAACAATAAGGTAGCGTAGACTGCTGGACCAATTTGCAGGCTGGAGGATGTGGCAATCAACTCAGGGTTCTGCAGACAGCAAAATTTTTCTTAACAGCCTTAGCAACTCAGGAACATTGTCCCTGTAGAAAGTACAGACCCCATGTGAATTAGCCAATTTAGCAGTGGTGTCCTGCAGAATGTTGAATAATTCAGTGCCCAAAGGACAGTCCCCCAGAGACCAGCAGATGGAGCTGCCACAACATAAAAACCAGCCTGAGGCTAGAGTTCCTTCTCTGTGCCAGGGGATTGCATAACCATAGTCTCTCCATCATACACTGGGGAGAGAAGCAGGGGAAGTAGAGGCTTTCTGAGTGATCAAGCATTATTTTATCCAATAGAAACAATAATTTCTGAAGGCATATTTACATTGTGTCAGGTTAGACTAAATTAAAATTAGATTGCATTATTAGTTTTTTTTTCTTCCTCCTGCTAACTCGTAGATAGGGATTTGGGAGGACATCAGATTATAGACTAAATAAAGAGAGTAAAATGTTTCTGTACATCCTCTGAGGTGTAGTGTAAGCCTTAGGATCATCCCCAATTGCCCTACTGCAAGGTCATTGAGATTTTTCCTTGGATAAGGTTGCCAGAAAAGGAAAGAGAATCACAGAAAGAGCAAGAGATCACAGAAGTGCATATCAATTTACATTTTTCGCTTCCTCTCTCCTCTCTTTCTTATCCATGAGTTCATGTTTTGAGTTTGGGAAGTTGGAGGCAATTTGAACTTGAATCCATAACCCTCTGTCTCCTACATGATACACCCTTCTCTTTGTTTTGGAGAATGCTCTTCAAGCAGGAGTTTCCAATAAATACCTCCATTCAGCGAATGTTTACTAAAGGTTTGATAAGTGGGAGGCCCTGTAATAAATACAGGATATATAAGAAGAGAAAGCTGGCCCTAGCCTGCACACAGGGGAGTAGGGGGAATATGCATTTTTTTCTTTATTTAATCTTTTTTTTGTACAGATGGAGTCTTGCTATGTTGCCCAGGCTAGTCTCAAATTCCTGGCCTCAAGTGATCCTCCTGTCTCAGCCTTCCAAAGCACTGGAATTACAGGTGAGAGCCACTGTGTCCAGCGGAAATATTTAAACAAATAATTTTCGAAGTACTGTAGTTGAAGAAAAAGGAGCTGATACTTTTTTCTTTTTTTTTCTAGATGGGGTTTCACCATGTTGGCCAGGGTTGTCTTGAACTCCTGACCTCAAGTGAGCCACCTGCCTTGACCTCCCAAAGTGCTGGGATTGCAGGTGTGAGCCACGACAACTGGCTGAGACTAACATTTATACTGCTTATATCTAGGCCCATGTCTGTGAAGATATCCCTGACATCTAATCAGTTATCTCTCAATTTTTGCCAAAATTTCCACCTTGCATTTCCATGTCACGAATTATATTTATTCTATCTTCTATTCACAATTTTTTTTTGAGATGGAGTCTTGCTCTGTTGCCCAGGCTGGAGTGCAGTGGTGCGATCTCAGCTCACTGCAACCTGCACCTCCCGGTTCAAGTGATTCTCCTGCCTCAGCCTCCTGAGTAGCTGGGATTACAGGCACCCGCCACCATGCCTGGCTAATTTTTGTATTTTTAGTAGAGACAGCATGAGCCACTGCACTGGGAATGTTCACATTCTTTCCAGCAGTTTTTGTACATCTTTGGAAGAATATCTATGTCCAAATTACTTTGTAAAGCTCTGGGTCCTGTCGTGGCAAAATTGTAGATATATAGGAAATGTGGAGTGAAAAACTGTCACACTCAACCTGTGCAAAGATGTATGTTCAGGCTGGGCATGGTGGCTCATGCCTGTAATCCCAGCACTTTGGGAGGCTGAGGTGGGCAGATCACCTGAGGTCAGGAGTTCGAGACCAGCCTGGCCAACATGGCAAAACCCCGTCTCTAGTAAAAATACAAAAATTAGCTGGGCATAGTGGCATGGACCTGTAATCCCAGCTACTTGGGAGGCTGAGGCAGGAGAATCGCCTGAACCCAGGAGGCAGAGGTTGCAGTGAGCCGAGATTGCGCCACTGCACTCCAGCCTGTGTGACAGAGTGAGACTCCATCTCAAAAAAAAAAATTATGTTCAAAGATGTATGTTAACTGCAGTGCCATTTATGAGTGAAATTTTGGAGTATATATATTATACATTGCCATGTATGCAAAATTGTATGTTTTCCACTATGTGTCCATATGCCTAGAAGGATGAGTATAAAAATGTTCACCAAAGTTAATCTGGATGACAGGATTTTGGGTGTCTGATTTTCTTATGTTTTTCCACATTTTTGAATTTTTTCAATAAATGTAATATTGTAAAAAATAAGAAAGCTTTTCAAAAATTTCATCAAAATTGCATTCATTTTCTTTCTCCTATTTAAAACTCTTGAACACCTCATTTCACAGTGGTTCTCCACCGGGGCAATGCAAATGTTTCAGGGACATTTGACAATGTCTAGAGACATTTTTGTTGCCATAACTGTGAATAGTGCTACTCACATTTAATGGATAGAGGCCAGAGGTGCTACTAGACATCTTATAACGCACAGAGAGTTTCCCACAATAAATTATCTGGCTCTAAATGTTAACTATGCCGGAGTTGGGAAATCTCAGAATTCATTATCCTGATAGGCTCTTTATCACCATCTGGTGGTGAGAGAAGTGCCTGCAACTCCCATGTAGTTTCAGCCAGAAACCAAACTAGGGCCTCAGAAAAAAGATGGGAGGCCCTAAGAAGGGTAGCTATAGTTACAAAGGGAGGTAGAAAAAGAGCAAGTTAATTCATGGCTGAGAGGGTCTGTGATGCTCTTACTAAGAACTGTAGTTGCTCCTGACGCTGCCATTCTGTATCTATGAACGCTATATTATGATTTCCATTTTCCTGCCGCGCTGGGACTCCAGAGACTCAGAAGAAGGAAGTTAGATGCTGAGGCAGGAAAGGCTTTGGGGAAACTTTATGGATTTAATGTGGTTGATATAAGGGGGTAATCTCTACTTGCATCCATAGGTGCCTCCCCATTACATAGGATGATAAAGCTTTAGCTGTGCCAGGAACAATTCTAGATCGCAGCATGTGGGACCAAGTCAAAGCTCCTTGTTTTGGCTTGATGTAACCGTTACTTCCATTTCACTTTTCCTAAGGGATGCATTTGCAAGGCCTAGGCTTCATTCCTTGACTCCACCCCTCCTACCCCCAATTCGAAAGCCACGTAGAAGAAATATCTGTTCTTACTTGCTTATCAGTTTTACTTCTTTTATTTTCATCCACCAGTTTCCTGTTTTCTAATGATCACTTACTAATGAATTTCCCATCTGGCAGCTATGTCTCATGCTCCTCTCTGCTGCTCTCAACAGGGCTGTAGGCCACTTTCCTGCCTGCTGCTCACTTCTGAAAGATCTGTATTCTCTCACTCCTCAAAAGGATGCTGCTTTCTTCATACAGGTGTTGGGAAGAGGAGAATGTTGTATGCCCCTCATTTTCTTTTTGCACTACCTCTTTAGTATCCATCACCCCATTGTCCAAATCTATCTTGACATAGCAATATCTACCAATGCCTTGAAGTAGGTTGCAGGTTGATTTCCCCAAGAGCAGACGGTAGAACAGTGTGGAGGGCAAGATGTTTATTAGGGATCAACGCCTGTGAAGAAAAGGGGCAAAAGTAGGATTTGGCAGAGAAAGACATTGAGCCGTGATGCAGGCCTTACAAACCTTCCCTGAACCTGGTGGAGAGCTCTGTAGAGTGAAGACCAACAAAGCATCCTGTGTCAGGCTACAATGGCTGGGTCTTTCTTTTCTGTCTCAGCCTCTGGATACAGGCTACCCCAGGAAGGGCATTACCTCAGGTGAAGGGGCTCCCTGCAATTGAGGCAGATTGGGAAGATCTGACAGCTGAAGCCTGGCTGCTTACTTCATTCCCCTCAGTTGGGCAGCAAGTCTTCTCTTGCAGGAGGTTCTGGGTGGCACAGTTCCACGTCTTCACAGAGGAGTGGATGAGAATTACAATGTAAACTACAAGATAAACATGATTTTTCCCATGGTTCAAAGGAAAATCGCCAAAGATACATAAACTGTCAGGCAGGTTGTTCCTGGTTCACATCTTTTCCAATTTGGAATAAATGCAAATTCCTTGAATTTCATTAAAAATAACAATGACATTGGATAACTGTTGCCTCAGGAACCCACAACGACGCTCTCATTCTGTCCTGGCCTACTCACATATCTTCCCTCCATTCCTCACCCCTTTTTTGAGGTTTACATTTTAATTCTATTGTATTTTAAAAATCCTATTCAGAGAAAATAAACTATAGATACAGGAAACAATAAGGAAAGCACATTTATAAACACTGTTTCAGTCAAAATAAAGAACTTGGACTGGCCCAGCGTGGTGGCTCACACCTGTAATCCCAGCACTTTGGGAGGCTGAGGCAGGCAGATCGCCTGAGGTCAGGAGTTTGAGACCAGCCTGGCCAACATGGCAAAACCTCCTCTCTACTAAAAAGTATAAAAATTATCTGGGAGTGGTGGCAGGTGCCTGTAATCCCAGCCACTCGGGAGGCTGAGGCAGGAGAATCGCTTGAGCCTGAGAGGTTGCAGTGAGCCGAGATTGCACCACTGCACTCCAGCCTGGGCGACAGAGCAAGACTGTATCTCAAAAAAAAAAAAAAAAAAAAAGAACTTGGACCCTCTTCTTCAGGACCTTAACAATTAAGATGGAGTGTAGCCACAACTACATTTCAGTATAATAGCAATAATAATGTTAATAAATGCTATAATTACTTCTATTAACGTGACTTTTGCTGCGGTTATTGCTGCTTCTGCTGTTGTTGGCATTGCTACTACCTAACATTATTGGCACGTGTACCATGTTTCAGGCATATGTATTGTTTCACGTTATTCTTAACACTTCACTGAGGTTGCACCATTTTATGTATGAAGGAAATGAAGCAGAGACAGGTTAACTAACTCATCCAAGGTCATACATGTAGTAAATAGTGGAGGCCCTTCGCACAACTAACAGCCTGGCTTTCACAGGCTGGCATTTTCTAACTCTCAACACTTGGCTTATACCTGCTTCTTCATCTTGAATTACCTTCTTCTTGCTTCCTCTCTCTCTTTGTACCCTTTGACCTACACTTCTGCTTTCCCCCACCCACCATCCCAGCTTCTGGTAACAAACATTCTACTTTCCTTCTTTTTTCTTTTTATTTTTTTATGTTTTTGAGACAGTCTCCATGTGCCGCCCAAGCTGGAGTGCAGTAGAGCTATCTCAGCTCACTGCAACCTCTGCCTCCCAGGTTCAAGTGATTCTCCTGTCTCAGCCTCCTGAGTAGCTGGGATTACAGGCGCCCGCCACAACACCCGGCTAATTTTTGTATTTTCAGTAGAGATGGGGCTTCACTGTGCTGCCCAGGCTGGTCTACAACTCCTGACCTCATGTGATCCGCCTGCCTCAACCTCCCAAAGTTCTGGGATTACTGGCATGAGCCACCGCACCTGACCACAAACATTCTACTTTCTACTTCTATGATTTCAAATTTAGATTCCACATGTAAGTAACTCACAACTTATTCATGTGATTTGATGTTGTTCTAGAATCCATCACCCTGCTTCCCTTTTCTACAGGCCTTGTGACTCCTTCTTTCCCACTGTACTTGGTTCTCTGCTTTAACTGACTGGAACATCCCTAAATCTACTGAAGTGATCCCCAACTCCCATGTCTCTGTTTCCCACTTGCAATGACTCTGCCCCATTCCACTGACCATGAGAGCCCTGTTCCTGCCAATGTCATAACTCTAGCTACCTCTAATCCTGTGAGCTGCACCTAGACCCAGTGTCTCCCCCTGACCACCCCCCCCTTTTTTTTGGTTTCACAAAACAATTTGTTAATAGATGATATTTTCATTTTGAATTACTTGTACCATGATGATTAGTAGATCAGTAAATAAATTTGATAATCAGCCGGGCATGGTGGCTCACACTTGTAATCTCAGCATTTTGAGAGGCCGAGGCGGGTGGATCACGAGGTCAGGAGTTCGAGACCAGCCTGACCAACATGGTGAAACCCCGTCTCTACTAAAAATACAAAAATTAGCCAGGCGTGGTGGCATGCGCCTGTAATCCCAGCTACTCAGGAGGCTGAGGCAGGAGAATCACTTGAACCCGGGAGGCAGAGGTTGCAGTGAGCCGAGATCGCACCACTACTGCACTCCAGCCTGGGCAACAGAGTGAGACTCCATCTCAAAATAAATAAATCTGATAATCGTACAAACTTAGAACTAGAAAGACTGGTCTAATATGTTTACAGAGTGAGGATTTTGAACGCAGGTGTCTCCCCTTCTTGATGATCTCATCCCTCCTGACTCCTGAGGTCTCTCGCCCCAGTGCCACCCAACCCACTGACACTAATCCTCTCCAATCCTAACCCCACCTTGATGGCAGCGCTACTCTCTCCACTTCTATCACAGAAATCCCCATCTCTACACAGGCATCTTTGCTTTATCCCAATTTACCTTTTTCCCATCTTTTGTGTGATTTCTTGAGAACGGCCTCTGAATCTCATTTAATAACCATGCAGCTTAAAATCCTGAGGAATTTATCAAAGACTTTTGAAATTTTATACACACTAATTTTGGTTTGAAAGTCAAGGTTAACATATATATGATACCTTGTTAAAGGATGTTAAAAACGTTTAATTCACACATAATATTCATACATGTTTATGCAGTACAGAGTGAGATTTTAAAAAACTTTTATTTAGCCTCAGGGTTACATGTGCAGATTTGTTATATAGGTAAACTCGTGTCATGAGGGTTTGTTGTACAGATTATTTCATCACCCAGGTACTAAGCCTGGGTGATGACAACTGCAGGCTGGCATTCTCTAACTCTCAACATTTGGCTTATACCTGCTTCTTCATCTTTCTGGTCCTCTCTCTCCTCCCACCCTCCACTCTCAGGTAGGTCCCAGTGTCTGTTGTTCCTCTCTTTGAGTCCATGAGTTCTCATCATTTAGCTCCCACTTATAAGTGAGAACGTGCAGTATTTATTTTTCTGTTCCTGCATTAGTTTGCTAAGGACAATGGTCTCCAGCTCCATCTATGTTCCTGCAAAAGGCATAATCTTGTTCATTTTATGGCTGCATGGTATTCCATGGTGTATGTGCAGGGTGAGATTTTGATACATGTATATAATGTGTAATGATTAGATCAGGGTAATTAGCATATCTATCACCTTAAACATTGATCATTTCTTTATGTTAAGATCATTAAAATCTTTTCTTCTCACTTTTTGAAAATATACAATGAATTATTGCTAACTATAGTCACCCTCCAGAACTATAGAACCCTAGAACTTATTCCTCCTATCTAGCTGTAATTTTGTATTCTTTAACCAACCTCTCCCTATCCCTTTTACAGCCTTTCCCTTCCCAGCCTCTAGTAACCACTGTTCTGTTTACTTCTATGAGAGCAACTCTTTTAGTACTGACCTATGAGAGAACATGTGTTATTTATCTTTTTTTTTTTCTTTTGAGACCAAGTCTTGCTCTCTTGCTCAGGCTGGATTACAATGGCACGATCTCGGTTCACTGCAACCTCTGCCTCCCTGGTTCAAACAATTCTCTTGCCTCAGCCTCCCAAGTGGCTAGAATTACAGGCGCCTGCCACCACGCCTGTCTAATTGTTTTTGTATTTTTAGTAGAGACGAGGTTTCACCATGTTGGCCAGGGTGGTCTCAAACTCCTGACCTCAGGGGATCTGCCCGCCTCGGCCTCCCAAAGTGTCAGGATTACAGGCGTGAGCCACCACACCCGGCCAAACATGCATTATTTGTCTTTCTGTGCTTGGCTTATTTCACATTAGAGACTTTTATGAATTCATCAAACAAACATAAAAAGCATTCTGAAAATGGTAATTGAACAGTGAGCAGTTTGTGGGCGGCAAGCCACCCAGGTGCTGAGGCAAGAGACCAAGGGCACGAGCTGTTCCAGTATAATATATAAAATATACTATACTATATTATATTATAATATATATTATATATATGATAATATATATAAAATAAGAATAGTTATACTAGATATATATCTTAGATATGATTATATATGAATATCATTAATCATTAGTTTGTAGTAATTATTCTTTATTCCAATATTATAATAATCCTTGCTCTACAATCATAACCTAAGAAAAACCAGGCCATACAGAGATAGGAGCTGAGGGGACACAGTGAGAAGTGACCAGAAGAGTGCGAGGCTTCTGCTATGCCCAGACAGGGCCACCAGAGGGCTCCTTGGTCTAGTGGTGATGCCAGTGTCTGGAAAGACTCCCTTTGCCAAGTGGACTGTGGTCTAGCGGTAGCGTCAGTGTCAAGGAAAAACACCCACTACTTAGCAGACCAGGAAAGGGAGTCTCCCTTTCGCCGGGGGAGTTTAGAGAAGACTCTACTCCTCCACCTCTTGTGGAGGGCCTGACATCAGTCAGGCCCGCCCGCAGTTATCTGGAGGCCTAACCGTCTCCCTGTGATGCTGTGCCTCAGTGGTCACGCTCCTAGTCCGTTTTCATGTTCCATCCTGTACACCTGGCTCTGCCTTTTAGATAACAGTAGCAAAATTAGTGAAAGTACTAAAAGTCTCTGATATGCAGAAATAATGGTGTCAGCTGTCTCTCTCTCTCTCCCTCTGTCTCTCTGCCTTGGCTGCCAGGCAGGGAAGGGACCCCTGTCCAGTGGACATGTGACCCACGTGACCTTATCTATCATTGGAGATGACTCACACTCTTTACCCTGCCCCTTTTGCTTTGTATCCAATAAATAACTGCGCAGCCAGACATTCAGGGCCACTACCGGTCTCCGCGTCTTGGTGGTAGTGGTCCCCTGGGCCCAGCTGTCTTTTCTTTTACCTCTTTGTCTTGCGTCTTTATTTCTACGTTCTCTTGTCTCTGCACATGGGGAGAAACCCACCAACCCTGTGGGGCTGGCCCCTACACAGTTTTTAAGGTTACAGTGATGTGAGAGACAGGCACCATGTGGGGCAGGGGTTCTGCTTCTATCATATTTCCATTTTGTTGTTTTAGGAGATCCTTCCAACTCTCACTAACATTATTTTCCAGAGAACAAAAGAAAAACTATACTCTCCAAGAACATGTTTCCTTTGTAATTTTTCTGTCCTCAAACTTTTTCTGGAGAGATGAGTCATTTGACCTGACATTGAGAATAGGCTTGAAGCCCTTTGAGAGGACAAAGGAGATAGAGTCAGCATTCCTATCTCCATGCTCTGAAGATCCAAGTCACTTGGTTACTGCTCCCTGGGCTGTCTATTTTCACTGTTTATGGAAGATAGAGTACACCTGTAAATGGAAGCCAACGGGTGCATTTATGTCCAACATGAATAAATTGTCTTCTTTGCACCAGGATTCCTTTAGATCATCAGCTTTGAGAACCTAGCATAAGGTGTAGGTTTGCAGAAGGGTGATTTCCTTCCCTTCTCAGGCCCTGGTTGGATTCAGAGTGTTCTTCATTTTTATTCTAATTATGAATTTATGGCTCAAATGGTGTGAACAGTCACATATATGCCCGATTTGGAGGAAAGCATTCATTACACTTTTATGTATAAAAATAAATTCCTTATTGAAATATTAGAACCCAGTTAAGTGTATTAGGAGATTTGTAAAAACTGTATACTTTTTTTTTTTTTTTTTTTTCAACACGGAGTCTCGCTCTGTCACCCAGGCTGGAGTGCAGTGGCTTGTTCTCAGCTCACTGCAAACTCTGCCTCCCAGGTTCAAGCCATTCTCCTGCTTCAGGCTCCCAAGTAGCTGGGATTACAGGTGCCTGCCACCATGCTTGGCTAAGTTTTGTATTTTTAGTAGAGATGGAGTTTCATCATGTTGGCCAGGCTGGTCCCAAACTCCTGACATCAGGTGATCTGCCTGCCCTGTCTCCCAGGGGGCTGGGATTACAGGCATGAGCCACCATGCCCGGCCTTAAAACTGTATACTTTTTGATATTTTTCTTTAAGTAATCAGTTTAAAATAATCAATGAATCATTTTAAAATAACCAATCTAATTGAACCTTGTCCACAGACTTCATTAAAATGGTACATTTTATTTGGTCATCATAAATTTTTTTCCAAAAGCCAATTCTCAGACTTGTACATAACACCAAGCTTTGAATAACAAAGCTTTGTGACTGTTTTTTTTTTTTTCTTAGCATGCGCAGGGAATTGCCAACATACCAGGGAAGAACAGGGTGAAAGTTAATGAGAAAAACAGTTATTTGATTTCTACTTTCCATATTTGCTTGATAATGTTTCCTGAATTGATGACATCCCTATCTTGGTCAAGTCTCTGCTTTATTCTTTCCTAGAACAGAATATGCCTAAATATTGCTATGCTTGGGACTCATGAATGTTTTTACATTTAAAGATTAATAACTTTTCCTTAAAACTTTAGAGGGTGAAAAAAATCCACTTAAACATTGAAAAGTCTGGCTGGGCTCAGTGGCTCATGCCTGTAATCCCAGCACTTTGGGAGGCCGAGATGGGTGGATCACTTGAGGTCAGGACCAGCCTGGCCAACACAGTGAAACCCTGTCTCTACTAAGAATACAAAAAAAAATAGGAGTGATGGTGTGTGCCTGTAGTTCCAGCTACTCAGGAGGCTGAGGCAGGAGAATCACTTGAACCCGGGAGGTGGACGTTGCAGTGAGCCAGTTTATAGCTTTCAGTCAAGACATGTATATTGGTTGAAATACTGATACAGTTATTCTATAGAAATTTGTTGCAGCCTGAAATGATTTTGATTTTTCTCTGTTAAAATGACTTTCTCTGATACTTAAATATTTTAAAATAAAAAAGCAATATCTAGAATAATAGTTTAAAATACAAAATAGGTTTCTAAAATGAATGTTATTTGATTTCATCATATATTAACAGATTTTAGTAAGTTGTTTTTAAACTAGAGGAATTGAGGCAGAGAGAAATGAAGTCCTTTTACTGGAAATTTTCATCTCTTAATGTGTTAATTGATTGATTTTTACACATTTCATTTTAAACATGGAAATGATGAAGGTTCTAATTGTAATGAGTAGTTGTTTTTGGATTGTTCAGGTACACTGCCTCTTTTCTTCAGACACTGGGGCTCTTTTGTGGTCACTGAGTATTACTGTTTTTTCAAGTCTTCAAGCACATCTTGCTTTGTGATTTTGGCCCATGCATTGGGGATTTTACCTTTACCTGCAAATTTTTTCTGATATTTTTCTTCTAGATTTGATCTGAAGTGAGAGACAAACCATTTCCAGTATAGCTGGATGGAGGTATCTGGGGTGATGCTCCACATGGCATAATCCCCTCCTGCTTGTCGATAGTTCTTAAATGGGAAATTCCTGCCATCCCTCAAAACCAACAAACAATCACTTGCAACCAAACTAGTACAGCAATCAATGACAAAATCATCTGTTTCATACCATTCCTCCCCATTGACAGCCTGAGGACGGTGGAAGGGAACACTATGGTCTCCTTCATGTGTAGGAATTGTGTTTGTACAAATTGCTCCACAGCTGGGACACTGTTTCCAGCAGCCACAGAGATGTTCAGAGAGCATTTTCTCAATTTTAGAAACCATTGCTTCTATAGGCTTACTTGAATAATTCTGTTCTATTTTCTTCATTGTGAGATCCAAAGCTGCACTCATGGCTTCTTTAAGAAATTCAGTATGTTTTATCTCCTGGTGTTCAATGCTTATCAAGTCCCTTCGTGGAAAGATCAAGTTGCACCCCAGGCAATCACAGAATAAATCCAACCACTCAGAAGCAGTGCTGCTTTTATCTTTAGCTACTGATGTGGATTCATGGATGGCAGAGAGGATGGTATTCTTGATATCAATTAAGCTTTTTTCAAAAAAAGTCTTCATTTTTTCACCTCCATTGTCTGAACAATATCTTTTAATATGATTTTTGATGTAACTCCTAAAAAACGATTTTGAATTATGAAGGTATTCCCAGTAATTATCAAAGTTTTCTTCTTCTGCCAGAGAGAAGAGAATGTGTTTCTCCAGGTTAGTCCTGTTTCCATTGAACGCAGGGCAGGTAGCTCGCATGTCCCCCGCAATTTTAAAGGTCATGTCCTCCCATATAGTAGTGGAGACTGCAGGAGTGAGCTTATACCACAGAACATCAACAAATGTTTTGATGGAGGTTGCTCCTTGACAGGAGATCTTAAAACTCGTGAAGAAATCATCTTTCTTACTTTCTAGGTAGTTTACAGGATCATTTGCTCTCTTGAATGCCCTGTGCATTTCCTTAAAATTCTCTCTTGCTCTTTGAAATAAACACACACATAAGTCAATGATAAATGTATTTGTAAATGTGTATCTCTTCTGAGTAGAGGCAGATTTCACTTCTTCTTCTATTGTCTTTAGAATCTCATGGAAATAATTTGGATTGTAACCACACTGTTGTTTCCACATGTTGTTAATAATTTTATTAAATCTTGAAACAATGTAGTCAGTAGTCATATTAATGAACTCTTTCTCAAAGACTGTTAATGTCATTGGGATATGGTTATATTTCTTATTCACCTTGATATGTTTATCATAATTGATTTGAAACTTCTCTGCAGAATTTGTCAGTAGACCCACGACATTCGTCTTGTTTTTGAAATACTCCCAAAGGATGTTTTCAGAATCCAAATCAATGTCAGGCTCTGTAACTTGCGGGAGAGTTGTGGATACATCACACACCCACTTTTTCCAAAGTTGATTGAATTTCTCATGTAACTCTTCCTCACTCAATTCTTTGCCCTTTACAGTTAAAGCCAACTTCCGGCTTTTTTCCAATAATTCTTTTTCATAATCTGTCTTTTTCTTATTCAGCCTTTCTTGACTTTGGTTTTTAAAACTAATGAGTTCATTGGCTTGTCTTTTGCTATCTGAAATAAGTTTTTCTTTAAGGACTATTAGCTTATTTTCAAAGTTTGCTTTACATTGAATCAGTATTTTGCTACATGGGCCTTCATTAAAATATTTTTCAAGTTCTTGCTTGACAACTTCATATTTTTCTGTAACTAGAACCTCAAATGTGCTTGCTTCAAGTGTCTGGATTTTTCCATTCTGAATCTGGTTGATCAGCTGGTTCTGCAAGCCCAGCACGTGACTCCTCAGCTCCCAGGTCCAGTGGTTATACATGGTTTCCAGTTTGTTCATGGCCATGACTTCTTGGGTGTTCCTGAAACTGAAAATAAAGTTCTCGTTCATCAGGCCTCTCCACAAATCTTGAACTCGGGATTTTACATCTGATATCTTCATGATGTTTCCCCTGGATTCCTGTGTGGCAGTCATAAGAATTCTACTTTTCAGTTGCTGTACATTGTGGCTGTAGCGAGGATTGGGAGGGGCCATTGGGGGGTTGCCATCCCAGAGGTGAGCAAAGTAGTAGACGTGAGTATTGACATCAAACCTAATGACATCACTGAAGCAGGTTACGTCTAAGCACTGTTCTTGTTCAGCAGCTATTGCTGCCATTTCATCTAGTTTCTGCTCTAGCCGTCTTCGTCCATCCATAGTTTGGTCCGTAGCTGTAGCTTCCCCCACATTCTGATGGACAAAGAGGCAACTTGGAAAGATTTTTACTTGTTTCATTCTCAGAAAGGCTTGGACAACTATTTGTAGGATATCTTGCATCTCTGATGGATTCTCCCCAAAAATATTGATCAGAGTCAAGTTTGCAAGTCCAATGACAAAAGTTACCAACTCATTGTCCCTATCCTTGGATTTGTTGCTGTGTTCTGGTGCCCGAAGTCCTTCTGTGTCCACAGCAAGCACAAAGTCAAAGCCAAGTTCCTCCGTGAATGTCTCCTCCACCTTGAGGAGCTGCATATAGGCCCCTTGGGTACATTTGCCTGCACTAACAGTGAACTGAAGCCCAAAAAGGGCATTCAGCACGGTGGATTTCCCTGAGCTCTGCAAGCCAAGGATAGAAAGAACAAATAGCCGTTTGTCTCCAAGTTTCTCAGAGACCTTGTCAAAAACAGCTGCCACCCATGTTAGAGGTACATATGCTGCATCCCCATCCATCAGCTCAATGGGAACACCAGATATCATCAGGTCTGCGGCAATTTGGGGAAGCGAGAAAAAAATCTTTTTTATGGAGGAAGCTTCTTCCAGAGCTTCATAAATCTGACCAACTTCTCTGATAAGTTGCTCAATTCCCAAAGTACAGTCACTAATCTCTGTGGAAATGGCTTCTATCTCACTTTGCAGGCATATCAGGGAGTGACTATTAGGTGCCTTTTGCTTTACTGTTTGAACCAGTGACCACCAATATTTTTGCTTCTCATGCAGTTCTTCCAAGTGTCCTGCAGTCAGTTTGTCCAAAAATACACTCAGCCACTGCAAGAAGTACAGTTTGGTGTGAATTTCTGAATGCTCTTGGAGAAACTGAAGGACAGATTGCATTAAATCATTGAGAGGAAGGGCTCTGGCCAACTGTTCATGCCGTATTATTTGTTTATCTGTCTCAATCTCACTCTTGTGTTGTTCAATGCTCTGATTTCCCTTTTCTCTAAGATGATAGAGTTCTTTGTCCTTCTTACACCAGTGGTGCCACAGTTGTCCCTGAAGGGGTAGTAATTTTTCCTTAATCTGAGATAATTTCATTTTCCCCAGGAAGGCCATTAGAGCCTGTGCCTTTTCTTTGGCTTCCTTGCAGTCTCTCTGGTCTTCATCGATAAGAAATCCTTGCTGGTGAGCAATCTGGGAACAGTCCTCCAAGCTGAGAGCAGTATCTGAGAGTTCTAGCAAATGTCTGATTGTAGTTGTGAGTTCCTCTGTTAATTCTGCCTCATTTCTATTCTTGATACCCATTCTCATTCTTTGGCCAGAAATATTGGTCATGGTTGCTTCTTTGTCATCGAGCAAGCAGATCAATGGCCTTGATGACTGCCACAAGTTACGGACAATTTTTCGGTTTCCTTCATTGTCATCGGAGGCTGACATGAGGACCACAATGACAGTAGACACCTCCTTCAGGAAGCTGAGCTGCTGCTCATGTTCTTTTGCATCTCCATGAAGATTGGTGAAGGTCACACAGTTGTCAAATCTGTCCTCATCTTCCCCTCCTGGACAGAACCAACAGATCTCTACCATGCCCCCCATCAAGAGGCAGTCTTTCCTGCTTCCTGTGCAGTGTCGGTGAAAAAACACATCATGTTTCCGTTTACTGAGAAGACAGTTCATAATCTGAGATTTAGAAGCAGAGAGGCCATTTCCAACTCTTACGAAGGACACAATTGAGGTAGAGACACAGCACATCTGCTGATTCTTATAATAGTTCTTCCCTTTTGGTGATTTCCTTGCTTCCTGCCAACTTCTTGTAATTTGACGGAGAGACCAGAGAGAGAATTCAATCTGAGAAGTACAGGGATTAGGCACCAAAAGGGGGAGGGCAAACTGACAAGTGGAAAGTTTGGCCAAAATATATTGTCTGGCAAAATTATCTGCACAGTGAAAAATTGTCATCTGAATATCCACTGGGTGAATGTGGGGGCTAGGCTCAGTGGATGAAGATTTAGTGGGACTATCACTGTCTTCAAAAAAGTTTTCATATGGGTCAAAAGCCTCATCTTCCTGATCTGAAGCATTTGGATGTACTTGGTGTTCTGTGTTTCTATCATCTTTGAAGACTAGGTATCTCAGCTCATAATCCATCATCAGTAGTTTCTGCAGGAAATAGAAGGGAAGCTCCTGTTCAGAGCTGGGCTGGGTGTTATACACAGACGTCTTATAGATGAGATGGAAATTAGCTTTGCTCAATTTTTTGGGGTAGTAATGTTCTAGACCTAGATGCTGGAGTAAGTCTAGGAAGGCTCCATTTTTTATCATCTCCCATTTGTTATTTTCATTGTCATGTGGTTCATGGGGCTGTTTCTTTCCATAGAAGAGACTTTGCTTGCTCACCTCTTCCATTTGCAAAGAAGAGATGGTGACTTCTTCATAATCCCCATTAATGAGCAATCTCAAGTCTTTCTCTAGGTTTTCCCAATCGTGATCTGCTCCAGGTTTGGTGAGGACATGTGCAACTTCTTTGGACAATGATTGTCCCATGTGATGTCTCATTAATGACATGCGTTGTGTTTTCTCTTCTGAAGAAATAGCTGTGTCTCCAACTGTGGCTGTCAGACCTGTGAGAACCAGGAATGCCTGAGCCCTATAGCTGCAAATATTCTTAAGCTCCTGGTATTTATTTTGGGCGGTTTGCATTTCATCCAGTAGGAAGCTTAACTCATCACACCCCAAGAGACTCTGAAAAGTATTGTTGATCACATGATATCCTGCAGCAGCTGCAATGGAAAGTAGCAAGAGTTGTGTGTCTGTCTGCTCTGTTTTTTGGAGATAATTCAAGAAGCAGCTGAGAGCCAAGCTGACCTCATAAGTGGACTTTCTTTGAGCTTCCTCCACTGTTTCTGGGGACTCAGATTTGACCTTTACTTCCATGAGGTTATTCTGGGTTTCTTTTAAGATCTCAATTAATTGAGAAAATTGGGAAATATTCACCTGCTCCTGCTCTGAATCTGACTGGAAGATCCACTGCATGATGAAGTGAGCCTGAGGAAAGTTTGTCACTCTGTAGATGTGAGGATCCAGAAGGCTGCGCAAATGAGATTTAATACATTTAGTTTTATAAATGGAAGACTTTTTGCAAAAGTTGATGGTGTTTACTAGAAAATTCTGCAGACTCTAATCTGTGAGACATATATTAATCCAAGTGTCATAACTTTTTAGTTTTTGACTCAACATTTTCATGAAATTTATCAGTTTTTTAAGTTGCTCTTCAGGATCAGATACCTCCCAAGATTTTACATCCTCTAGAAAAACCCTGGCCTCCTTCCCAGCACTCAGTAACTCTTCCCCATTCTGGATCTGGGCAGTGATGCTAGTCAGAGCAGTGTAGCTGTCTTTCAGGAAGTTAGCCACCTGAAGAGGATCCTTAAAATTGCTTCTGTGGCTAGAGAGGATAATGTCCCAAACTGGCACCAACTGAAGCCCGCGGTCAATGACACACCAGGTTTGATTGCTGGCAATGAGGCCAGCTTTCCACTGGACAAGGCCATCTGCTTCTGGTGGGCCACCTGTTTGGGCCACAGATAATTGGACCTTGGTTTGGAGGTTTTGGGAAGTTTTGGTCTGAGTGGCTGTCTTCGAATGAGAGTCTGAAACATTCACACCTGCAGCAACTTTCACTCCAAAGCCACTGTAGCTGTCCCTTATGAAAATGTCCAGGGCCTCTGCAGACTGCTGCCTCACTTCTGCCAACTGCTCCGTGCAATAACCCTCTGAAATGGCTTTCCACCAGTAGATTCCTCCCAGGTGCAGAGGGCCTTGGTTAACATGAGAGCCAAACCTGTGGAAGAAGTTTATGATCCTGTGCCTCAGCAAGGAGAACCTGTCTGGGTTTGTTGTCTGACTCAGAAGCTCTTCAATGCATTTCAATTCCTGGACAGCAGGCTTGGATAACTGGAGCTGATCAATGGGAAAGTGGCAGGAGGCCAGGGGGATATAGCTGAACTTGGTTGAGCAGAAATAAGAATTCTCAGAACTTGATTGTTGGGTTTCCTTGGATTCTGGATGTTTGCTGTGATCCAAACCAGCTTCTAGACTAAACCCCCAATTTCCGTCCTTGGCTGAAGTAGTTAAACGAAAGCCCAGCTTCTCTACCATCTGGGTAAACATGAATTCAGCCTGAGGAGATGTGAATTCCTTTGTTTTCATTTGTGTTCCTTGCTGAGGACCCAAAAGTAAGAACTCTTTGGGGACACTGAGCAACTCCTCTCTCTTCTCTGTCAGGCCCCTTTGGTGGCTGGCTTTGTAAATTCCCTGGAGGGCCAGCCCTCCAGATGCCCATCTCACCACATCTCTATCTGGAAGGTTTTGCCTGTGGCACAGTGTCCACTTCATGAGGTTGAGTTGTCTCTGCAGGTTTTCCATGAGTTCCCTTAGAGGCTCTTCAGGGGATGGCCAGTACTCTTCAGGGATGTCCATTGCTTGCCTCAGCTCTGCTTCTCTTGTCCTCACTGCCTCTTCCTGTCTCTGCTTCCCTTCTGTCAGCAAGTCCCTCAGCTCCTGCAGTGCCTGTTCTGCCTGCTTCTGCTTTCTCTTTGCCCTCTCCACCTGAGACTCCTGTAACGCTGAAAGACTTTTTGAGTGTGACAGATTAAGCAGCTTTCTCCCATGGATGTTGTGTCTGGGATTTCAGCTTCTTGAGGTTGTTTTTGTCTAGGTGTTGTAAGGCCTGGGCACAGGTCACACCCAGGTGTTCCTGCAGCTTGGGTAACCAGTACTCAACATCCAGGCCCACTTCTCTCAGCATCTCTTGGAGGTCTTGCCTCCTTTTGCCTCTGAGCAGAGGGTCATCAGGGGTGTGCTCTCCTGTGGCCATGGCTGCATAAAAAACAGACACTCAGTTAGCTGACTGTTCTGACCTTAGGAAGTGTCAGCCACATGGCCAAAAGTGTAAGTATACTAGTATGCAAGTCTACAAGGCTTTCTCATTCCTCATTTAATTGTTTTAACAAAAATTTTTTAACACCCTTTTTTGTGTGCAAGCCATCATTGTGGATATTTTCAATGTGGATTGCCTTTGTGGTTTGCAGGGTGGGTTGCAACTTACTAGACTTATTTTGACAATTCCTTTTACATAGAATCAATTGCATGTAAAACATTAAGATGAGAGACGGAGTTTGAAAATATGCTTGAGTTTGAGTTTGGTAGCTTGATTTTTTTTTTTTTTTTTTAAAGAGTGATGGAACCAACAGATTATCTAGTTTCTGTGAAATCTGTGTTGCCTGGTTTCCTTCCTGTCTCTGTGTCACTTCTTCCTAGGGCATTTCATGATATTTATTTGCTTTCCTGCCCTTTTAAATGTGCTACTAACCTGGTTTATGCTTGTCACTCCCTTCTTACTCTTAATTTTCCCTAGTTAATATCATCTTTCTGTTACATTAATAGCTGTCTCTCTGTTGATGCCACCTTCATCTGTGTCTGTAGACTCAAATGCTCCCCTGTATTTAATGTTTTATTAATGTTATGTTTTTCCCCTCACTACCTTCAGTATATATCCTTGACCAGCAGATGAGATGAGATTTTACATGTTTCAATTTCATACGTTATTCAATTTCCCTTCCTCCTGTAATTCTTGTCCTGCTGAATGGCACCACCTTACTTCCAGGCCAATGGGCGTCTTGTTCATCCTTCTTCTTAACATGAATTTAGTACATAATATCTTTTCCATTTGTCCTCTTAAACCTCTATTTAATTTCACTTCTTTTTGACACTCTATCCGTTCTCCCTTAGATGTTGCCTTCATCATGTCTATCGGATTGCTATAATAGTCATTCTATCTTCTATGGTTTGAAGGTTTGTCCTCTCCAAAGCTTATGTTGAAATTTAATTGCCATCTTAATAGTATTAAGAGGCAGGAGAGATGATTAGTATTGAGAGGTGATTAGGCCATGAGGGCTATGCCATCATGGGTGGGGTTAATGCTGTTATGAAAGGTTGAATTTTGTCCCCTTTTGCCTCTTGTGCTTCTGCCATGTGATGACAAAGCAAGAAGGTCCTTGCAAGATGCTGACACCTTGACCTTGGACTTCCCAGCCTCCAGAGCTTTGAGCCATAAATTTGTTTATTGTTAGTTACCATGTCTCAAGTGCTCTGCTATAGCAACACAAAACAGAGTAAAACACCATCTTGCAGTCATTTTTGTCTTGCGCATTTCTTCTTCCTCAATGTCTCTACAATTTAAATCTGCATGTTAATTAATGGTAAACTCAGCAGCTCAAACCAATCTTTCCAATGAAAGCCATTTGAAATAAGTAGAGAAATGTATAAGACAATTTTTTAAAGCCTTAAGTAATTTACCTGGTAAAAATATCTGACAGAAGAGGTAAATAATCTGAAGCAATAATGAATGAAAAAATTCCATTATAAATTAAAGACAAAGTTTAAGACCTTTGCAAACACTAAGTAAAAAAATTAAAGTAAAATAAAATAACTTTACAATCAGATGCATCAGAATAAAACTGCAGAAACAACAAGAACAACAACAAAACAACAAATACATGTAGAAAGTACAAATACAAGTAGAAAAAGAGTTTACCTTTAAAAACCTAACAGAGAGCTGATTTCTGAACAGCTATAGTGGAAGCCAAAAGAGAGTAGAATGGAGTATTTATTTCACTGAAAGAAAATATCAGACACAAATTTTATGTATAGTGAGATATTCTTAAAGAATGATCGTGGAAAAGGGACATTTACAACAAAAATTAAAGACTTACAGTTGCAAGATTATGGCATAGGGGCAAGCTGGCTTTACTGTCCCCACTCAGAAAACCAAAAACAAATATATAGCACTGAAATTTTTACCATCAATAACCCAGAGCTCAAGTATGAGGATGAGGCAGTTCCCAGGACCACACAGAAGTGGGAAAACTCTGAGCAGATGGTAAGAGAATCAAATTTCCACATCTGTAATGACCCTACACATTATTCTCTTTGGTACTAAGAACATAGAAAATCTCCCCTGACACCCAACTCAAAGTTTCTACACTGGAACAGGTGAAATTGAGGTGGTCAGTCAGCTTTCCCACTTTCTTGAGTCCCCTGTAAGTTGACCTGTCTTTGCCTTAACCCACAGGAAGCATCATGACTACCTAAAGGGATAAATATCCCTGAGGACAAGCAAAGACAAAGGGAGGAAGTGAGAATATCATCCACATCCTAGGGAATTCTGCTCTGTAACTTGGCCAAAGGAGATGCCAAATCAGAGTGGCTGTTTAGCAGCAGCACATTGTAGGAGGTATGTTCCATAGGTGCCCTGGGCATGAACCATTAGCCAGCCTTCCCACATTGCTGAGATAATCCTTTTGAGACCTCCCCCATTCAGGACAGGCAACGCTATAATCATTTACCAGAGCCGAGGTGAACTTAGGCTTAAGGCACCACCTAGACTGAAAAAGGAGGCAGCAATCTAGTGGTAAATATTCACTAAATAAATATACTAAATAAAAACCAGAACAAGCCAAAGAAAGAAAACTGGAATAAATAACTTCTCCTTCAATGCAAAGGCATTGGCACATGCCCACAAGAAACAACAACAATCAGGGAGCCATTACCTCCACAGAAAGACTAAGCAAAAATCCAGTGACTGACTCTAATGAGATAGTGATCTGTGAATTCTCTGCCCAAGAGAAACTCAATTATCTCAAAGGTAAAGCAGTTCAGAAGCATGTCAGAAAGTGTAACAAAGAGATTGAAACAATAATTAAAAAAAATTAAACAAAAATATTGGAACTGAGACATACGTTTGCTGAAACAAAGAACCCTTTAGAGGCTCTCAACACCAGAATGAACTAAGCAGATGAAGGAATCAGTGAGCTCAAAGACTGGCTATTTGAAAGTAGATAGTCTGATGAGAAAAAATAATGAAAAGGAACAAAGACTGCCTGCAAGATATAGAAAATTACCTCAAGGGACCAAAGGTAAAAATTGTTGCTGTTCAAGAGGGAGCTGAGCAAGAGTAAGAGAGTAAGTGGTAGAAGGCTTATTTAAAAAAAAACCCAAAAAACAAAAACAGGATGGGCATGGTGGCCCACACCTGGTAATCCCAGCAATTTGGGAGGCTGAGGTGGGTAGATTGCTTGAGCTCAGGAGTTTTAAGCCAGCCTGAGCAGCATGGCCAGGCCCTGTTTCTACAGAAAAATTCAAAAATTAGCTGAGCGTGGTGGTATGTGCCTGTGGTCTCAGCTACTTGGGAAGCTGAGGTGGGAGGATCTCTTGAGCCTGGGAGATGGAGGTTGCAGTGAACATGATCATGCCACTGTACTGTAGTCTGGGTGACAGAGTGAGACCCTGCCTCAAAATAAATAAATAAATATATAAAGATATATATAAATATAAATATATATATAAATATAAAGGAAAACTTTCTGAAACTTGAGAAAGATATACATATCCTGGTACAGAAAGGTCTGAGAACATCAAACATTCAATCCATATGAGACTACTCCAAGGCATACGACTTTGAAAAGGTCAAAGACAAAGAAAGGATTGTAAAAGCAGAAAAAAAAGCAAAAGCAAATAACATATGAAGAAAGTCCAATTCATCTGGCAACAGAGTTCTTGTTGGATGCCATATAGGTCAGGAGGGAATGGAGTGACATTTTCAAAATGCCCAAAGACAGAAAACTCCCACCCAGGAATTCTAAATCCAGCAAAAATACCCTTTAAATATGAAGGAGAGATAAAGTCTTTCCTAGACAAACAAAATCTGGGCGAATTCACCACCACCAGACCTATCTTGCAAGTAATACTTAAGGGAGTTCTTCAATCTGAAAGAAAAAACACTAATGTGGAAAGATAAACTTTTCAAGATATAAAATTCACTGGAAAAATTAAGTAAACGGACAAACCAAGAATACTCCATTACTATAATTGTAGTGTGCAATTCACTTAACATGCTAGTATGAAGCCCAAAAGACAAATCTATCAAAAATAATAGATCCTGAATCAAAGACCAGAGGAAAAATATAGGTATAGCAACCTATTAAAAGATAGATGATATTAAAATATGTAAATTGAGACAACCAAAAGTCAAAATATGGGGACATGGAGTTAAAATGTAGAATTTGTTGTTTTTTTTTGGTTTGTTTATATTCTTTTATATGTAGTCTAAGTTGTCATCTTTTAAAAATAATTTTTTATATATATAAGATGTTTTCTGTAAGCCTCATGTTAACCACAGTACAACAGGCTATAATAAGTTCACTAAAAATAAAAAGCAACAAATTAAAACATACTACCAGAGAAAATTACTAACAACAAAAGAAGACAGTAAGACAGTAAAAAAGAAAGAGAGTACTCTCAAAATAAACGAAAACAAGCAACACTATGGCAGTAGTAAATTATCAAAATTATTTATCAAAATTAACACTGAATGTAAATAATCCCAGTTCTCCAGTTAACAGGTATTGATTGGGTGAATTTATAAATAAACAAGACCCAACTATATGCTGGCTTCAATATACTCACTTCACTTATAAAGTCACACATAGACTAATAGTAAAGGAGGGGAAAATATATTCCATACAACTGGAAAACAGAAAAGGGCAAGAGTAGCTATACTTATGTCAGCTAAAATAGACTTCAAATGAAAGACTATAACAAAA